>NC_000011.10:79237514-79540544 GCF_000001405.40 Homo sapiens | reverse complement strand
CAGAAATAAATTCAATTCAATTTTTTTTTATTATTACTACCATCATCATAAAAAAATCATCATTATCATCCAAGGTATATTAGCTTCCTAGGGCTACCATAAAGTACTGCAAATTGGGTGAAGCGACAGAAATGTATTCTCTCACAGTTTTGGAAGCTCAGAGTCTGAAATCAAGGTGTTAGCTGTGTCGGTTCTGTTTTGGAGGCTCTGCAGGAGAATCTCTTCCATGCCTCTCTCCTACTGTCTAGAGGTTGCCAGTAATCCTTAGTGTTCTTGGCTTGTAGACATATCACACCAGTCTCTGCCTCCACCTTACATAGTGCTGTCCTCTGTGTTTGTGTGCATCTGAACTTCCCTCTTCTCAAAAGGACACCAGTCATTGGATTATGACCTACCCTAATCCAGTCAGACCTCATCTTAATGAGATTGCATTTTTCAAGGACCCTAATTCCAGATAAGGTCACATACACAGATTTAGGTGGACATGGATTTTGGGGAAACACTATTCAACCCAGAATACAAGGCAATACCTGTTTAGGAAGTTCCAAATGCACAGCAAACATTGAAGACGGTAGTGGTGGACCACTACAAGTCTCTTTGAGATTTTATGACCCACAAAAATTTCCTCTGTGTGACCTGGTATGGGTTTCATAGAGGGAAAAAAACTGAGATCTCAAATTCACACTATAAATAGGGTTCTTATCTAGGACACAGGTCCTTATCTCCAGTCCATTGCATTTTCCTGTACCTCTGCTGCATCTCCCAGTATGAGAGTATGCATTATCATTTATGTTTCAGTGTGTGAATTCAGTCAGGTTTAACACTCTTTCTTGCTTACAAATCGGAATAAAACACTTTGTAACTCATGATTGGCATGAGGATTAAATGAGAAGCTACACAGCCAGAAACATAGTAAGTGCCCAATTAATGTTAGCCAATATGATAACTGCTTTTCCATCTTCAATGTCCTCCAAACTTTATAGCACAGAGCAGAATGCACAAGTAATGATCCATAAAACTGTGGAGTGTGATAACTCAAAATACATTACTGTTCTAACACTGACATTACCAGCAATGCCATCACAATATTTGAGGTTGGGCTCCATTTAATTCAACAGCCACTTACTGAGCAGTTCCTTTGCATCACTCACTAGCCTAGAACTGAAGACAGCTACAAACTGCTACAAAGTGGAATAAGATACAGTCCCTGCCATCAGGGAGCTTGGAATATTCTGGTGTATTGACAGTCACCTGCCATTCAAATCATAGCATGCTGGGTGGTATGGAAGGTAGCAAAGTATGATGCTTTGGCAGAAAAGATAATATGATGGACTCTGCCTACTACAGAGAAGAGTTTTTACAGAGGTGCTATTGGAATGGGGCCTCCAATAGAAGTAGGAATTTGTTGGGTGTAAATAACATCTGAGGCAGAGAAAGTAGCAAAGACGTCATGATATGAAAGTCAGGGTGGATTTGAGTTGTAGTAAAAACAAACACATGGTATATGATAGGAGGAGATGAAGAGATCAATGGGAAATGGAAAGACTCAGCTGAGCCCGTTTGTGAGGCTCCTGCTTGCTGGAGCAAGACAGAGATGATGACAAGACCGTGCATGTCTGACCCCACCTGCATTTCATTTCCACTTCTGCCACTTGCCAGTGGAGTTCTTCACAAAAGTTGCTCAGCTTCTTAAAGACTCAATATCAGCTACAAAATGGGAATTAAAATGTCCTCCACATAGGGTTGCTATGCAGATTTAATAAGAAAATGAAAATAAAGTTTTAAGCCCAGTACAATAAACAGTAACTATTGGTATTTTGTATTGAAATTTCATTTTTGAACAACAATTAATTCCTTGAACAGACATTGATCAGTTACTCGAGGTGCTGATTTTTTTCACCAGGCAATAGAAAATCACGGGAGGTTTCAAGCAAGAAATTAATGTCAGGCCTTGTGCTGCAAGACTACTCCTAAAGGCAGCCAGAGGCTGAAAGCCTGGGAGAAGATGCAGATGTCATCAGGCTAAGACACTGGCAAGGAGGATGGGAAGCTAGGGTGGAGAGACTAGATGACAATGATGTAGAACTGTCAGGACTTGGTGATTGAGTGGATGAAAGGAACATAGCTAGGATGGCCTCCATATTTCTAAACTGGAAGACTAAATGTCATTAATGAAGGCACAAAACTCAAGAGGGAAAGACAGTTTTGGAAGGGAAGGTGATAAGGTCAGTTTTAAGCATCTTGACATGAGGGGGTCCACGGAAGAGCTGGGGATGAAGATGCCCAGCGGGACATTGGCTCTAGAGCTAGTGGCATTGAAGCCATCAGCACATGAGTGGTAGCTCACGCCTTGGCAGGGAAGGTACACACCCATCCTAAGCATACAGAGAGGGAAGAAAGGCAACAGAAACCTCAAATGAGGAAGCCCAACACTTAGGAAGTGCGGAAAAGCCTCTGCAGAGGAAAGGACAATGGTCAAGTCACCTCTGACTCTACCACAGAGTCTGTCTGCCTCTCATTGTATTTTATAGCTGAAAGGACCTACACCTAAGATGTCCTAAAAGTCAACCTCTTCAAAAACAGATAAAGAAACAGACAGGAAATGTGACTCACCTGATATAACACATCACAACAGAGCTGGTGGCAGGACTAGAGCTACAGCCACCTGACCTTCAGTGCAGGGCTCCTTCCACAGCCCTGGCTGCTGTTCTGGCCTTGACGTGACCAGCATGGAGTTCTCTTCAATCTGGGTAGGGACGAAGTGGGCTCACATTCTCCCCTACCCTAAAGCAGCCCCGTTTCTCTCAGTCTGAAGGGATTACCTGGTGATAGCTTCCAGCCAGCTAATGAACCAGCAGTAGTTGTCTGCTGTGACTTCTTAATTTCCCGCAAATGTGAGTTCCCGATACGTGGCCACAGCTTCAGGCAAGACACATCGCACTCCCAGCAAGAAGCCCGGAAACCAGGGGGAGACTGATGGGGATCCTGGTGTGCAATCTGTGACTCCGTACTTGAGTCGAGCCTGGGGTTTATGATTAGAAACCAGAATAAGCAGGATGATCAGTATTTCCTTCTCCTGCATGTAAAGTCAAGACTGTCAGAGAGCCCTGCCTCTCTTAAGATTCCTGAGGGCACTGAGTAGCAGCAAGTGGCCAGCATCCATGAAGGAGTTCACAGGGACTCCCTACTTCGGCCTACGCATTCTCAACCCTGAGGTTGATGGGCCAAAGGAAACATGGATTGGAAACTTAACTGGCCTCAGAGCAAAGCACTGTACTATACTAAGCCGCACTGTACTGTACTAAGCAATCATTGAAGGCTAAATATGTGATCAGACTAAACCTCTGTGACACATCGCAAGTATTTAGTGAATGCTTGAATAAATACAGCACCTCTAGCTCCAATCTCCCTCCTAACTTAAAAATATGATGGTGTATGTGACATCTCTGTTCAAATATCTGAAAGGCATCCATAAATTAATATCTCCAAAAGTGAACTTGTGACTTTTACCCCCTGCCCACAAACCTGGTCCTCCCATAGTCTCCCATCTTGCTGAATGGGAAGCTGTCTCGGTCTAGTGGCTCAGGCCAAAAACATAGGAGCTACCTTTGGTTCCTCTCTTTCTCTCACTCCCCATATCCTCCATCAGTACTTCCTGTTGGTTCTTCCTTCTACACATACCTAGAATCTAACCACCTCTCACCTCCTCCAGCACTGCCAATCTAGTTGGAGCCACCGTCAGCGCTCTCCTGTCCCCAACAAATCTCCCCTGTAACTGGTCGGCCTGGCTTCACTCTCCTGCCACCCAGTCTGCTCTCCATCCAGCAGCCAGAGTGAGCTATCCAAAATCAAAGCAGATAATGACGTTCCCTGTTCCCATCCTCCAAAGTTTCTGCACTGCTGTTCCCTCTGCAAAGAACAAGCTTCAGATATTGAGATGGCTCACTTCCTCCATTCATCTGGGTTTCCCCCTCACAGAGGCCTTCCCCAAATACTCTAACATAGCCTCCCAACACTCTCCATCCCTTTACCCCATTTGATTTTTTTCCTGAGCATTTGTCTCTACCAAATCATATGTATTTATCTGTTCATCATCCCCACCAAAATTTAAGCTCCCCAAGGGCAGGGACTCTTTCTGTTATGTGCACTGCTCTATCATCATCATGTAAGCAGTGAGTCATGCACTGAGTGTTCACTAAATACCTGTTAGAGGAAGAGAGGCACAGAAGGAGGAAGAGAGGGAGAAAATAAGGTAAATAATATGCCATATATGAGGTCATTTAACCCTCACAACAGCTGTGGGAAGAAGGCAAGTCTTGTTCCTACTGTACATTCCCCAACAGAACCTAGCAGAATTGGGCAAGGCACACGTAGTAGGTGCTTTTTTCCTACCTTTTGATTGATTGGTCAATATATAATCAGCAGTTTTCACTCTGCCAATGACCTTTCATGTTAAGAAAACCGTATAGAAATAATATTTCAAAGAGTTATTACTGGATACTTCTTTTTAAGCAATATTATGTTGACTGGTAATCGATAATAATAATTAAGGAATATCACTATTCCTTAATTAATTACTTACCTACAAAAGTTTAGAATTGTAAAAAGTACATTCAGATCATTATCTTGTGATATTCAAAATAACTGTGGGAGGAAAAAGGGGGGAAGACTGGGTTTTTCCTATTTTTTAGTTGAAGTCACTAAGGTTCAGAGAGGTTAAGTGCTTAGGGAAAAGCCCCACAGCAAAGTCATTAATAAAACCTGAATCTGAGTCTAAGCATCCTTATCCCTGCATCATGATTCCATTATGCCGGAAATAACTGTGTGATCACATCAGAGAGCAATATAAAGTCCTCTACAGTATTTTATATACTGCCTCCAAATGCCTTGTTGAGATGGTTTATTGAGAAAGGAGGCTTTAGACCAAACTTGACCTGTTATGCTGGGTGTTAGGAAATGGCTATCTCTAACAACAATGTGACCAGAAGAGAGACACTCACGTGTCACTTTATAAGGACTGATTTTTTTAAACCATTACAGGAGTCAATGCCAAAGATGATTTACTTTCTATTAGTAAAATGGAACCAGAAATTATTTAAAACTGCCATCAATCATGGGATGGAGAGGTCCCTCTACTCCCCCTACCAGAAATGAAGGAGGATTGTTCCTCTGAATTAATGATGTGCATTTCCAACTGTAGCCTGGGCAGAAAGACAGTAACAAGAAATTAATTAATATAATACATGCCCTGTATTGAATGAGACTGTTGCCATTTCTATAGAAGACATCCCTCCTCTTTGGAATATCCCAAGATTATTTAGCAATAACATTCATGAGAGAATCCTGAACAATTCATTTTAGGATTTTAATTGTCAGGAAGGTTACCAAAGTCATGCTTCAACTTACATAGCAACTTGTTTTTTTATTTTGTTAAAACAGGGTGATACAGAATTGTCTCATAGTTTTGAAGTAACCACATGAATATACCATTGCTTTTGAGAATGCATTATTCTTATGTGAAATAGATCTTGCCCTATGCCCTCAACCTCTTTTGTGCTATTGGATGAACTAAATTCATACTGTCTTAGTGTTGAAATTTTGAGCTGCGAGAGCCCTGAGAGAACATCTATTTGAAACTCCTTGGTTTCCAGATGTGAAAGTAGAGACTCTGAGCGGGTGGGGGTTGCCTTGGTTTCCTCTTTTGTCAAAGGTAGACTCCCCTCTCTTCTTTCTTTTCAACTTTTCAGCAATGTGGCAAGGTTCCCACGACATGAAAGAAAAGGACAGGTACTGCAAGAAGCATTCAGACACATTTAAAGCAACAGTCATAACCTGAAATGATCAATATCCACACATACAAAATTACCTTCCCTTCATTGCCCTGGCATTTCAAGACACATAGTCCAAGATGAGAGCAAGAAGGACAGAAAGACAGAGATGCACAATTCTTCCAAGAAGGGGAAATGATGAAATATTGATAACAATCAATTAGAAAACAAGAAACTCTTAGGACAAGAAACAATAAAAGGAAAGGCTGACAGCAAATGATGATGTAGTATTTACTATGCACAAGGCACTGTTCCGAGAACTCAAGAACTTTACATATGTTAATAAGCTCATAGTCCACTAAGGCAGGTTTTATTATCATCTCCATCTAACAAATGAGAAAACTGAGGCTCAGAGATGCAAAATTCCTTGCTCAAGGACACTAAGCTAGAAAGTCAAGGATAGGATTTGAACACACAGCTCTTGGCACTGGCAGTGATATTCTTAACCATGATACTACCTTGTCTTGTTGGTCATTCAGAGCTCAGTTCATCCCATCCTCTGGAAGTAGCCACTGTCACCAGGTGAAGAACCCACTCAGAAAAATGCTAAATGCCCCTGAACACTTTATTTTCACATTTTCTTTTTCTGAACAGGACATGTACAATAGTAGGGTAAACAAATCTAGAGAAAAGAAGAAAATGGGCAGGGCACAGTGGTTCACGCTTGTAATCCCAGCACTTTGGGAGGCCGAGGTGGGCAGATCACCTGAGGTCAGGAGAGTTCAAGACCAGCCTGGCCAACATGATGAAACCCCATCTCTACAAAAATACAGAAATTAGCCAGGCATGATGATGGATGCCTGTAATCCCAGCTACTCAGGAGGCTGAGGCATGAGAATCACTTGAACACGGGAGGTGGAGTTTGCAGTGAGCCAAGATCATGCCATTGCACTCCAGCCTGGGTGACAAAACAAGAGTCTGTCTCAAAAAAAAAAAAAAAAAGGAAGAAGAAAGAAGAAGAAAATGGCCCTGCATTTACTAAGCTTCTACTATGCTTCAAGTGCATCATATATATCCTCACAACACCTTCATCCAACAGATGAGGAAGACAGAGGCTCAGAGAAGTGAATTACCTCTCCCAAGGTCACACAGCTAGGGAGTGACTGGCCATGATTTGTTCTGCCTCTACCTAGCTCTACTATCCTTGCTCTTAACTGCTATGCTATAGATTCTTTGTCTCATTTTTATGCTGAGTTTATCAATTATGTGTCACATGTATAGGGCACTGTTCAGGGCACAAGAGCAGCTACAGAACTGCCCTTTAGAAAGGTACACTGGGCTGGGCACAGGTCAGCTGAGATCCCAGAATGACACTTGGTTGTCTTGGGCTACCCATGAGGCCATCCATGCCCTGGGGTAATTTCTGCTGCATCACACTCCTCTATGAACAGCATGCAAAGCTGTAATTGTCCAGTTAAGCCTTGTTTGAGACCTAAACTCCTCGTGGGGTAGACCATTCTTCTTATACAACTCTCCCCACTTCTCCCCCCAGCCACAGGGAAAATTACAATTATTAATCTCCATGAAGAGAAATATCAGACTTGGATTCCCTTACCACGGATCACCATTATTCACACTTTAAATATTTGGTAGAGCTAAAATGATGAGTATAGAAATAAGTTGCCGGGAAAGGGAAGGGCCAGGACTGTTGGGTACTGTTTTCTCCTGGCTAGGGAGCCACCATTGAAATACTTACCCAACTGTTGCTTTGCAGATTCAAGATTTAATGTGGGCTTGACTCTAGCATATTCTAGAAAGAGGGTGATTCTGTGCAATGGGCCTTTGTGGTGGTATGCCTTTGCCCACATGTCCTTCCACCCAACCACTTTTTCCCACTTTCCCATCCTGGTAAGCTATACCAGGCTCTTCAAGGACAAGCTCCAGATCCACTTTGTGAGACTTTCAGCCACAGAGCATACCAAGTGTATGTTCTAGGGAATTCTGTGTAACTCTTCTGGAGTCCTGGTTTAAGCATTGGTTTCCCCAACGTCCAGGACCTCCCTGAGGGTAAGAACCTACTCTTCCTCTCTGTGCTGGAGGGGCTCAGTCCTGGATGGCACAGGCAGCACCCTTACAGCCAAAGACATTTAAGGTATAATGATCAGCTTGGAAAAAAAAATCAGCAAAGGACAACAGAATGAGATCAAAGAGGTTGTTTTTAGGTCATAGGCCTAACTCTGCCTGGTAAGCCACATATCTTACATTCTTGACTGAGGAACTTTTGAGACACATGGTGCAACAGAAACATTTATCCTTCACCAGACTGGGCACAGTGCAAATAGAGGGAAAGTCATCCGAATTGACTTGAGCAAACCTGATAATGGCAGTAAGTTCTCAGGTGACCCATGGCATGCCTTGGTCACTGTGCTTCTCAAATCAGGAGCCATTTATCTAGGGGAGACGAGCTCACAACCTTTCTCTGTGCCTGTTTCCTCCTTCATAAGATGAGAAATGGCAATCACACTCACACACACACTCATACATACACACTAAGACATACGCATATGCTCACTCACAGTCCCACACACCCACACACGCACACACTCACACGTATACACACTCATCCACACACATCCAAACACCACACAGAATTGATGCCAAGCTTTAATATGATACCATCCAAAAAAAAACATTTTCATGAATGGCAAAACTAAAGCTCCAGGAGGCTCAAACTAGTATTCACCAAGTATCCCGCTGACTAAGGCATTGTCTAAGTGTTGCCACTTATAATATCTCATTCCATTTCCTGTCAGGTCTATGAGGTTGATTTCTTTTTCTACGCATCTTCCAGAAGTGGAAAAGAGGCTCACTTGTAAAGCCAGGAAGCCACAATTTTTAATCTAGACCTTGTGTCTCAACAGAACATTTTCGCTCACACTGCAATGCTTCCAGTGGGAGTATTTCCACTTCAGAATGTTTCCTAGAAGTCTGGAGGAGCAAGCGTACCACAGGCCAAGCTCCTGCCACCTAAAAGACCCTAGTCAGGAGACCACAGTGCAGAGGGAGAACCAGACACACAGTCCTGAAAGGCCCTAGAACATGAGGGTTAAGTCTGTAGCCTCTCAACTCCCTTCTACCTCTTACCAACTGGGCAGCTTCTGAAGAGTCTGAAGTGTCCCCATCTGTACATGAAGAAAATAACAGTATGCACCTCCAAGGATCTGGCGAGAATTAAATGAGACAATCCATTCAGTTTAGCAGTTTACCATTTGGCATATGGTGAATGCTAATATCAACTCTCATTAACAATGTTAACTATCGTTTGCTTAGACTACAAGGTCATCCATGAAAAAGGAATTGAGACCCACCGTGTACAATGTGAGGCAGCTATCTGAAGCCTGGACATCATACGATTTGACGGGAAGGGGGCAAAAATTGAATAAACCCCTAATATGAGTTCATTGCATACCTTAGTCAGGGTCCACTTCATTATGTGTTTGGCTTTGGTTTTATTTATCATATTTGGTTTGTCTGGGGGCTTCGGATCTCCATCTGAAATATTGTATTCAGTCAGGGTTGTTCATAGGGATGGTGGGGTGTGATTGGGTGTTAGATGAAAGTGCCAAAAAAGGGCAAAAAAAATTAACATTAGAAAATGCTTTCAAGTATTCAAGTCTATATTGCAGATTTATAGCCAATAGCTCATTTGACCCTCAGAGCAATGCATGCAGCTAGGCAAGAAAAGTAACTTTATACACAGTTTACATATAAAGAAATTGGTACTTTGAGGAATAAGGTGAAAAGAGAAGGAAACTGGGACTTATTGAGCAAATATTAGATAGTATAATTTATTCAACAAATCATATGTTAGTGGCCACGTGAGCTAGGCACCAGAGATACTGTCCACTGTCTGCAGGGAGCTGATCACGCTACACTTCCTACACTCAGGGAACCTGTTACCCAGTCTGATAGGGAAGCACAGAAGGAAGATAAGTCATTCAATACAAGGAACTGAGAACTTTGATAAATAGATAAATAACATACATCAGAGTAATCAAGGAGGCTTCACAGAGAAGGTGACAGATACATTCTTGTAAAGCTTGGCCAGGTGAAGAACCAAGAAGAAGGAAGAGGCTTCTGGACGCGGTGGCTCATGCCTGTAATCCCAGCACTTTGGGAGGTGGATGTCGGCGGATCACTTGAGGTCAGGCATTCAACAGCATCCTGGCCAACAACATAGTGAAACCCCATCTCTACTAAAAATACGAAAATTAGTGGGCATAGTGGTATGCACCTGTAATTTCAGCTACTTGGGAGGCTGAAGCATGAGAATCACTTGAACCCGGGAGGTGGAGGTTACAGTGAGCTGAGATCACGCCACTGCACTCCAGCCTGCGTGATGCAATGAGACTCTATCTAAAAAAAAAAAAAAAGGAAGAGGCTTTCCAAGCTTATGAAGAGCAAAAACTGCAGTCACCCTGTGGCATGAAGATTGGAACCAGCTCTGAGTCCTTGAAGTTTAGGGCAAGAAGTAGGGCAGGTAGACCATGACATGGACAAGTGGAGGGATTCACACTTCCATCACTTACAGCCCCATGAGTTATCCTCAAGAGATAAGATGTGTTCCTGTAGATGATGGGGTGCATTAGATCATTCTAGCAGCTGTATGGTGGTTGTAAAAGAAGCAAGGAAAATAATTAAGGCTGAAGGCAGAGACGCCAGTGTGGAGGCTGATGCAGTGGTCCAGGGGAGAGCAGATGAAAGTCTGAACCAGTGTGGTAGCAGTCAAGATGGAGACAAAGAAGGATCCAAGGAGGTAGTGTTGGCAGGGCTTGGTAACTGCCTGAACGTGGGGAGGGGTACAAGGCCCCTCATTCATCTCAAGCTTCCCATGGTGACTTCCTGACAATGTCACCTTGGAAAAGAGCAATCAGATGAAAGATTGAAAATATAATAGGTGGAAATTTTACAAATCAAATCTATAAGGACTCAAAAGAAGACAGAGACTTGAGATGTTAAATGCTGCTTGTTTTTCAGATTTCAGCATTGAAAAGAGTGTTGTTGGATGCTTTAAAGCTCCATGTAAAAAATATCCACTCAGATAGAGATGTACAGGCTCCATAAATTCCTAGTCAATTTCTTCAAACCCAGAACACATTTTTAAAATATGAAGGAAAAAAACAGGTGAGGGGAGAACAACATTTTATGCCAATCATTTTATAAACAACCTGACTTTGCTGATGGGAAAATAGACCTTGAAAAAGTGCAATTCATCAATACAGCAGAGGTCAGACTCCAGTAAATAAAAGAAAATTACTATAATTGCTGATAAAATGCAGCTTTTGTCATTTCATTTATGCATTTCAATTGCAATTAGATTAACAAGGATTTCAAGGGGGAAAAATTTCCATTGCAAACTACTTTTCAGATTGAACAAGCAAAGAGTTTCAGAAATAACTCAGAGTCTACAAGCAAGGACCCAGAGGAACAGACAGGGCCAAGTATTTCTTCCATAATCCTCAAGTCCCATCTCCATTGAAGAGACATTCAGGGAAGTGGGGTTAGGGGGAATAAGAGAGCAGTCCATTTGGGGTATAAGCAATAAAGGGGTCCACTGTCTGCAGGGAATTTAAAAGCAGTGATAACAATCAAAAGTAAGAATGCTTTTTTTTTAGTCTCCATATTATTCTGGAAATCCTAAACAATGTCAGTGATAAAAATACTCAGGAAACCTCTACTCCTACCATATTCCCTCCTTAGAAAGCCATTGCCTAAGTCAATGATTTTAGGCCAACTGTAGTTTGATGGTGGGCATCATACATCATTTATCCACTCATCAAGTTGAACATAATGTTCAGCAAACACATGCATCCCACTTTATCCTCTTCATTATCCTATGCGGTAGCTTTTATGACTCCTGTTTTACAGTGAAGATCCTGAGGCTCAGAAAAACCTTGCCCAAAAAATCTAAATCATAGGTTTAAAAAATGAGAATTTGAATGTAAGTCTGTTTAAAACTCCAAAGCATGTGGTTTTTTTCACCTTAGCAGCACTCTGACAATACTTGGTCCTATGTACCACCTGTACCATCTGGCCTTTTCCTAGAGGGAGAACACTGCATCTCAGTGAACAAGTTCTACTTGGCTCCCCGCACCAGGCTTCCCTCAAGATAAGTTAACCTTGGGGACTGGGCTAGAGTGGAAGCTGGTGGAGGAAGGTGGTTTAAGATCCCATATAGAACTAACTTAATTTTTACCTGACATGCAATCCCCTCAAACTGATATTTCTGTATTTATTATGGAAACAAGATATTTCAATGCCAATAGAAGAAAGAGCAAAGGAAAAGAAGAGGAATAGGAAAGACTTTTCTAATGTACTAAGATATGAAGATCTGACTCAAAGAAATGATGCTAAAAGTCAGACAGACAAGGATCATACAGAAAAGAGCTATTCATGGAAATGGGATACATTTAACTCACCAACATTCCCAGAGTGTGTATATTTTGTGCCTAGGGTGCCAAAGGGCTGAAAACATAGTCATGATAAAGTCAGGATCCAGGGCCCAGAGCTCACATTCCAGTGAAGGGCTTTTCGTTCTTCCTCCACCACAAAAGATCATGTTCACATAGGTAAATCCCTAATCCCTCACCCCTGCCCATCCCTGAAGTAACCAAATGTTTATAAAACTACCAAAAAATGGTGAGGAAAATTTCTTTAAAAAATTAACTACAAAAATTATATCTCACAAACATTACAGTAATGTGTAATTGTGAACAGATTATCAGTACCACTCTGTGGACTAGGACATAGATAAAATAGGTCATATGCAATTGCTGATTCACCAGCTGTTCATTGTTTATGAAAAAAAAAAGGCAATAGGTGCAAGTAAGGAAGCTCTGTATAACGTTCTATGGGAGCCCAAGACTAATGTGATTGCTTCCAGTTAAAGAGCTAGAACTGTTCTCCCAGAACTAGTGGCCTTCGATATGAGTCTTGATAGACTTTTGACAAATGCATCTGGGAGAGTAAGAAAACGGTTTCAGGTGGAAGGAATAGCTTGACGCCCAACAATTAGACCTACGAAACCAGACAAATCTAAGATAGAATAAAGAGTGTGGTGGATAAAAGCCTGAAACTTTGAATGCCAGTACAGTCCCTACATCAATCACAATAGTCTCCTCGAGACATCCTAATACTAAAGCCTGGCAAGGATATCACAAGAAAAGACCAACATCCCTTCTGAAAACAAACACAAAATTCCAACCATCAGCATACAGAGGCATATTAAAAGGATTCTACTCCATGACTACATGTGATTTATCCCAGGAATGCAAGACCAATTCAACATATGAAAAAGCATATGATAAAAATCTAATAACCTTTCATGATTAAAAAAAAATTCAACCAACTATGAGCAGAAGGGAACTTTGTCACTCTGATAAAGAGCAACCACAATCCTGACAAGATCAGTGTACAAAAATCAATTGCATTTCCATACAACTTGCCATGAAAAATCCAAAAATTAAGTTAAAAACAATTTCATTAAAATAGAATCAAAAGGAATAAAATATATAGGAGAAATTTAACAAAAGAAGTATACTCTGAGAACTACAAAACATCGCTGAAAGATATTTTAAAAGATCTAAATAAATGGGATCATGTTCATGGACAGAAGACTTAATTTTGTTAGGATGACAATACTTCTTAAATTGATGTCTGAATTTACACATTCTCTAACAGAATTCCAGCTCACTGTTTTGCAGAAATTGACAAGCTGATCCTAAAATTTATATGGAATTGCAAGAGATCCAGAATCGCCAAAGTGATGTTTAAAAAAGAAAAGTAGAAGAATTCACAACTTCCCATTTCAAAACTTACTACAAAGCAATGGTAATCATGACAGTGTGGTACTATCACAAGGGTAGACATTTAGGTCATTGGAATGGAATCAAGAATCCAGGAATAAATCATGAGTCTATGGTCAACTGATTTTTAGCAAGGGTAGCAAGATCACTCAATGGGAGAAATAATAATCTTTTCAACAATTGGTGCTGGGGCTACTGGATGGCCACATTTTGAAAAAAAAAATGAAGTTGGATCTTTACTTCACACCATATATAAAAATTAACTTAAAATGAATCAAAAACCTAAATGTGAGATCTAATACTAAAAAACTCTTAAAAGAAAACATAGCAGTAAATCTTCATGATCTCAGGTTTGCCAAGGGATTCTTAGATATGATAACAAAAGCGCAAGCAATAGAGAAAAAAAAACAGATAAAACTGGCTTCAACAAAAGTAAAAGCTTTTATTCATCAAAGTGAAAAGAACCTACAGAATGGGAGAACATATTTGCAAACCATGTATTTGATAAGCATTTAGTATCCAGATTACATGAAGAACTCTTATGACTCAACAACAGAATGACAAACAACCCAATTTATATAATGGGCAAAGATTGTGGATAGACATTTCTCCAAAGAAGACATACAGATGACCCCAAATCACATAAAAAGATGTTCGATATTACTAGTCATTAGGGAAATGCAAATCAAAACCACAATGAGATACCACTACACACCCACTAGGATGGTTATCAACTTTTTTAAAGAAAAATGTTGCAAAGGATGTGGTGAAATTGAAACCTCATACTTTGCTGATGGAAATGGAAAATGGTTCTGCTGCTGTGAAAAATAATTTGGAATTTTCTCAAAAACATATTATTGAATTATTATGTAAGCAAGTAATTCCCTTCCTAGCTATAGACCCAAGAGAATTGAAAACAGGTGTTCAAGCAAAAACGTGCACACAAATTTTCAGAGCAGCATTATTCATAAAAGCCAAAAAGTGGAAGGAATCCAATTGTCCACCTACGAGTGAATGGATAAGCAAAATGTGGTATGTCAATACAATGGAAGAGTATTCCACCACACAAACTACTGATACATGGTACAATATGGATAAACCTTGAAAACATTACGCTAAATGAAAAAAGCCACAAGCAAACGGCAGCATATTGTATGATTCCGTTTCTGTGAGATGTCCAGAATAAGTAAATTCATAGAGATGGAAAGCAAATTCGTGGCTGCCAAAGGCTGAGGGGGAGGGGAAAATGGGAGATGACTGCTTGAGGGATATGGGTTTGTTTTTGGTGTAATGTAAGAGCTCTCAAATTAGATAATGATGATGTTGGACAACATTGTAAACATACTAAAAGCCACTGAATTTTCCACTTTAAAATCTTTAAAGTAGTGAGAAAAAAAAATGCACTGGTAGGGTGAGGAGAGGTAGAAGATACTACCCACAAGGAAATGCCAGAACAGTTGGGAGGCTATGATATGTACATAAAAAAGGATTAGTCATGCCAAAAAAGTCATCAGTCAAAATCCATGAGAGAAATCAGAGGAAAATAAAATCTCTGGCTAAAATATAAAAAAATGTATGAGCAATTCAGGAACAAAATTAGAAAGCTAAGCATAGACTAAGAATATTAGCCACAAACAAGACAGGTGATTGTGTGTGTATGATGTACTCATAAATAAGCAAACAACAACTGTAGAAAAGGTATAAAAGCATGAACAGAACAAAAAAATACAAGAAGGCTGTAGGTGTGTGAAAGATGTTCAAACTTTCTCTTGTAATTAAACAAAGGCAAATTGAAACAAGATGCCATTTTTAGTTCATCAAACTGTTATTGTAATAATAATAATGCTGCAATAGTATAATAAGGCAGGCATCATAATACATTGTTTGTATGACTATAAACTTTATAATACAAAAAGGAATTTAACCATAGTTATCATGAGCCTAAAAATATTCAAACTCCAAGATGCAATAGCTTTTTAAAAATGAGATATGTAAATATGGACTAAAACACAAGGATTTTTCATTGCAATATTATTATTTTTAAATAAAGTATTCATACTTACTGAAAAACTTTCAAGCAATAACAAGTACAAAAAAAGTGAACAAAACAACCAACCAACCAAAATCTTTTTCTTTTTTTAAAAAATTTTTGAGACAGGGTCTCACTCTGTTGCCCAGGCTGGAGTGCAGGGACATGATTATGGCTCACTGAAGCCTCAACTTACCAGGCTCAAGTGATCCTCCCACCTCAGCCTCCTGAGTAGCTGGGACCACAGATGTGCACCACCATGCCCAGCTAATTTTTATATTTTTAGTAGAGATGAGGTTTCGCCATGTTGCTCAGGCTGGCCTCAGACTCCTGGGCTCAAGTGATCCAACTGCCTCAGCCTCCCAAAGTGCAGGGATTACAGGCATGAGTCACTGCGCCCAGCCCCAGCCAAAAACTTATGACCATCATTAAAATAAATAGCCATCATTAAAATAAGATGACAAGGCCAGGCGCCGTGGCTCACGCCTGTAATCCCAGCACTTTGGGAGGCGGCCGAGGCAGGCAGATCACGAGGTCAGGAGATCGAGACCATCCTGGCTAACACGGTGAAACCCCGTCTCTACTAAAAATACAAAAAAATTATCTGGGCGTGGTGGCAGGCGCCTGTAGTCCCAGCTACTCTGGAGGCTGAGGCAGGAGAATGGTGTGAACTCGGGAGGCGAAGCTTGCAGCGAGCCGAGATCACACCACTGCACTCCAGCCTGGGTGACAGAGCGAGACTCCAACTCAAAAAAAAATAAATAAAAAAAAAAAAAAAAAAAAAAGGTGACAACATTTCAAATTCTTTTTTGAGCCTGCATGAAGAAAAAAAGTTGGTTGAATTTGTTTGGTGTTTGGATAGATGGAAATGATCTTATAAAATAGCCTTATCTAATGCTATAATCAGGAAAATAAACGATTTCACTTATTTTAGTTGATGTACAGAAAAGAATAGAAATTGAAATAAATCTGGGAGATTACTAAACTTCAGATAAGTGTTTCTGTACAAGAGATTTCATTTCTAACAATCCCCTTTAAAATACCGTGTTCATTTCCTAGGGCTGCTGTAATAAACTGCCTCAAACGAGGTGGCTTAGGACAATAGAAATCTATTGTCTCACGATCTTGGAGGTCAGAGATCTGAAATTAAAGTGTCAGCCTGACCCTCTGAGGGTGCCAGGAAAGGTCTGTTCCAGGCCTCTCTCCTAGTTTCTGGTAGCCTCAGTTTTTTGTTTGTTTTGGGGTTTTTGTTCTTCTGATGGCCATCTTGTCACTGCGTCCAAGTCTGTGCCCAATATTTTTCCTTTTTGTAAAGACACCGGTTATACTGAATTAGCATCTACCCTTAAGACCTCATTTTAACTTGATTAACTCTGTAAAAACCCATCTCCAATAGAACCACCTTCTGAGGTGCTGAGTGTTAGGACTCCAGTGTCTCTATTTAGAGGGACACAATTCAACCCATGATAAATATATATATCAAATAAAAAATCTTTTTTAAGAAAAAAAAATCCTAAAAAATTCTTGAGAAGTTTGAGTCATTATGTTTTTAACTCCATGGTCCAATTTTAAACACTACTGATTGACCCTTTGCTGCTAAAGATGAAAAAAATAGCATTTTTATAATCCTTCTCCCACCCGCCCTCCCCCCAGCCTTATTTTCCAATATTTTGGGAAATTTTACTTTGGCAGGATTTGTAATATTTAAATTCTATAATACAACAATAACTTCTATAGTTGTTTAGCTTTTGTTTGAAATATTATATTGAAATAATTTTAAAGTGTTTTTCCTTATTTTTTGGTTTATTTTAATGTTTAAAAAATTGAATGATAACCTACAGTCCTTTACCAAAGCATATCCATTCTAGAATTCTTTGTATTGGTTCATCTTATGGTGGCTGAATTTCATCATCAAACAGCTTTTTTTTTTTTTAACAGAGAGTTCAGAATTATAATCTCCAAGTTCCTAAGAGCTTGAAAATGGAGTATTCCTCTCTTGCACCTACTTATACAGGGCAATTTGGCTGAAGATAGCAATTTTGGATCACACTTTCCCCCCGGATCATATAAACACTGTTATACCACTTTCTGCCTTTGAGTGTGGCATGAGCCTTTCTTCCCTGTCTTCTCCATTCCAGCCATCCATGGCTAGATTTCTGTTGAGTCATTTTCTCTGGAAGGGTTCATGGATGCTGAGTCCTTATATTTCTTTTTGAATGTCTTCTTTTGCCTTTGTACTTCCACAGTAACTTGGTCAGGTATGATAAGGTTTAGTCCCTCCGACTTTCCCTCACAACTTTTTAGGCATTATTACCTTCTGGCATTGAACACCTTTGTGGAGAAGTTTGAAGTGAGCTTTACTCTCCTCTTGAAGATAACTTTTTTTTCTCTATTTAGGCACCAGAAAAATTTTTCCTTCATTATTCAACTTTGGAAGTAACAGGATATTCTCTCTTGCTTATCATTCTGAATATTTTTTTTCTGGAATGTGGTATGCCCTTTCAATCCTTAAAAAACAGGATGAAATGTATTTTCTACTGCACTTATTGGAGTTCTCTTCAGCAGAGAGACCAATTATTCTTATTTTTGAATCAATTTTGTCCTTCATGTATATTATCTTCTTTCCAACTGCCTTAATCTATGTCTTTTTTCTCAGCTTTCATCAATATTCTAGCAAACCTTTTCTCTATGTCAGAAATATAATTTTTAGCTGTCTGGTTTAGTTATTTTTGTTTATAGTTTATTATTTCTGTAATAGTATAGTTTGAGTCCTCAATTTTCTTATCATTGAGTTGTCATCTCATTTCTCATCACTGAGTCCTTGTTTCATGGAATTCAGATTTTTATTAAGTTCTTCTGTACTACAAAATACACAATGTAATTTCTCTTTTCCTTGGGATATATTTTCGTTCAGGTTAAGTTTTTCATTTGTCTTTTGCAAACAATAGTCTCTTTTGTTTATTTCTTCCAGCCTTTCTTTGCTTTCTTTCTTTCTTTGGGGGTCGGATGGGGTGGGGATTATATGTTTGCTTAGTTGCCACATGATTTCTTTTCGTCTTTCTCGACATGGACAATTTTTATTTGTTTTTATTTCTTTCTGTTTCTATGTAATGTGGTTAAATTTTTCTTGACTCTCTTCTCATTATATCTTATATCTGCTCTTCTTGAACTCTATATCAATAGCTGTAGTATTACAAGATTAAGAACTTTTTGGTGGTCTCGGGCAGTGCTTCCCAATGTTTCACAACATGAACATAATGTCCCAGAAAAATCGTGAATCAGGGAAGACTAGCTCCTTGGCTTAAGGGATAGTAAGTAGAGGCCATGAGGCTTTCCTCTGGACAGCCTGCTCACATCCCACATTCTCATTCTGGTCCCCTCCAGATGTGGGATGATTAGTGAGAGACCTCAGCATTTTTCTGAGTCACTCCTTCTCCCCACTCTGGCTTCTGACCTGATAGAGTTAAGAACAACACCAGCAGGGTCAAAATCTTTTCTTGAGGTTTATGGCATTAAGTTGTAAACCTTTTTTTATTTGGTGCTACTGATGATTGCAGGGAAAGAGATGAGCAGACTTTTAATTATCTACTGTTCATTTAGTCAAAAACTAGGTGACAGCAATTGTTCAGCTGGCTTTATTTTGCTCCCTTAGTTAGAAGTTCCATGTAATTATTTATATAAGTTAAAAAGTAAAGTATCAAAGTACTCAATAACAGGATGCTAAATAAATTATAATAGATCTTATGACAGAATATTAAAATATTAAACATATTTTAGAAATTAAATAAGAAAATAAAATTTTAATAACATACTAAACAGTAGATCAAACAACGTGTGTAATATGACCCATTCATGTTTTGATTATTCATATATATGCACAGCATGCATGTGTGTGTGTGTGCACACGCGAGCATGCATAAAATGCAAACAGAAAGATTTAATCAGTATACACGGTTTTTAAACCTGGATGGTAAAGATTTGGTTACATGCGAGCTGGAAAGCTGAGAAGCCAACAGGGAAGAATGAGGCAACTCAAAGATTAACAACAGCCAGAAGCAGAAGATCCCCCTCTAAGGTCAAGAGGAGTCCCTAAGGAGTGGTCCCTACATGGGAGACGTCCCACAGAGTAAGGCAGCCTCTGCCTCCCTCATCCAGCCAGTGCCCTCCACTGGCCAAATCCAGGGGAAGCCAGGAGGCTGGGGTCAGAGGTCAGCCCCTGCCAAATAGAAGAGAGGAGAGAAAGTGTCAAGAGACGAATCCAAGAGCACACAGGCCCAGATCCACCAGTTTCCTCTTTCATAGACAGGAAACTGATTTTGTTGGCAAAATCACAGCTGTAGAGCAAGTGTCAGGACAGAGGCTCACCCAGGTCAGCCCCTTCTTCAGAGATGGAAGGATACCAGTTAGGGCCCAAGGAAGGGTTACTAACTATATGTACGCATCAAGGACATGGGGAGGTGGGGACACTGGCCATCTCAAGCATTGTCTAGTGGGAGACCAGGTGAGCAGGGGCCAGGAGGCTGCAGATTACTCAAACTGGGAGAGAGACTGGGAGGCAGGAGGAGTGTTGTTCCCCTTGATGTGGTGGGAACAAGCCTGACTGGTCTAGCGACTCACGGGAGCGGGTGTGCAGTCAGCTCCATCTTCATACCTCTCCCCCACCCCACCCCTACCTAAGACAGGAGGCAGGATAGCCATTGCTTCCTGCCCAATGCACATCTAGAAACACCTTAAGTAGAGGCTGTGAGAACCAAACCTGAGAACACCAGGCATAGGCTGGTAGCCCCCGTTCCACCCCCAAACCACAATGCCCCTCATGTGGGATTTCTCAGTTATCTGCCTCATTTTTTTCCCTCTCATTCTTTGCAACTGTGGAATTAAGTGTGGGATCATAGCCGCCAAGCAGCCTCCTTATTAGCATCAGAACTATAGTCAAAACACATTATGCTTGGCTAATACATTTTATTTTTTATGTAATGGAAATGCCATCAAAGCATAGTTAATCAGAATTGAATTAAATCATAATTGGAGCCTTTGTGCGCAAGGAAGAGGAATTATTTTTTATTATTGCAAACAGAAAATGTGCCAATTGTAACTTACTTTTTTAAGTAAATAGCAACTGTTGCCCAGAGAGGTGTGTACCAATGACACTGGCTACCCAGTGTGGGCCCCCCCCCCACCCGCCGCCCAGTGTGGTTAGTGCCAGATACCTATGTCCATGGATATTGCTATGATGAGAAAAATGCACTAATCCAAAGTGAGGCCCTTCCTAGCTGGGTGACTTCTCGAAGCCTTTCTCCTTCGCTTTGAGAGGGGGATGATGACACAGGAACACAGAGGGACTCTGAGAAGCAAATGAGATGATCCATCAGAGCTGTGGGTCTCTAGCTAGTCCATATTGGAAAGGAATTCAGACCCAATCTGGATCATACACCATGACCTGTCTACTGTCTCCATGGTTCCCAACCTGGCTATTCATCAGGAGTACAGGGAAAGCCTTTTAAAATTACAAATCGGTACCTCATTCCTACCCAGGCTGTATCAAGCTCTCTAGAGGTGGGGCTTGGGACTCTGCAGGGTTGTTTGCAAGCTCCCCAGGTCCTAAAGCATAGCTGGGCTTGGGAACCACAATACTAGCCCTCATTGCTCCTCCTAGTAATGAGGAACAACCTCATACACCTGTGCGTATCTCCAACAGACCTGGACAAAACAAGCCTATTGCACCTTGACAGAACTAGAGACCTGTCACATAAATATAGAATCACTCAAACCAAGGTCATGCAAATATGTGCACACATGCACACATGTATGTACCAGAAAGGCTTCCATCACCAATCTGCTTATCTCTTATTTACTGCCCTGCCTCAATGTCTGCAAGAAGCTGTTGGTATTCACCTCTGGGGACTCCTCCTCCTCATAAACAATAGTATGGAGATATTTTTCTTCTTCTCCATAGTATATGTAGAACAAGAATATTTTGCATTACCCTGTGATGAATGTAGGAATTATGCACTGGACAATGAGTCTGATGAACCCAACAGTTTCCACCATTGGCAATGGTTCATGACCCAGAATGGCCCTACACAGATGCTCACTCAGCCCTGCTCTCCCAGAACTTCCAGGCCCAAGATCAGATACAGGAGGGGAAAAGATAGGCCAGGTCTCCTAGGGCTTTTCAGGGAACTTCGAAAACTGGCATGGAACCTTCCAGAACTGGCCACAGCTTACAGCTATCACTCCTAAACACTTATAAGTCAGACACTTCATATGTTGGATTTCAACCCTTAGGCATAGATATTATTATTTCCATTTTAAAAGATGAGGAGAACGAGGCTCACAGAAGTCAGGGAACTCGCCCAATATCATGGCATGTAGAATTGTAGCAGGAACTGAGCTGACATTGAAGTGTTCTTTCCATTTTGCCATGCTGTATTTCCCCAGGTATGTGCATCTGCCTCAGAAGAGCAGGAAACACAGTGGGAAGGGGAGGAAAAGAAAACATCCCAGAAAGGGACACCTTATACCCACTCCCTGAGTCACAAACACCTACCATGGGACTTTGCAAAGGCTGAGCCAGTTGAGTGAGAACTGTCACTGGGGGAAAAGGATAGGGATTCAGGAAGGAACATAGGTTTAGAGTCATGTCCCAGTTCCCATATTCCCTAGCTGTGTGTCCTTGGGTAACTTAGCTCTTTTAGGCTGCTTGCCCGTGTGTAAAAATGGGAGTAATATTTGCCTCATGCATTTTGTAAGGATGAGAAAAAATATACGTGCGTGTTTAGCATGGCATAGTTAGCATGTAGCAGGTATTCAATAAGCAATAGCTGACATTTTCAGTGGTTGTATAGTAATGGAGTAAAATGCCTAAGGTAGTGCCAGGCAGATACTAGGTGCATTATAAATGTTATTTCTCCTATGTCTTCTCCTGGGACCAAGACCCCATGATTTCTGCAAGTAGAGAGTCTGAAGGCCTGGATTCTAGTACTAACTGTACCTCATACTGGCACTGTGACATTAGGGGTTGATATGGTTTGGCTTTGTGTCCCCACCCAAATCTCACCTTGAATTGTAATAATCCCCATGTATTGTGGGAGGGACCCAGTGGGAGATAATTGAATCATGGGGCTGGGTTTTTCCCATGCCGTTCTCGTGACAGTGAATAAGTCTCATGAGCTCTGATAGTTTTATAAAGGGGAGTTCCCCTCCACAACCGCTGTTACCGGCCTCCATGTAAGACATCCCTTTGTTCTTCCTTCATCTTCTGCCATGATTATGTGGCCTCCCCAGCCATGTGGAACTGTGAGTCCATTAAACCTCTTTCCTTCATAAATTACCCAGTCTCCAGTACGTCTTTGTTAGCCACAAGAGAACAGACTAATATGGGGTAGTCACCTCACCTCTCTGGACTCTATCTTTCCTCTCTCAATTTAAGAAGTTGAGCTACATGTCTTGGATAGTTCCCTCAGTTCCTAAGAAGGTGCCAGTCCACATGTGTTGAATCGCATGGAGGGGCATCTGTGCCCCATTTCATTGTTTCCAGAATCAAAACAGGCAGGAATTGTTTTCTGCAGACTTCTGGAGTCTAGCAAGACTCGGCAGGAATGCCCCTTTAGTAATTATGTCAGGCTCCTCACTACCCACCCTTGGTCTCTAACTACTGAGGAAGAAGAGACCTGACAGTGAACCGGGTCAAAAGAAACTATGATTTGGTTATCCCCCCAGAAAAGAAGAAAACACTTGAGATGTTACAGTTCGGAGGCAGGCAGACAGCCATTAAAAAATAAAAAAGCAAAAGAGGGCAGGAGCTTTTAAACATATATATTAAAAGCATTTAAGGCTAGCAAATGATTTACTTAAGTCCAAAGTGATTTCTAATGTTTGATGGTTAGCGACTGAATTCCTGGGTTCTGTTTTTAGTGGTCTTGTTTTAAGCACAACTTTCTGGTATTACAACTTTTTAAAACATCCAACACAGAGGGAAAAAGCCTTTTTTTTTTTTTTTCTTTTTTTTTTTTTTTTTGTAGCCAACTTGAAAGTAATCACACCAGCTCCTCGCCTGGGCACTGTCAACACATCTAGCCATTCTCTTCCTCCTCCCTGCATTAACCCATCTGTTTCCACCCATCAGCTCTCCCTGCACCCCCTACCCCACATTATCACTCCTTCTACCTTGGTGGCTTCCTGTGAGTCCCCCCACCCTAGGTCCTATTTGCAGCTCCTCATCATAATTGCTCTACATCACCTCCACTGTAGCCAAAAGTTGAGGCTGACATTCAAGGGGAGCTTTGAATGTCCTTTTGCTTTATTAAAACTACTAGTTCTTTTTATTGTGTAGCTTTGCCAGGATTATTTATCTGGGTAATAAAGGATGAGGACTCAAGAAGGTGGGAGGGGAGGGGAGTTTAGGCAAGGAATGAGGGTTGTCCAATGACCCCATGGGTGGGAGAAGGCAGAGGGAATGGAAAACAAACAAACAAAAAAATCTGGCCCCCTTAGAGTGTTAGAAATGCTGGTTTATTTAGGCACTTGTAATTTCTTGAATTGATTTCCATTCTGCCTCACCCTAGGAAGGACTTGAGGAAAATTACAAAAAACGGACATTTACAATAGACTTAATAAAATAATAAGGAAAGGGATGGAGGAGGAGAGAGATAACAATTTCTTTAAATGAAATGGGAGAAAACAAATATGTGCAAAACCTGGCACCTGGGCTTTCAGGCTGCCAAGGATCAAGGAAGAATGTGATGATTTCTGTAGGACTCCTTATCACAGCAGGAGAACAAGTGACCATTCCTTGGGAAAGTGATGCTTTTCCTATACAAAACTCAGAGAGAAATTCCTGATGTAGGGCACATTGGGAATTTAGGAAGTGATCTGCAAGTGTGAAAAGATAATGCAAGAGGCTGCTCCCTGGGAGTTTTGCTAAAACCCGAAGGCTTGGACCTGCAGAGCAACTGAGGGAGGGCATGCAGGGGTTACCATGGCAGCCAGCCAGTGAATCTGTCCTTTCAGTCAGGCAAATAAGAATTTTCTACTGTCCAGGATTTGGGGGGATGGGGAGAAGGGAGGACCTTTAGCTTGGATAACATGGAAAGAAAACATCTCCTGATGTTGCTTAAGCATATGCCATATCAAAATTGAAAAGTTTTGTTTCTGCACATTTATAGCAAAATTATGCCATATTTATTCTCTGGCTTCATTCATCTCCTGGCAGACCACTAACAATCCCCAGCAGTTTGAGAAGCACTGAATGAAAGGTCGGAGTGGGCATTGCTGAGCCTCCTCCTGCATTCCATATTCTGGGAATCAGGGTTTGGGAAATGACTCTGCAGCAGAGTTGGGTGTGAGCTATTCAGATGGATGAAAGTCTAGCCACATCTAACCAAGTTGGCTCTTTGTCTATCCCCATTTTACAGAGGGGGCAACTGAGGTTTGAAGAAAGTGAATCACTTAGGAGGCAAGATGGCACAGAAATGAAATTGGTACTCAAACAGCATGTCATGCAGCCATGATCACAAGGCCACAATGTCTATGAGCCTTCTAAAAGGCAGGGTGACAGAAGAAAAGATGATTAACCCACAAGATATCCATAAGGTTGAACACAAATAGTTCCCTCCAGAAACACAACTCTCTGTGATACTAAAAACACAAAGGTCTCCTGAAGATCCTCCAAATTATAGTATATGAAAGCGATTGGAAAACCACAAATGCTGTAAAAGTCACATTTTTATTATTGCTTATTAGGTAAATAATGCTAGTGAATGCAACAGATAAACCCCAATATTTTAGTGACTTAACATGGCAAAAGCTTTTTTTTCACGTCACAGCTCAGTCTGAGTTGGCAAGGAAAAGCAGCTATCATTCAGGGACCCAGGCTCTGTCCATCTTGTGGCTCCACCCTCATTTAAGTCCTCTAGCAAGGTCCCAAGGGGGAAATTCTAGGAGCCACACCTGAAAGTGGCACATACCCCATCCACTTGCATGCCATTGGCCAGATTCAGTCACATGGGCACACCTAATTGCAAGGAAGCTAAAAAACTAGCATAGCCATGATAATGGTGAGCACTAGCAGTTCTGTGCCACAAATTTCTCCTTGGCCCAATGCTCTTTTCTCCCTCCAGTAATCCTATGGGTCTCTGTGGCCCTAATACTCTTTCGTCTGTCTGCCATGCAGCCTCCTGCACAGAGTCTTAGGGAAAATCCGATGTGAGAGTGATGTGAACACACTTAAGTCCAGGCCCTGCAAAATGTAGGGTACCCATGTCCTTCAGCTCCATGTGGCCCGATTGGATGGTTCTGGAGATTAATCATACTTTGCACTCTCATGAATCTACCTCGGTGCAGTGTGCTCACATCACTTTGCCATCATTAATAATGCAGACACACCCCAGGAGGCAGGCACATGAGAGCAATGAGGAAACAGAGGTGCAGACAGAGGTTAAACATCCTCCCAAGGAAGCCTCGTAAAAGTGTGCAAACCAAGAGTGACTCTTCCAACTTTAAAGTTATTAATTCTCATTCTTGCTGGAGGAGAAAGCTTCCTGGAGCACTGAAAGAGGAGACAAGACAGGAGGCTTCTCAAACAGGACCATACCAGGACTGGCAGCACTCCCTCCTGCAACCCTGCATGATTTAAATCTAGCTCTCATATTTGCTAGCTCTGTGGCCTTGGGCTAGTTACTTAACATCTGTAAGCTTTCTAGCATGCCTGTTTTCTCATCTTTAAAATAGGTTAAATAATACCTAGTCATAAAGATTTTGGGGGGATTCAATAGGGTAGTCTATGCCAGACACCTTTATATCTAGAATGTGCCAAATGCCCAAAAGATATTGGAAGGTGATAATAAAGATGGTGATGATGATGATGAGCATGTCCAAACACCCTGTCCAATCCAAATGCTTTCATCTCAAATATCTTCAAGAATAAAAGGTATTCTCTACTGCTCTTGTAACATCCACAATTTGGGCCAATAACAGAGATCATATAAATCCTTGGTGATTTACTAAAAGTTGCATAGAAAACTGGGTGACAGCCTGAAAGTCCCAATAGCAGGTTATGATGAGCTGGATTATGAATCTGGCTTTAATTTATACCTCTCTATTCTGTCTTCAGACACAAATCTCCTCTCAGACATACCAAACTGAGGATTGGCCAACTATGTGTTTGGTTATGAAACCTCACAAAAGTGATTTCTCTCTCTGCACCTCAGTTTCCTCATCTACAAAATCCAAGTGATAATTGTTCTTGCCTCCCAGGATTGTTATGAGGATTAGATAAAAGAATGCATGTTATGTGCCTGGTGCCATGCAGGGCATATCTAGAATGTGAGCTATTTATATAGCAAAGCTAATTGCAACTTTCCCTGCTGGAGCCAAAAAGGCTTTCAGGTAACCAGACCCTGGGTGATGCTGAGGATGTAGACCCAGGCCCTTCATGACTAACTGGACTGATGCTTCCCCAGCTGGATCTCTCAGGGGGCAGGGTCCATATTCAAGGCAATTCTGTATCCCCTGCAGCATACAGGACAGATGCCTGGCATTTGTTCGTGGAGAAAGAAATCAGATAAATGACATGACATAGGTGTTGCACCTGACTGATGATCATAACAAGACACTTAGCATTTAATGAAGTTATGCTAATGCACCTTTATGTCTGGAATACACCAAATGCCCAAAAGATGCTGGATGATAATGATGATGACGGTGATTCGTAGCTCTAAGCACTTTGCCCATTTCAAATGCTTCTGTCTCTAGAAAACTTTAAGAAAAAGGTATCCTGCCCCACACTAAGCACTCTACAAACATAATCTCAGTTATTTTCACCCTCATAACCCTGCAACAAAGTGATTATCTCCATGTAATAGATGAGGAATCTGGAGTGCAGGGAGCTCAAAGCACTTGCCAAAGGTCACACAGCCCTACATGGTGGTGCCTGTGGGCCTGCAGAGCTTCAGTTCTTCCCCACCCCTCTGCACTGCCCCCACCAAGGCAGATTGGCTGCAATCCCTGCAGCTGCCCACGGGACATGGCCCTTGAAGTCTGCAGTTGCTCAAAGTAACTGAGGACTGATGAATCCAATCCCCACTCAAAACCTTGCTTTCACTATAGCCTCAGGCCAATAGTTTAATCACCTCATGTTTCAGTTCCTTCATCTAAAAGCAAAACCTTATACTTATCTACACACAAGGGTACTGAGAAGATTAATCGGATGCTCCAGAAGTGCTTTTAAAATGAAAAATATGGATTATTTGCATTATTATTTTAATAGCCTTGGACTCTGTTATCTTCTGTTTACACAGAGGTGAAGAGCTTGGAAGAGGGAGATTGGTGAGATTCATTTACTTCAGCCTTATTCTCTGAACCAAGCAGGGAAAACACAGACACCTCACCACCTGCGTTTAGGATGGGTCATCCCAGGCCCAGCCTGGGTGTGCCATGGCACTGAGGGCCTATGACTGCCTATGGCAGTTTGAGAAACTAATATACAAAGAACCATAGAACAGCTGCTTCCTCCCTCCCTCTACAGCTGTGATGCAAGCACACCAAGGTCAGGAGCCTTCTCTATCTTTGTCAACATATCCCCAGCACCTAAAACAGGGCTTCCTATGGAGTGGTGCTCACTAAATATATGTTCACTAAATGAATGAGTGATTGAGGGAGGAAGTGAGAGAACAAACAACAAAACAAACCAGAAAATGTCAGAGTGAAGAGAACACACGAGGAGACTCCCTTTGCCAGAAAAGAGCGGCAGAGGAGTCTTCCAATGGCCGTCCACATGACAAGCATCTACCATGCTGCAAGCACTGTGCTAGGTGCTCAGAGAGAAGCAAAATTTGACAGTCCTCACCTTCAAGGAGTTCTCAGACTAAGAAAAGGAGCTTCAAGTTTACCGACAGTTATGGCAGAGTGAGTTTGGCTCTGATAGACAATTAGAGTGTCACGTAAGCCATTAATTTCTCCTGGAAGGTCAGGAGGGAAGGAAAAGTAGCATTTTAGCTGGACCCTCATGAAAGAGCAGGAGCTCCAATGATGAGGTAACGATACCTCCTGCCATGGAATGGAAATTCCATGAGGGCAGGGATTTTTGTGTGTTTTGTTCACTAAGGCATTCCGAGTCCTACCTTAGTACCAGGTACATAGTAAAACCCTATGAGTGAATATGTGTGTGTGTGTGTGTGTGTGTGTGTGTGTGTGTGTGTGTGTAGAGTACACATGCATCACAGAAAGGCTAGTTAGCAAAAACAAAATTGTGAACTTGCAAACAAGGGAATCTCCTGTACGTTCTCTCTACTCCAGCATTTCGTGGTTCACTTTCTTGTTTGCTCTCTCACTCATTTGCACAGGATGGTCAAGTATTACTTTTTTCTACAGTAAGATAGAAACAAGGGAAGGAACAGGTAAAATGGGACAAGTTCAGAAGGCCTTGAATACCACACACTGAAGAATCAGGGATGTTTCCTGTACTCCGTCCTTCCATATTTCAATTTAATGTTTCAAGCAAAGGTTTTTTTGCTTTTGTTTTTGTTTTTGTTTTTTCTCTCCCGAGGCTTTCTTTCCTCTGCCAGGCCTGAGGGCATGCTCATAAAATGTAAAATCTGTTTAAATAATTAAATCTGTGGCTGAGAGCAGTGGTCAGGGTAGAGGACACTGGCCTGTGACACCGTAAATCACTGCCATTGCTGATATGTGGCGGAGCCCAGAAGCGTCTGGGAAAGCCTATGAACAGCCAGGCCCTGCAACCAGAAGTGCCGAGTCAGCGCTCCTCACTTGGTTTGGGATGAATTATGGAGAAGAGGTGGGACACTCAGTGCCACCAGCCCTCTGACAGCGGAAGCTGCTTTGCTGATGGACAGCAGGAGGTGTTGACACCCCCTCTGCTCCGCTTCCCTCTTCAGCATCAAGTCGGCTTCCTCTTTGCCCAGCTGAAGGACCAGGAGTAGGAAGAGGGGACTGACATATGAGGGTCTCCACTCAGAGACAGGCCGTGCTAATTCTGGCTGGGCCCAAGCAGCTGCCCTTCTGCCCCTGAGAAGCACAAAGCCCCAGAGGTCTGTGGAGACAGAGGCTGAATCAGGGAGAACTTAAGAGAGAAAGGAATGGAGCAATGGGGCTGCCTCTACTGTAAGGCCACTGGGGCAGGGCCTTGTGCCCACGACTTTGTCCAGGCAGTCCCGTCCACTCGCTGGTTTGGAATTGGTCACCTACGATGTGTGAGGCTCTTCACATACATGATTCCAAATAGTGGTTCGGAGTAGGCACCTCGTCCTAGACAAACCAGATCCAACAGTCAACTCTGCTCATTAGCCAGGTGAATTTGGGAAAGTTATTTGACCCCTCTGCATCTCAGTGTCCCCATCTTTAAAATGGGACAAATAATACAGTGGTTGTGAGGATTAAAAGAGGATTACATACACGTCAATCATTCAGAGTACTGCCTGGCTCATAGTAAGTGTTATACAAATGTTAGCTCTGCTGGCCATCCGGTTAGGAAATCTTCACCCAACATCTATCTGCCTGTACGCCAAGCTTTGGAATACAAGCTTCATGGATAGCCTTGCTCATCATTCATTTAACAAGTATTAACAGCACCTACTACATATTAGACACTGAGTGAGGTATTTGCTCTGTGTTATCTCACTGATTCATTTTTACAAGCACTTATTGAGGGTATACTCTACAGCAGGCCGGAGCCAGGGATTTACAGCATATGGAATCCCACTAATGCTCCCTATCTTAGTGCATTCAGGCTGCTATAACAAAATACCTTAGACTGGGTAATTTAGAAGCAGTGTGAATTTATTGCTCACAGTTCTGGAGACTGATAAGTTCAAGATCAAGGTGCCAGTAGATTCAGTGTCTGGTGAGTGCTGCTCTGTGCTTCAAAGACAGCAATAGCGCCTTCTAGCCTTGTTCTCACATGGAAAAGGGGCCAGCATGCTCCCTCAGGACCCTTTTTTTTTTTTTTTTTTTTTTTTGAGACAGAGTCTCACTCTGTCACCCAGGCTGAAGGGCAATGGTGCAGTCTTGGCTCACTGCAACCTCTGCCTCCCAGGTTCAAGCGATTCTCCTCAGTACTCTTTTATAAGGTCACTAATCCCATTTGTGAGAGCTCTGCCTTCATGACCTAATCACCTCCCAAAAGGGTCCACCTCTTCATGCTCTCACATTGGGGTTGGGTTTCAACATATGAATTTGGAGGGGACACAAACATTCAGACCATAGCACTCCCTGTATTCATTCTTTAGGGATGCCATAACAAAATATCACAAACTTGAGTGACTTAAACAGCAGAAATGTATTGTCTTACTGTTCTATGAGCTAGAAACCTGAGGTCAAGGTGTAATCAGAGTTAGTTCCTTGTGAGGGTTGGGAGGAAGAATCTATTCCATGCCCCTCTCCTAGCTTCTGGCAGCTTGCTTGCCTTCTTTGGCATTCTTTGGGTTGTAGATGTATCACCCTAATCTCTGCCTTTATTTTCATATGGCATTCTCCCTGCATGTGTCTGTATGTCCAAATTTCCACCTCTTATAAGGACATTAGTCATATTGAATGAGGACCATCCTGATGGCCTCATTTTAAATTGATTACCTCTCTAAAGACTCTATCTCCAAATAAGGTCACATTCTGAAGTACTGGGGATGAGGACTCCACATTTCTTTTTGGGGGGACACAATTCAACCCATAACACTCCCCAACAATAATCTGCTCTGCTAAGTGCTGCACATACATACCCTGTTTCACTTAGTCAATAAGCATTTGCTCTAGTGGAAGCCACACCAATGTGATCTCATGCATTCATCCACTCCTTGAACAAATATTTCTTCCTTGACTGTTCCAGACTCCATTATAGGCACTTCACAGACAGCAACACAACCTAAAGGGTGGTACTGTGATGCGCATTTTACAGCCAAGGAGTCTATGTCTTGGAAATTCAGGTCTACCTCAAAGCCTACAGTCCTCCCAAGGTAGCTGCCACCTCCAAAATTTAGGAATCTTTGCTTTTTCCTATAACCCAAGTCAAGGGAAAGCCATGTCCCCCATTCTAGGTGTCTTAAGAGTTACAGAATTATTAATAATACACTGCTTATACTTCAGAGCAGCTGAAACAGCCAATAAAAAAAAAACTGCCCACAAACGGACAATTTCATTAATTGCTTGGAAAACTAAAAATAGCCTCGCAGTGACTAGCCAAGGGGGGCATTTGGTGGCACCGTCTGTCTCCAACACAAAAAGGGAGTGGGAAATTGCCAACTCTGGCAGAGGCTTAGGATAAAGGCAGTGGCAGAAAGGACAGAAAAGTTTACCCTTAATGAGAAGTGACCTTCATAACTCCCTGGGTCTCCCTAGAGTTTCTTTTGTAGAATATTACATTTTTCCATATCTAATTCCAATCTATCTGTCTTATCACTAGTATGGAAATATTAATAAAGAGTTTTGTTTAGGTCTTTTATTTATTAAATATGTATGAAATGATTTTCTGTTCTTTCTTCCCCATTCTTTTCTCTTGTTTTGTAAAGTCCTTGATATGTGTGTTAATATCTTTAATATTAACATAACAGTGGCCAAGGCTGACCCCTTGGGCCCTTTGCTACATACAGACCCCTTGTAAGGGGGCTGAGCACATGCCTCGCAGTCCACCATGGGTTGTGGCTGCAGCCGGGACTGGCTGGTGGCTTCTCCATGTCACCTCCCTTCCTGAGCTGGCCCGAAGCCTCAATCCACAGCTTGGTTCCTCCTGGTGCCCCTACGGTTCACCCCCATAGGCCACTCAGATGGTTCACCCCACCATCCCACTTTTTTTCACCTTGTTCCAGGCTAGGAGCAGCTGTAAGGGCTGAGAATTTGTTTGGTTTCCCATTGCCTTTGGTTCTGTTTTGTCCCTACCTGTAGGCTTAGCTTTGACCTCAACCGGGCCTCTGTGTGTACTGGGAAGCCAGTACAAGCCCTGACACATTCTGGAATTTGAATCCTGGGTCCTCCTCTCACACGTTCTCTGCCCTCACGCAAGTGAATGTGCCTCTCTAAGGCAGTTTCCTCAGCCATAAAACAGAACTGGTGATGTTCAAGTCGTAGAGTGACTGTTGGGATTAACCGGAGGAAATGCTCACAAGCACACATGAACGGCAGATTTGGTTACCAACACGTAATAATAGAGTTCCTGTTAACACTAGCCTTTATCTACTTTGGACTCCACATTTTATCTGGTAGAGAAAAGGCATATTCATTGCCTTATTTGACACAACAACCAGAAGAGAGACTGGAGCAGGTATTATAACCCCCATTTCACAGAAAAGGAGACTGAGTCTTCTGAAATATCATGAAGCCAGAACTGGAAGGGACCTGAGACATCCTTAGGTCCCTTATACAGGGGACAAAACAGTGGCCAAGATAGAAGGGGATTGCCGAGGTCAAGGTTAAAGCAGGTCCCTAACTCTCTGTCCCAGGCTTTCAGTGATCCCCAGATTTTCAGATGCTGGCTTTATGCTCAGTGGTCACATGTACTTTAGCTCATCGTTAAAATATTTCTTCTAAAAATGCTAATGAAAAGTTTGGGGATAATACCATTGAGAAAGTCTGAAACTTTTGTTAAGCAACTCAAATTAAGAAACCTTTCTTGGGCCGGGCACGGTGGCTCATGCTTGTAATCCCAGCACTTCGGGAGGGCGAGGCAGGCGGGTCACCTAAGATCGGTGTAAGGTCAGCCGAGAGAAAGGAAGAATAGACCCAAAGTCAGGCAAGTAAGTATATTAACCTACCAGCTGCTCCACCACAGACAGAGGAGGCAGCAGCAAGCTTACAGAATGAGGGGTTTATATTGGGGAAGAGAGTTTGAGGGAGTTCTTTGGTAGGGCCATATCCTGGGGTTGTTTGCTGGTTAATTTTGCCACATATCACCTTGTGATGTTTATAACAGGAGGGTGTAGGTAGTTTGTTTATGCTTCCCACGACCTCCCCCTGTGCAATCTGGATGGTTTGTAATTGGGGTTTGTTTATCATAGCGAGGTCTGATAAGTGAAGTCTGCTGGGTTCACTGTGGAACCTAGATAAGGGCTTAGAAATGTAAAGAGGCTTGGGGGAAGGGTGGGCAGCAAGGAGAGGTTTGCAGGGAGTGTCGGCGGTACCAAGAAGCTTTTTGGGGCAGTTTGTCCTTAACAGTCGGGAGTTCGAGACCAGCCTGACCAACATGGAGAAACTCCGCTCTACTAAAAATACAAAATTAGCTGGGTGTGGTTGTGCATGTCTGTAATCCCAGCTACTTGGGTGGCGGAGGCAGGAGAATCGCTTGAACCTGGGAGGTGGAGGTTGTAGTGAGCCAAAATCGCACCATTGCACTCCAGCCGGGGCAATAAGAGTGAAACTCCATCTCAAGAAAAAGAAAGAAAGAAAGAAAGAAACCTTTGTTGAGCATCTGCAGCTACTCTCTCCTCACTCGCCCCAAGGCAGCCAAGGTGGCTCCACCCTGACCTGGGAACGTGCCAGTTCCTTTGGGTCCTTGCTCAAAGGTCACAACCTCAGGTTGGCCTTCTCTAACCCCTTATTTATTTATTTATTTATTTATTTATTTATTTATTTATTTATTTTTTTATTTGAGACAGTCTCGCTCTGTCACCCAGGCTGGAGTGCAGTAGCACAACCTTGGCTGACTGCAGCCTCTGCCTCCAGGTTCAAGATATTCTCTTGCCTCAGCTTCCTGAGTAGCTGGGATTACAGGAGCATACCACCACACCAGGCTATCTAACTCTCTATTTAAAAGTGCAACCCTTTCTTAATCAATCCCTCCCTATCCCCCTTCACCTTCAAAAATGTTATATTTGTTCACTTATTTAATTATCCCTTTTCTCCCACTACAGTGTAAGTTCCATGAGGGTCTACATTTGTGTCTGTTTTCTTCACTGCTGTATCCCTAGGACCTAAAACAATGCTGGTACTTAGGAGATGCTCAATAAATACTTGTTAAGTAAATGCATGAACGAATGAATGAGGGAGAGAATGAATAAATGAAAGAATCTATACTGTAGCAGACCATTGGTGCATAATTTTTTCATAGAGTGCCATGCAAGCACAGATAGGGAACAGCTGCTTGAAAGGGGAAAGTCTGGGAAAACTAAAGAGATGGGACCTTATTTTAGTTCTTCCTTGGTGTTCGGAGGACTGAGCAGGAAGATGGCACTCCAGGCCAAGGGAACAGTACAAGCAAAGTCCTGGCGTCGGGAAACAGGATGATATAATTTGGCAGTGACTATTTCCAGATAGCTAAGGAAGCTTTTCTAGTGTATATTTTACACACTGCAAGATGCCCCTTGGTAAAGGACTCCCTTATTCTGTTCAGAACAAGACAGGCTGGAGATTCACAAATCACAGAAAGACCTGGGTTCAAACCTCAGCTTAGGCACCTCTTAGCTCAATGTGCACTGTATTTCTGTTTCCCTAACAAAAAGGATGAAGATAATAAGTGTGGGGTTGTTGTGAGGATCAAGGAAATAATGCATATAGGGTGCTTATCACAATGCCAGGTACATATGGAGTCCTCAAAGTGTGGCTCTAGTGTAGTGGCTATGAGTGCAGATTTCAGAGCCAGAATGTCTGGGTTGGAATCTTAGCTCCACTGCTAACTAGCTTGGTGAACCTAGGTAACCCGCTTAACTTCTCTGTGCTTCAGTTTCCCCATCCACAAAATGAGGATAATGATAGTGCCTGCCTCCTAGAACTATGGGGACTAAATGAGTCAACAGAAACAAAGCACACAACAGAAGTAAGTGCTATGTTAGTGTCAGCTGTTGCTCAAACTAGGAGTCCATACTGTTTCCTTTTTTTTCCTTCTCATTCAGCACCTTTGGTACTTACTGTTTTCCAGGCAGCCTTGCCTGTGGTTAACTGGAACGCTTTTGTATCAGAAGTTAGCATAATAGAAGTTCTAAGAAGTCCCACAACAAATAAACCTGCTGAACCTCATTCAGTATTTTTCCCATAATAATTTCCCCACGGAATGCTGCCCCCACCTACTAAGAATCTAAAGGCATATTTTCTAGGGACACACCTTTGAGAACTGTTGGGCTTCACCCCTGGGGTATTTGGGGTGGGGGAGCTAGAAGCTCAAAAGGTTGATCTTTCTGGCCCTGGGAAGCTCATAAGGATGTAAGAAGGGAAGTGACCCCATGAAATTCACATTTGAGAAGGCCACCCTCTCAGGCAGCCCCTGTGGATTGGAGATGGGGCCTAGACCAATTAGAGGGCTGTGGCAATGGTCCTGCTGGGGAAAGAAGGTTGAAATCAGGGTGATGGCAGTGGGCTGGAGAGGAAAGAGTACATAGAAGAGTTATTTGGAAGACAGAATGGTCAAGGACAGAGAAAAGCAGGCCAGGCTGAGGGAGACCTACCCCAACACCAGACTATAGAGGCCATATTGATTCTAGCAAACCTAACCCTGAAGGGACACCCTCTGGGTTTCACACAGCCATGCCACTGATTATGGCAGGACTGGAGAGTAATCTCATGTAGGACCTCAGGGGAGGTCACTCAAGATGACTCTGAGGCTCCTTCTTACATAATTTGTCTCAAGGACACCCTGGAAGCCATGAGGAAGGAGAGAGGAGCTAGATCTTTGCTAACGTGAGCACTGGGTCAGAGCTGTTTTTCTTTTCGTGCCCACCAAACTTTCTAACATGTTACACATACACCCTCACCTTGTCTTTATCACCTTCTCGACACCTACACCTGTTCCCTCTGCTCAGATTTCCAAGGGGCACAGCACACAGGAAACGCCAGCTTACATGGGAGAAAGATCTTGGACCTGGAAGGTCAGAGCCCTGGGTTCGAGGTCCACCTCCTGCCCTTCCTAGCCATGTGCCCTTAGGAATTCAATTCATCTCTCTGGGACTCAGTTTCCCCATCTGAAAAATGGGGCTGATAATGCCTCGCTGAGTTGTTGTGGGGTTAGCTAAGATGCCTGCCAAGAGTCAGCAGATGGCCCAGCAGCAGAACATCATCAGCTGACGTTGATTGAGTACTTCCTACAGGTCAAGCACATTTATAAGCGTCTTCCAGGTTTTTTTCTCACTTAATTGTCAACCGTTATGTGGTGGCACTTTCCTTACCCCTACTTTACAGATGGGAAACTGGGACTCAGAGAGGGTAAGTAATTTGTCCAAGATCACACAACTAGTGAGAGGCTGGGAGGCAAACGCAGGGACTCTGGTTGCACTTTTCCACCACTCTGCTGAACAGATGCTCCTAAGGAAGCAATGACAAAGACAACTGTGATGAGAACTTACTGGAATAATGACCTTAAGAAAGTTATTTCATACCTCTGAGGCCCACTGTCCTCATTTATAAAATGGGAACACCACGAGAGCTGAGTTCCCTGGTGCTAAGAATTGCCAGCGGGTTAAACACCAGCTCATGCAGCCAGCCCAGGAACCAGTGACTGCTGTCCTTCCCAGGCTTTTTTAGCTTCCAGGAGAGGGATGGCTGCTGCTATCAGCAATGCCTGGAATCCTCACCATGAAGGGAAAGGAAGCACAAAGGGCTGGGGTTGAAAGTCACAGACAGCCCCCTGGGAGCCCAGTCCTCTGTGGTAAGGCTGCCTTCCAGCTTGGCATTTTCTCCTTGCACTTCTATGGCCAAGCACTAAAAATAGCCTGCAATGGCTCTGCAGCCAGCGGAGTTCCCCACCAAAGACTCTCGCCCTTTATGGGCGGTGATCATCAGCTTCCTTCTGACTGCCATTGGCAATTAAAGCACAGATTATCTCGGCAGAGGCTGTTCCAGAACCCAGGCTGAGCCTGCGAGTCACGAGGGAGGCCACTGATCCAGCTCCCAGCTGAGTGGTCTCCAGGCCAGCTGCACAGCCAGAGGTTGGCCAGCATCCTGTCTGTAAGAAGACTGGGGGTGGAAGTGGGGGAGATGGGTGGAGAAACCAGGTCACAAGAAGAAAGGGAGCTGGGGCCAGAAGAGAGAAAATTAAGGAGCCTAGGTGCTTTCTTCCAAACCAAGAACAGTCTTAAGCCAGAACAAAGCGGACAAGTCAGAGGCAGGAGAATGCTAATTAGCACGGTCCTACCAGCCACCCATCACTGGTAGGCCATGTCCTATAGATGTGCATGTTGTGCACATCACCAAGGTACCCAGGCCAGGGTGGTAAGTGAGGCTGAAACCTGCAAACTGGGTCGCTTAAAAGAAGGGGTAACTTTACCTAATTCACAAAAGGTACTCTATGGATTAGACTTGGCCCTGATCATTGGATATCTACTGTGTACCTGGAAGAGTGTTAGGTATGTTCTGTTCTCTCATTTAATCCTCACCTCAGCCCTTCCAGGTAGGTCTTATTTCCCCATTTTGCTAACAGCCAGAGTTTAGTCACATGCTCAGGTAGACAGACCTAGTAAGTAGCGAAAATGGATTTCGATCCCTGATCCTACCAAGTAAAAAGCCTATGCCATTAGCACTCCACCACTGGAGTTAGTTGTAACAACAATCATCATTTGATTATTTTGCCAGCCATTGTGTTAAACATTTTACATCCATTCGGTTCTCTAAATAACCACTCAAAGTAGGAAAGGTCATCTCCATGTTGTAGATGAAGAAAGCAGAGGTACAGGCAGGTTAAGTACATTGTTCAAGGTCACCCGTAAATGGCCAAACTGGGATTCAAACCCAGGTTTCTCTGACTTGACAGCCCTACTCCTAACAACTGTAACCCAAAGGCCATCTGAAGTCCATTAGTTAGTCCTGTAGGAACTACACAGAAATGGACCTGAATGCCCCTCATTTATACCTGAGCCCTCTCCAGACGCCCCTACTTCACAGCTGGCCCTGATATCCTCCGGTCCCAGCAATGGCTCTGCTTGCCTTGCCAGGCAGAGGAAGATCAGCAGTGATTGGCCATCACTTAATGGGCATGTGCTTGAGGGGGCCTTTCCTCCCCAGGTGTGCTCCATTCTAGCCCAGTTTCAGACATGACCCTTGAGCTTTGGTTTTCCCCACAGTGTGCCATATACTTTATGGAGGTCTGAGTGATGAGAGTGTTTACATCACAGTAAAGCAAATAATGTCCAAGGGAACAATGTCAAAGGGCTCCCCAGCATTTGAAAGCCTGTGGCCAGTCCTGTTCAGGGATATCCTCCCTTACCACCATCCCCCGCGGGCACCAGTGCTCTGCCAGGGTGCACAGTCCCTTCTCTGTCTTCATCCTCCTCTACTCTGTCCCAATCCAAAATTTCCTACTAAAATCTTATGCAAAACAGTATAGCTTGGTCCTTTCAGATTTTCCCTCAGATTCTTCTGCACCCCCGAAGGAAGTGGCCTCCCAATGTATTTTCTTAAATAAATACAACTCTCCCTCTACCGTGAACTCTGGTGCCAGCTGTTAAAATATATTTTTTCACTCCTTTGATACACTGCCAAAGATGGAACAGGCTGCTCCCCATTCTCCAAAAAAGGAGAAGCAGTGTTTTCCCCACTAGAGATAAGCAAACAGAAGCAGGGCGGCCAGACCTCAACAATATCATTCAAGAACAAAGGCTCTAGAGTCAGACCGCCTGGGTGTTGCTAAGCCTCAGTATCCTCATCTGAAAAATGGGAAGAATACTAATACCTCACTTATTGGTAATATCTACCAATAACCACCAGGTTATTAAAAGGATTAAGTAAAATGGGTAAAGTGCTGATCATAGTGCCTGATACGTAGTAAGCCTATAATAAAGGTGAACTATCATTTTCTGTTCATATATTATTTTCTCCTAATCCTAAGACTTTCTAAGACTCTAATTTTGTTCACTAGGGCCTTTCTCAGGACCTGACACATAGTAGGTATTTGATAGAATAAATAAATAAATGGAAGAAAGGATGGATGAAAAAATGAATAAATAGCAGGAAGATTGTCCTATACACCAGAAGGACATCATGAAGCATTCTTAGTACTCTATTGGTTTGATTTCACTTTTTCACTAATCACCGTGTGTGTTTTTCTTGTTTGCCTGGTGTTGCAGACAGAAGAAAGTACAGTCAGTTCTGCTATAATGCCACATTCGTGTTTTTTGGTTTTTTTTTTTTTTTTTTTTTTTTAGTATTTATTGATCATTCTTGGGTGTTTCTCGGAGAGGGGGATTTGGCAGGGTCATAGGACAATAGTGGAGGGAAGGTCAGCAGATAAACAAGTGAACAAAGGTCTCTGGTTTTCCTAGGCAGAGGGCCCTGCGGCCTTCCGCAGTGTTTGTGTCCCTGGGTACTTGAGATTAGGGAGTGGTGATGACTCTTAAGGAGCATGCTGCCTTCAAACATCTGTTTAACAAAGCACATCTTGCACCGCCCTTAATCCATTTAACCCTTAGTGGACACAGCACATGTTTCAGAGAGCACGGGTTTGGGGGTAAGGTTATAGATTAACAGCATCCCAAGGTAGAATTTTTCCTAGTACAGAACAAAATGGAGTCTCCTATGTCTACTTCTTTCTACACAGACACAATAACAATCTGATCTCTCTTTCTTTTCCCCACATTTCCCCCTTTTCTATTCGACAAAACCGCCATTGTCATCATGGCCCCTTCTAATGAGCTGTTGGGTACACCTCCCAGACGGGGTGGCGGCCGGGCAGAGGGGCTCCTCACCTCCCAGACGGGGCTGCCGGGCAGAGGGGCCCCCCCACCTCCCAGAAGGGGTGGCGGCCGGGCAGAGGGGCTCCCCACTTCCCAGACGGGGCGGCGGCCGGGTGGGGGCTGCCCCCCACCTCCCGGATGGGGCGGCTGGCTGGGCGGGGCTGCCCCCTACCTCCTGGACGGGGCGGCCGCCGGGCGGAGACGCTCCTCACTTCCCAGACAGGGCAGCTGCCGGGCTGAGGGGCTCCCCACTTCCCAGACTGGGCGGCTGCCGGGCGGAGGGGCTCCTCACTTCTCAGACGGGGCGGCTGGTCAGAGACGCTCCTCACCTCCCAGACGGGGTGGCGGCGGGGCAGAGACACTCCTCAGTTCCCAGACGGGGTCGCGGCCGGGCAGAGGCACTCTTCACATCTCAGACCGGGCAGCGGGGCAGAGGTGCTCCCCACATCCCAGATGATGGGCGGCCGGGCAGAGACACTCCTCACTTCCTAGACGGGATGACGGCCGGGAAGAGGTGCTCCTCACTTCCCAGACTGGGCGGCCGGGCAGAGGGGCTCCTCACATCCCAGACGATGGGCGGCCAGGCAGAGACGCTCCTCATTTCCTATACGGGGTGGCGGCGGGGCAGAGGCTGCAATCTCGGCACTTTGGGAGGCCAAGGCAGGCGGCTGGGAGGTGGAGGTTGTAGCGATCCAAGATCACGCCACTGCGCTCCAGCCTGGGCAACATTGAGCACTGAGTGAGCGAGACTCCGTCTGCAATCCCGGCACCTCGGGAGGCCGAGGCTGGCAGACCACTCGCGGTCAGGAGCTGGAGACCCGCCTGGCCAACACGGCGAAACCCCGTCTCTACCAAAAAATACGAAAACCAGTCATGTGTGGCGGCGCGCGCCTGCAATCCCAGGCACTCGGCAGGCTGAGGCAGGAGAATCAGGCAGGGAGGCTGCAGTGAGCCGAGATGGCGGCAGTACAGTCCAGCCTCGCTCGGCATCAGAGGGAGACCGTGCAAAGGTGAGACGAGGACCGTGCAAAGGGGAGGGAGAGGCAGAGGCAGAGGCAGAGGAGGGAGAAGGAGAGGGAGAGGGAGAGGGAGAGCAAGAGCGAGAGCGAGAGCCACATTCGTGTTCTAAAAAAATCACTGTACTGTGCAAATTTACCCACTAAAAAACACATGTTTACGGGGCAAATGGGATTAGGGGCATAACACTCACAAACTTCACCAGTGACACATTTAAAAAAAAATAGGAGCCCAATAAAAATAGCAGCCCTGTCTTAAACATATTTAATAGTTAAAAATATAAGTACTGTAATAAATATGGCACTTGACATTGATAAAGATCTGCAGTTTGCTTGTGGAAGTGGGCGTCAGGAAGACCATGAGTAATTGTGAGGTGGTGGGAGGAGAATCATCTGAAATGGGACAGAGTTGGAACACCAGATGTGGATGGGTGTGGAGCCTCACACGTACAGTGATCTAAAGTTACTGTGAATGTTTGATGTGTATGTGTGTGTGCATTTTGTGTATTACGCAGGTCTGTTCAGCTGGGTTTTTGGCATTCACCTAGTGTTTTTCAAGGGGGGAAATTGTCTTATATTCACATCGTTCCCTAGTATAAATTGCATTAGAACAAATTCATAGTTTCAAAACAAGCATTATAGCAAAACTGACAGGGTGTTTCGATATTTGTATTTTCCTGCTTGTTAGCTATCTTACTGTTTCTGCTTCCTACAAAACAGAGCACTAAATTACTTATGTCCCTTCCCTCCAGTTATCCATGCTTTCAACAAGTGCCTATTGAACATCTACTAAATGCTAAAACTAGAAACGCAAGGACAAAAGTACAGATCGTCCCTAATTTCACAGAGTTTACTATCTCAAGACAGAGCAAATATGAAGCAAGATATTTGCATAGTAGATGGTAAGTTCGACCCCTTGGCAGGGGCATTTCTGAGCACAGTAATGCCCAGTTTCCCTCCATGTCTCTCTGTGGGAAATTATAGGTAAGAGCACTGTCTCCTGCTGATGGTTTACATCAGAGGTACCCGCCCTTACAGAATTGGAGTGCCAGGTTGGCAGAGAACCCCACACTTCCTAGTGAAGACTGGACATGTTCTACAAACCTGGTACAGCACAGGAGAGCTCATTTGGAGGGTGGGTTGGTCTTGAGTGAGTTTAAGTTTTTCCCATGCCCCAAGAAAGGGTCTTCATCATGCTAGGAACTTTGGGCAATGCAGTAGCAATTTACTTCTCACCTGGTTTAAAAATCTTCAAGAGCTTCCCTTTTCTTTTAGTACAAAATCTGAACCCCTCACTATGGACTAAAAGGTCTAATAGGATCTGACTCTGGCCTAACTTTCCAACCTCACTTCACCCCACCCTCTGCTCTTTCTCTAAAGTCTAGCTGCACTGGCCCTGTCTTTGCCACTCATCACATTGCGTCCTCTGGGCCTTTGCAGCTGCTGTTCCCTCTGCCTGGAGTGCTTTTCCTTGGACTGATTCACTCTCATCCTCTCTTCAGAGAAGGCTGCCCCAGTTGTTATCTAATCAAAATGTCTCTTTTATTTGGAATTTTGATCATAATCTGTAAATGCCTTGTATATTTTACTTTTTTTTTTTTTTTTTTTTTTCAAAAACAGAGTCTCACTATGTCATCCAGGCTAGGGTGCAGTGGTGCAATCATAGCTCACTGAAGCCTCAAACACCTGGGCTCAAGCAATCCTCTTGTCCCAGCCTCCCAAGTAGCTGGGATCACAGGCGCATGCCCCCACACCAAGCTAATTTTTTTTTCTTTCATTTTTTGTAGGGACAGGGCTCTTGCTATGTTACCCAGGCTGTGCCTTGTGTATTAGTTTCTTGCAACTATAACAAATTACCACAAACTTAGTGGCTGAAAGCAACATCAATTTATTTTGTTATACTTCTGAAAGTCAGAAGTCTAAAACGGGTGAGTGGAGCTGCACTTTTTCTGAAGGCCCTAGGGGAGAATCATTTACTTGTCTTTCCCAGCATCCAGAGCCTGCCTTCTTTCCTTGGCTTATGGCCCCCTCTCATATTCAAAGCTGTCAATCAAATCAGTCTGACCTCTGCTTCCCTCTTCATGTCTTATTCTTTAACTCTGATCTTACTGACTCCCTTTCCTAAAGGTTCATTACATTGGGCCTGCCTAGCTAAAATCAGGTTAATCCCTCCATCAAAAGACCCTTAATTTAATCATATATGCAAAGGGCCTATTGCTATGTAAGGTAAACTTGACAGGTTCCAGGGATAATGATGTGGACATCTTTGAGCAGGTGGATCACCATTTACCTACCACACCTTGTTCATTTCTTTGCTTACTTGTTAATTATCTAACTACTACACTGTAAGCTTCATGAGATAAGGGCCTTCTTTGTCCTATTCACTGCTGTTTCCCTAGAACCCCACATAATTCCTGGCATATAATATGTGCTTGGTAGGTATTTACAGAATAAAGCAATTGATAGTTGGTAGTTTGAGTAAAACTACAACAAATTTCAGGTTTTAAATCACATATAGAATATTGTGTGTATATATATATATATACATACACATACGTACACATTTTTTTTTTTTGAGACAGAGTCTCGCTCTGTTGCCCAGGCTGGAGTGCAATAGTGCAATCTCGACTCACTGCAACCTCTGCCTCCCAGGTTCAAGCGATTCTCCTGCCTCAGCTTCCTGAGTAGCTGGGATTACAGGTGCACACCACCACACCAGGCTAATTTTTGTATTTTTAGTAAAGACGGGGTTTCATCATGTTGGCCAGGCGGGTCTTGAACTGCTGACCTTGTGATCCACCCGCCTTGGCCTCCCAAAGTGCTGGGATTATAGGCATGAGCCACTAGGCCTGGCAGAATACTGTGTATTCTAATAAGAGGAGGACAGGCACACTAAATTTTCTCTGAACTTTGCAACTAGCTAGCTGTGACTTTAGGCAAGTCACCTCACCTTTCTGAGTTGCTGTGGTCATATCTGTATAATTGAATATGATTTAAAAATACATACCTCAGATATTGTACAAACTAAATAAGATTATGACTAGGAAAAGCACTCAGAAAATGTAAAGTCTTCAGTTATGATAATTACTGTTACATCGATTATAGATGAGCAAGGCTGGGTCTAATGGGGAAATTACTTACACAAATAACTAATACAAGGCATATGTATGCTTTACTAGGGTTATTGGGTGCTGAGGAAGACTATAATGAAGAAAAGGCTCATTCCAACTGGGGAAACTGGAGAAGATAGAGTTATGACTATTAGGGAGTGACGCAAATGGTGGCAGGGAAAGAAATGAATGGTATAAGATTATTGCAGGGGCTGGACGTGGTGGCTCATGCCTATAATCCCACCACTTTGGGAGGCCGAGGTAGAAGGATCACTTAACTCCAGAAGTTCAAGACCAACTTGGGCAACACAGCAAGACCCCGTCTCTAAAAAAGAAAAGAAAAAAAAAAAAGATTGTTACAGGGAACCAAATTCAAATAAGTCCCCCGAGAGTGGCCAAAGCAGAAAAGGGCGATGCTGGAGGACCCGTTTGCAATGACCATCTGGCTTGTTAGAACTGATAAAAGGTAAAATGAGAAATCTACGTCTATGGCATTAAATTACTCCTCCAATGACCAGGTCTGTGAACAGCAGACTTTCCTTGCTGCAATCTCTCAAATATCCAAAGACATTATTTCAATTTATAAAGAAAAGTCATTTTAAAACGCCACTAAAAGCAGGCTTCAGTGAGAAATGTTCAACATGGCTCAATTACATTATTAAATCTCATTTTATTATGTGTTATGAAGGGCAGTATGGTATTCTGCAAAAATGAAACAGGCTTTGTTTTGTTTCTAACTGGGGAGTGGGGACAAGGGTATTCACTGTATTCATCTTAAACCTTTTTAGATTTTTTGAACATTTTGTAACACATTTAGAAGAATTAAAAAATAAATAGACTCTGGAGGAAGACCTGAGACCAAATATTGGTTCCACTGCTTCCTGGCCGTGTGACCTTGAACAAGCTATTTACATTTCTGGGCCTCAGTTTACTCTTTTGTAAAGTGGCAATAATCATGACTACCTCACAGGTAGTTGTGAGAATGAGAGGTAATGCAGGTTAGTATTTCCTATCCATGCCGCAGAATCGAACTCAACGAATGTTTAGCAAGAACTAAGTAATGTCCAAGAGATAAGAAAATCATTCAGAGAAGCAAATCCTGGTGGAATCAGAGATGCTGTTGCTGCTGTTATTCCACAGTGATGTACAAGAGTCATTTCCTTCTCTGAGCCTGTTTTCTCTTGTAGAAAGCACAAGTGTTTATCTAAGATTGCAGAGTAGCAAAAAACAAAAAACAAACAAAAAATGCTCTTTTGCTTGCCAGCCTCAATCAAAAGCTATAATCATCTGGGCATTTTGTGGCAAAGATGCTGAAGCCATATCTGGATTCACTAGAGAAGACATATCATCAGTGTCTGCCATGGGCAAGGTTGGGGAAATGGCAGCATGAAACACTAATATTTGCTCTCCAGACTTCTGGGGAAAATACTGACCATGTCACTTAATGACAGCCCCTCTTCTGAAAGTGTTAACACATACGCACACAACCCACCACCACCACTAGTTCTTTGGGCCAAATTAATAACTAAATAGCTCTTCTGAATTTTGAGAGCTATGGGTAGTCTCCCTTATTGCACTAGTGCCTTAGCTGATAGCAAGCGTTTGTCTATGTGACTCTGTCTGTTCCTTTAGGCCCTGAGCTCCTTGAAGGCAAAGGCTAAGCCCTAATCATTTTTCTAAAACCACAGAGGAGGCAGCATATCGTAATGGAATGAGCTTTCACTCTGGTCGGCTTCCGGTCCCCCCACCCCAAGAACCCTCAGACCTCGGACAAGTGATTTAACATCCTAAACCTCAGTTTCCTCATCTGTAAAATGCAATGAGAGCTTCTCTTGGAGTAGTTGTGGGAGCCAAAATGGGGTTGGGACTGAGAGACCAAGTAGAAGGCCACCCCAAGATTCAGAGAGGGGAGAGGAAGGCCTATGGAGGAGCAAGGATGGGCAGTGCACTGTGTCAGGAGCCAGGAGCACCAGGACAGATCCAGGGTGAGGCTGGATGGGTTGGCACAGACCCGGGGGATGAGGCCCAAGAGGTGAGTGGAACCAAACTCTCCACTGAATGCACTTGCCACCTCTTTCCTGTTACCCTTTGTAAGCCCCTCCTCAACTCTTGGGAGCATATATCTGATGCAGGCTTGAAGATTGGTAAGAATACTGACTCAGGTTGGAATAAGATGACCATGACTGGTTTTAACAGCAATGAAATTTCCAAGCCAAGCGCAGGTGGTGAAGTGGATACAGCTCCCCAGAGTTGCCTTTGCTCCTCCCGGAGGCACCGGAGGTCAGTGGTCTCAGCAGCCTGAAAGGATGGAGAAATCTGCGGTTCCAGGAGCCACAGTTCCCTAGATGGCAGGCTTATTTGTTCTTGGATTGCAGGACCTGCTGGAGGGTCAGGGAGGCGGGCTTGGCTAAAGCCTACCACAAGGGGGAGCCCAAGAGACTAAGGAGAGGGTGGCCGAAGCCAGGCGGGGAGAGGGGGCACCAAGGACTACCTGAGAAGGTAGGTGGCTGCCTGAGTCCTGGGGCACACTGGGGTTGCCCTCAGAGAAGCTACTCTGTCTCAGGCGCAAAGACCGGGACCGGGCTTACACCACAGTGGGCAGATGCAGGAATGGGATAGGATGCAAGGATGCAAGGTGCCGGTTTGAGAGCACATCCCGCCAAGCTTGTCCATGCCTGTAAGGTCAACCCTGGCTTTCCCAGCACCCTCTTGCAGAGAGGGTCGGCTAGGCTTAAGTGAACAGGATGGGGGTGAGGCAGAAGCAGGGGACTTGATAAAGGCCCCACAAAACAGTAATATTTATTTCCCACAAATATGCCATACATTCATGCACGACGGAGAAACAAGATTTTGTTCCACTTAGAGCGTATTCTTCTTAATACTGATGAGTTGTAAGATGAACATTAGTGAGACATAAAAATTTTGATCATGATAACAACAATAATAAAAAAGGGTTTAAATTCGTACAGCACTTTCTACTTTACAAAATGCTTTCTCATTCATTAGCTCTGTGAGCCTCATAATAGCTCCCTGAGGAAGGCAAGATGACTATCATTATTCCATTTTATGGATTAGAAACAGGCTCACAGAGGTACAGCGATTGGCCTGAGATCACACAGCTGGTGGGGGCCTGAGATCTTTACCCCAAGTCCAAGGCTTTTTCCAAAGTCTTCAGAGAGAGGCTTAATCACCCTCAGATCTCTGCCTGCCCTGAGCTGTCCTTCCAGAGGACAGCATGGGAGACATCCCGGTAAGCCTAGTGAATGGACCATCAACCCCACAGTCTGGCTCCCACCAGCCTCTCTGTTGACGGAGATCTGGCCCGTTAGACCTGAAACACATTGCTGGGTACTGTCTCCACCAAGACTGCTCAGAATATAAGCAAAGCTAACTGCAGAAGTTCCAGAATTCCATCCTCCCTCTGTAACTGTTTGGTGACGATACTGTCATCTTCAATGACAGCTGCATGTGTCACCCCTTCAGAAACAAAGTTGCTGAAAGTGACAGATATCAAAGTTGGGAAGAGCAAAGCAGAGAGAAACACGGAGAGACGGACAAAGGATGAGAGAAGGCAGGGAGGGTAGAATTTGGAGAAGAATAGGAAAGAAAGCGCAAATAATGGAGAGGAGGTGAAAAGAGGTAGGAGAGAAAAAGAGAAGAGAGAAAAACCCAGTTTGAAAGCTAAAGGAGTAAAAGTGAGAGAGACTCAAAGAGAGAGAGAGAGAGAGCACGTGGCTTTGAAAGTAGCAAGATGGAAAGCATTTATTAAGAGTGGCTTAAATATCTTATTCTCCAGTCCCAAAATGTACATTTCCCTTTTCCTTGTGAGTTAATCAGGTTTAAACCAATTCTAAGACCTGAAGGGTTTGGCTTAACTGCAACAAAGAATGTTTCCCATGGAGCTGACCTCTGTCCAGTCAATATGTAAAAGTGCCAGAGGACAGGAGATTAAGGAGATGTGCTCACACAGGCAAGGCCAGCCAATTTTACACAAAAGGTCACTCCGCGTCCTCAGTAGGGAAGAAAGCTGCACCAAAACAAGTAAGAAGGGTCCCCTAACATCCCCACAGTTTGTGACTCAAGAGGCCAACAGAACCACTTCCCACATCCTCTCGGTCTCCTGTGCCCCCAGAACCATGTGGCAGGCGTGGAGAGGGGCTCACAAGCTAAATTTTCATGGACTGAGAGATTGGGGGTGGGGCAGAAGCCTGGGGGGCTGAGTTCTCCTGCATATTGGGGCCATGTAGACATACCCTGCGAGATGGTAATAATTCTAATAATTGCTCTAATAATAAATGCTCTTATTTTGTCTCATCTGGTCTTTACTATGCACTACCCCATAATGGATTTCTTCCACTCAGGACTCCACAGGCAAGTGGCAACAAGATGGAAGCCACATGGCATCTTATGGCCTAGCTTAGGAAGGTACCTAGTATCACAACCAGTGCATTGTGTTAATCACAAGTGTCCTACCAACCCACCGAGATTCAAGGACAGAGAAATTCAAGTCCAGCTCTTGATGGGGAGGGAGGACAGCAAAGTTCTAGAAGAGGATGTCAGATGAGAGATATTAATGTGGCCATCTTTGGTAAATACAATCCACTAAAACTCTTAAAATACTTTTTTCTCTCTAATCAGCACCACAATTCTATAAGGTAGAATTATCCCCCATTTTAGGGATGAGGAATCTGATCTTAGAAAAGTTAAGCAATTTACCCAACACAACTCAACAAGCAACTAGCAGAGCAAGAGTTTGAACCCAAGTAGATTCCAAAGCTCCTGCTCTTCTTACTACATTTTATTGCTTTCCTAAAATAAGAATTAAAATGCTTGCACACAGCTCTTACAGTCCCTACTATATACCAGGCAATGTCTTAAACATTTTTGTTCTTTATTGAAAAAAAAATTGCTACTATTTATTGAGGTTACTATGTGCAAAGTATTGTGTCAAATACAGCAGGTGTTGTATCCAGTCCTCAGAACAACAGTCATAAGAGGCAAGAATAATGCCTATTTTATAAAAGAAGAAACTGCAGAGAAAGATGATATACATTACTCAAGGTCACAACAAAGTGAGAAAGTTCCTTAGCTAGGAATCTACCTTGTGTTTTCTGAAACCAGAGCAGGTTGGCAGGCAGAGAACGGTGGGTGGGAACCACTGGTTCTGCACCAAGACTATGAGAGTACAGAGGAGATTCAAGATTTCTTTCCGAGTGGCCCAAACTTTGCTGTAGGGAAATGGTGCAGGAGCTAGAGGAGCCTGTGCAAAACTGGACAGACACCCTGCATCTCACTTCCAAGTAATTTCAGAATTTTAAGATATCAGAAGATAACCTTACCTTCTCTGAGCTAGACAACACATAGGGGTAAGAAAGTAAATCAAAAGTATCCCCGCCCTCAAGGGGACTACCAGTCCAGGGGGAATATAAGATGAACACACCAATAAGTAAATGTATGGAAGAGATTGTAAGAAGTACTGGTGTAGAGCATAAAGAAAAAGGTATTATTGAAGGAACAAGAAGGAAGCAATCTGTCTAACTAGAGAGATTAATGAAGGCTTCTTAGAAGAAATGGCACTTGAATGAGATCTTGAAAGACAAAGAAGACTTAATAGTACAGAGATAAAAGAACAAAGCATTATTTTCTTCACCTCCCACCTCTACTCCTTTGCAGAGTCTTAGCTTCAGAGAGCTATCTCTTTAGAGATGATTAAATCATACTAATGTGTGAGTGGCTGGTTGCTTCATAAGATATTTTCACCTGGGGGAACTCAGAGCAGGCCAAGAATCCTGTTTGCATAAAGGACATAGAAACTCCTGGGGAAAATATTGAAGGAAACCTATGTAACCTCTACCCAAGTTCCTAAAATGCTAAGATTTAGACCTCACCCCACCCTTCCCCCCAAAAGTGAGATAGTATAAGTTAAGACCCTTGCTTTCCAAGAGTGGAAATTGCCAGAGACACATAACCCCCCTTGGAGAGCAGTCAGTGGTCTAAAAGGACAGCTATTTATCTCCATGCTAGATTGTGGCCCTCACATCTCATCTAGCTCAGTTTTGCAGTTCTAGCCATATTTTTTCCAAGACAACTTGTTGTCTTTGACTTGTTGTCAAAGCAAATAATGCTTTGTTCTTTTATGTGAAAGAAGTCATTTAATTTTCATAGACCTCAGTTTGCACAGCCATATAATAGGAACAATCTAGAATTAAATACTACATTTATGTGGCACCTGCCCAATCTCAAGCTCTGTGCCACCAGGTATTAATTAAGAACTCTACCAAATGACTATGATTTATGTATACTTTTAAAAAACTTATTAAAGATTACTTTATAAGCCACCATGTTCCAACATCTGGCTTTATCCATCTTTTCTTAAGATAGTTCTAATGTAACGTTGGTTTCTTTTTTATTTTATTTGTATTTTAGAAATTTTGAAATATGAAAATGTAAATACCAGAGGGATTTATATACATTTTAAAATTTGAAAATAAAAAAGAAACTTTTTCTATAGATACCCAGGAAAATTGAGGCAAAAATAAAATGTAAGTAGCAAAAAAAAAAAAAGAGAAAGCTTTTATGAACTAACACAGGAACCAGAAAACCAAATATCTAATGTTCTCACTTATAAGCAGGAGCTAAATATTGAGTCCACATGGACACAAGGAAGGGAACCCCAGGCACTGGGGCCTACTTGAGGGTGGAGGGAGGGAGGAGGTTGAGGACTGAAAAACTACCTATGGGATAATATGCTTACTACCTGGGTAACAAAATAATCTATACACCAAACCACTGTGACATAGTTTACCTACATAACAAGCCTGCACATGTACCCTGAACCAAAAAGTTTTTTTTTAAAAAAAAAAAAAAGCTTTTACATAGATATCTTAAAAGCACGTCAAAAATCCACCTTATCTTGGAATCATGAGGAAAAATTATATAAAACATAAATTAAGAAACTATAAAATTAGATGATGCAACAGTTAAGCTTGGTGACCCAGGCATGCCAAGGACCTAATGTTTCTGAGACATGGGACAGAGGCTTGAAAGTTTTACAGGGTCTGACTGTATTCTCCATAGCAGGCCGCTGATAGCACTCCCTCCCTTTGAGGAGCAGCATAAGAAGCCCACGAACAGGGGATGTGAGGGTCGTTCTGTTAGCGTTTTTGTTGGCCTGTCCTTCATCAGCAGCCGATGCTATTGATCATGCTGGTGGGAGAGGTAGCGAGATGGCTACTATATTATCCTCCTCATTTTTGAGACTGAAGATTTGTTGCTCCCTTAAGACGGGAGTACTAGAAGAAAAAACAAGTTGGTGTCCCAATCAGCCAGTTTCAAATTTCCAGCTGTGGCATTTTCTAACTGAGTGACCTGGGCAAGTCACACAACCTCTCTGATCCCCAGTCTCTGTATAAGTGAAATAAAGATGTGAGAATTAAAGGATACAGTGATGTGAATTCTCTTCAGTAGAGGGTCCTCGCCATGCAAATGGAGACCCCTCAGTTCTTTTTGTGGAATAAGGAATGATTTTAAGGAATAAGGAATGTATGTAAGTCAATCCATACATAACACATTTACAATTCTTTTAATTATTCCAGGATGGGAAATGAGGTTAAAGTCAGCAGGCAGTGTTGGGAAAGCGCCTGGGAGCTGGGTCTGGGCCAACAGACGGTCCTCCTCCGGGAAGTTGTGAAATGTAGCTTACCTAGAGATTTTGGAGCAAGGGTTAGATTGCTCTCCCCCACTTGGCTAAGTCATGGTTCCATGGGGAGAGGGCTGGTCCTTGGTGGCTGCCAGAATCTCTTTAAGGTATTTGTGGCATAGCTGGCATTTTTCACATCTCAATTTTATCAAATCCTCACATTAATTTTATGAAATCGTCGTTATTATACCCATTGCACAAATGAGAAAACTGAAACTCAGAAAGGTCAAGTAACTTGCCAAAGATCACAAAAGAATGGAAGTCAGGCCTCTTTCTGTCCCTTCTCAGGAAAGATGTTTCTTGATGATTGAGGAAACTTCTAGAAGTAGAGTTTCCCAAAGTGGCATTAAAGCATGGCTTTACATGATTGAGGCCAATTGTTAAGCAAGCAAAACATGTTCTGCCAATGGATATAGTCCTGTTTTGGGGCACCAGGGTACAGCCCTAAAGGCCAAGCTGAATTGAACTCACTGGACTGGATTATTTCCTGGAACCCAAAGCATTAATCTTCATATTCCTAGTGGCCATCTAAGTACCTAGCACAGCACTTCTCTAAGCCTCAGTTTCTTCACCTGCTGAAGGGAGACAATACCTGTGCCTGCCTTATACTGTTGTTAGAAGACTAAATGAGTTTCTATATGTGTATTAGTCAGCAGTCAGCCTGGACTACCATAACAAAATACCATAGACTGGGTGGCTTAAACAATAGACGTTTATATCTCACAGTTCTGAAAGCTGGAAGATCAAGATCAAGGTGCTTGCAGATTCAATTACTGGTGAGGTTCCTCTTCCTGGCTTGCAGAAGGCCACCTTCTTACTGTGCCTCACATGGTGGAGGGGAAGCCCTCTTTCTTTCTTCTTCTTCTTATAAAGCCACTAATTTCATCATCAATGCCTACCCTCATGACCTCATCTAACCCTAATTATCTCCCAGGGGACCCATCTCCAAGTGTCATCACATTAGGGATTAGGGCTTCAACATATAAATTTTGCAGGGACACAATTCAGTCTATCGCAGTATATAAAACTCTTAGAACAGTGCCTGCCATATGGTATGTGTTGGCTGTTACTATTATTATGTATTATCATTGACTGCAAAATCCACATTCTTTTCACTATCCTATCCTGCCTCCTATATTGGAGTGATTATTTAATATAAAACCCAATGCAAATATAAAGAAAGGAAGGAAAAGAAAGAAGGAGGGAGGGAAAAAAAGAAAGCAATCTGACTACACAGTGGAGGATGAGATTATAGTCAGGGTGCCCATGTAGGTGTCTATAGCTATAAGACAATCCAAACTGACATTATGTGAGAGGATAGAGTAGGGGAGCACATAGCATTAAAATTCACTTGTTCCTCCCACCTCCTCTGAGGAGAGATGTGGCTTCATCCTGGCACGCAGGAGTAAGGGTAGCACCACCCTGAGAACAGGCAGACCTAGTTTCTAGACCTTGCCAATGACTTTGTGTACAGCCTTGGGAAAAGCACTTATCCTTCCTGAGCTCTGTTTCCTCGCTCACTTAAAGAAAGGATTGGGGTGATTATTTTGGAAGTTCCCTCCAAGTCCTGTGACAGAAGGGAACAGGTTGTAGTGGCAAGGCTGCAGACTTTGCCACCAGGCAGACCTGGATTTCAGTACTGGCTGTGGCTCTTACCAGCCGTGTGACCTTGATCTAGTCATAACCTCTTCAGGCCTTGTTAATTTCAATAATCTGACTCAGCACCTCAAATAGTTTCCTCTTGTTCCTCACTCACTGAGATTCCCTGACTTCTCCAACCAAAGGCACATCCACTGTGCCTCAGAGAGAGAGAGACTTTGCCCCTGGAGAAGAGAGTGAGCCCACTTTTATTTTCCTTCAAGTATTTAGGCCCTTTCATCTTCAGCTTATTTGAAAAGGCCACGAGGACAGCTTTCAGGCAAGTTCCCAGACACTGCTGTTTTGAAAGCTCATGAATGACGAGCGCATTCCCAAAGTCACCAGTATCCAGCCAGGAGATGTCATTTCCCTACATGACTAAGCCCCTCCCAGTTAGCTTGCAGATGCTCACACCTTTGATGGCCCTTTAGACAAAGTGAAAGCAAAGGCAGTGAGATCAAAGACCAAAGACTGGAGGGGAACTGTTCTTAAGCTGCAGACACTATAAGGAAGAAAACCAAGAAAATCCAGATTACTTCTGGGGATGCTGAGGGAACACACGGGGGAGGAAGTTTGGATACCTGTAAGAACTTGGGGATAAGGAAGACTCCGTTCTGAGACTCAAAATGCACAATCATCATCATTACATTGTCCGAGCAGGATGTCTGGGGTGTGATCCAAAAACAGCTCTATTCAGTGTGCTCTGTATGGCTAGGTCTACCCTGTCCCCTCGGATAAAATGTAAGGCAAGTTCCATCGGGTAGCAAAAAGTCCTCCAGTCACTTTCCCCACCAAAAAAGGCTCAGTTCAGTAATCAGCATAAAGCGCCCCATGTAATTGTTACAGTGTCCAAATCCATTTAAAGTGAAAGCTTCTCCATCCCCTGGCTTGAGCCTGCTCCCTGGTGGCCCTCTGCATTTGAAAGGTGGTGTTCTGGTTGCAGCTGAAGGGAGGAGAGGGAGGGGCAGCACAGTTCTTGCCTGACTGGTACTCTTGCAGGCTCTGAAGGCACATCCCGGCTGGCCAGCCTCTCAGAGGGCACATTCTTGGCTGCTTCTGAGCCCTCAGTGCTAGGAAGGGTCACCCACGATTCTCTTAAGCCAGACAAAGACCCCTCCCCTGGCTGATCATTTAGGACTCTTTTCTCAGTCCCTAGGTGTCATCTTTTGCTTCCTTCTGCTTGTCCCTAGCTCCTCGTGGTGCCCCTCATTGTCAGTACGTGGGACCACCCTGCTCTCTTTCTCAGGTAGCCCATATACCTGGTGCTGAGAAATTCTGAGAAGGCAGGTGGCCCCTTGGTCCAGCACTGTCTCTTTGCTCCTGTCTGCTCAGTAGCCAGCCACAATCTCTTGCCCTTTAGATTTCTCAGATGTGAGTTGAACATCAGAGTAAAGTGTGCCCAAGCACCGCAGAGACATATGGAGTTCTCTGAGTGGGCTCATGGAAGCCTTGTCCCTAGGCACAATGAGGGAAGGACATCACCTATCTCTGGGGGCAAAGCTGGAGCCCAAAGCTCACTGATGGCTCCCTCAAGAATCCCCTCCAAATTTTCCTAGACCACTGCAATTCTTTTAAAGGCAGGGGTCTGTGAACAGTATGTCTGACCAATCAGCCCTATTGGTCTTATACCTTACTTGATAACTGGGAGTATTGGACACCCTTTCTCAAAATGTTTTAGCAGAAACAAAGACATGAAGAGTCCTTTGTTAACCTCTGTTACAAAACAACCCAAAACTGAGCAGAGCAGAGTCAAAAATGGCTCATTCAGCAAAATTTTAACATAATCTCACAAGAAGTATTTCATTTTCTAAAGAAAGAAGGTGTATATAAACCACAGTGTTAAAAATAGTCAGTGTTGGATGGTGCATCAACAGGCACTTGTTATATTATTCACTGTAGTTTTGAAATTTCTTGAAAGAAAAGAAAGTCCATATCAAATAAAAAAAGAGAAAAAAGGTGTTAGTTCATTCATTCTTTTTTTATTATTATTTTATTTTTTGAGACAGAGTCTCGCTGTGTTGCCCAGGCTGGAGTGCGGTGGCCGATCTCGGCTCACTGCAACCTCTGCCTCCCAGGTTCAAGAGGTTCTCCTGCCTCAGCCTCCCAAGTACCTGGGACTACAGGCATTCGCCACCGCACCCGGCTAATTTTTGTATTTTTCATAGAGACAGGGTTTCACCACATTGGCCAGGCTGGTCTCGAACTCCTGACCTCAGGTAATCTGCCCACCTCAGCCTCCCAAAATGCTAGGATTACAGGCGTGAGCCACAGCACCCGGCCTCATTTATTTCTTTATGCAACAAACATTTACTGAGCACCTACTGTAAACACTGTGTTGGGTACTAGGGATCCAATGACTAAATGTCCTGGGATTCTGCCCTCCGGGAACACAAGGGTAGAAGCACTTGGGAGCTTTTACATGGAACATATTTTTAATACCATGGCCTCTCAGTATGCATGCATTTAACTTAAGCAGTGTGGTAGGCAGAAAAGGGCCCCCAAAGATGTCTATGTCCTAATACCCATACCTGTGAATATGTTGCCTTTTATGGCAAAAGCAACTTTGCAAGTGTGATTCAATCGAGGCTATGGAGATGGGACATTTTATCCGGGTTTATCCAGGTGGGCCTGACTTAATCACAAAAGGTGTAATAAGTGAAAGAGGAGAGTCAGTGGAGATGTGAAGTGGAAACAGAGGTCTGAGCAGGCGACTTGCTGCCCTTGAAGGTGGAGGGGACCCAGAGCTACAGAATATAGGCAACTCCTACAAGGTGGTAAACACAAGGAAATGGACTCTCCCCTGGAACAGCCCTGCCAACACCTTGTTTTAGCCCAATGAGACCTCTTTTAGACTTTTGACCTCCAAAACTGTAAGATAATAAATTGCTATTGTTTGAAGCCATTAAATTGGTGATAATTTGTTATGGCAGCAATGCAAAACTAATATAAGTAATTTTAACTAAAATCATTCAATAAAGGAAAGGAGGAGGAAAAAATGGAGAAAGTGAAAAAGAAAAATGATACGTAATATAAAGATTTGAAATAGGGCAGCAATTCTGCCTATCTTTCTGCCAACGAGATGTGCCCCAGAGCAGGCCTGATGATGCTTTTTCTCTATTTGGTCTCAATTTTTTAATGTAAACGTCTTGCCACGCTATATAGCTTTAGGGAAGTCTTGAGGGCAACGATGCTCTATGCAATTTTATACATATTTCCTGATTTTTTAATGTAAGCCCTAAACAGATGACATTATTCTATTGGAATTGAGAGGCAGTTGACTCTAGTGATTAAGGGTTTGAGCTGTGGAATCACACAGACCTGAATTGAGTAGCTCGTCGGACCTTTACTAGCTATGTGACCTTAGACAAGCTACTGCACCTCCCCTGTTCTCAGTTTCCTGATCTGTAAAATGCAGAAATAATGGCACCTTCCTCCTTCTTTGTGGTAAGGGTTAAGTTAGATAATGTATATAGAGTGTCTAGCACACAGTAAGCTTCCAATAAATGATTGTAGTTAATACAATTCAAATTATTATCAGGAATATCCCTGCTGTTGGGACAGAATTGCTCTCCAGTGGCTAATTTGATAATTTGCCTCCTAGATACTTTGCCTGCCTCTAGTATAGCTTGCACAAGCCCATTATTAATAGGCTTCCCATTCTTATTTGTTCAGTAGACGAAGTCTTACAAAAAATTGGGTCCTGTGGGGAAAACAGTGAAAAGTAGATCCTTCATAGTGAAAAAGATACCAAGGATGTCATTATTTACAAATATGATTCAACTAACGTATAGAAAGAGGAACTCATGTACCCAAAGACAGCACCACAGGAAGGCAGACAAAGAACTAGAATCTGGGCCTCCCAGCTCCCTTCTCACTTCCTTTCCAGCATGCCACCCACATACAGACAATGTCTAATTACAAGACTGCTTCAAAATTATAAAATCAGACTATTGAAATCTCATTAGAGACCTCGACAGAGACCCTGTTTTAAACTGGGGTAAGTGTGGGTATTCCTTGTGCTGTCCCTTGGTGATTTGTATATATCCACTTATCTAAATCTGACTCCTAAAACGAAATATGCAAATATCAGATGTCAAATACCAAAAAGATTGAGTCTTTTCCACTTATCCAACCTTCCAGCACCCTTTGTTGCCATTATTTTTTTCCCCTGCAGAAATGTACTATAAGAACAAACAGACAAAACAAACAAAATTAGCTTTTCTAAGGTGGACACAAGGTTAAGTTAAAGAGGCAGCCCCTTTTAACCAGTGATCAGGAGAGCTTCCTTCTTGAAAGTACTCCCTTCTGTCCTCCACCCCCAGGTTGTCCACAAAACAACATTGGTTCTGGACTTCTCAATGGGGAAAAGTCTTTAGCTTTTTCAATTGAAATTTGGAAATAATCCTGAGTCTTTTGGGGACGAATCTGATGAACATACTGAGTGGCCAAGTGGGAGACACTGAATTCTCCTTGAGTTCCTCCAGATTCTGCCCGCTCTGGAGGCTCTTCTGAGACTCAGAAATGAGCACCCTGGAAGCTTGTCCCAAAGGAAAACCCCCAGCGTTTTGAGCAATGGTAAAAGCTTGGGAATTTGATTTTTTGCTTAGGGGAGAATTTCAAAAATAATGTCCACGTTTGCTGAACACTTAATACACCTAGGGGAGTCTGCCAGGCATCTCCTGTAAATGTATAATCCTCATAGCTATCCTGTCATGCAGATATCATTATTGTTATTACTCGTGTTTTGTAGATGGGGAAACTAAAGTTAAGAGAGTTTCAATCATTTGTTCAAGGTCATACAGACAGGAAAAGGGGAAGTCAAGATTTGGAATTGTATCTCATGGGGTCCAAAGTTCATGCTCTTAACCCTACACTGTTCTGCATGGGAAGCTCCTACAAACCCTAACCACCAGAACACACTGACGTAGAAAGAGAAGGAAGAAAACTTCTTGAAACTTTATGATCATGTTTTGGTGTCTCCAGTTCACTCATTCAACAAATAAACTTAAGTACCTACTTTGCATGGAACTCATGATTAATGTGAAGTGTTAAGCAGCAAGCAAAACAAACCCAGTCTCTGCCTTCCTGAAACTGAGAGTCTAGTCAAAGAGATGGACATTAGCACTGGAGCTTTTTAAGGAGAAGAGCAACATGATCACAAATTCTCATTTGGGAAAGAGCTCTCTGGCTACAGTGTGAAGTAGACATGACCCATGGAGCACCAGGTTCAAAGGAGTTTTTTTAAAAAACAAGAATTTATATCTAAGAAAGTCAATTTCTCCCTTCCTCCTCTGGGCTGCCCCACTTTTTGTTCTTCTTGTTTTTACATCAAACCAAGTTGTTTTCCTTTGATTTCCAGGTCTGTTTTCACTTCTTGACTGTGAGCACTTTCAGTTTAGAGTTTGTCTGCTTTTGTATCCCCAGCATCAAGCATATTGCCTGGCACACAGTTATTTCATATGCATACTACCTGACATACAGTTGTTGCCTGGCACATAGTTATTACATATATGTATTGCTGGCTCATAGTTATTACATATGTATATTGCCTGGCACATAGTTGTTACATATACATATTGCCTGGCCCATAGTTATTACATATATGTATTGCCTGGCACATAGTTGTTCCCTGGCACATAATTATTACATATACGTATTGTCTAGCACATAGTTATTACATATAAATATTGCCTGGCACCTAGTCAATACGTACACCACACCTATTGCCTGGCACATAGTCATTACATACACCACACCTACTGCCTGGCACATAGTTATTGCCAGGCCAATGACTATGTTAAACGAGTGACTTCTTACTGCCCATAAAGTTGAATTATATGTGTTGCTATTTAATAGATAAAAAATATATAGTTTATAAAAGGCTTTACCTGGGGTGTGTGTGTGTGTGTGTGTGTGTGTATCTTTAGTTAATCGTCTACCAACAATCCAGAGCACAATCACTTTTAGCCTCCAGGCCTTACTGGACATTCCTTTTGTTTGCTGTATGGTTGCTAATGTCAATCACATAAAAAGGCTTGTTAGCTACCAGTGGTGTAGGAGATGAGTCTCTGTTGATCATGCTAGTTGTCATTCCATGATTGAGCATTTAATTAATAACAGTTGATTTCTCTTTAGTTGATTAAGAAGGATATCATTTAAATTTAGTAAAGTGGAAAATTGTGTTTGTGTTTATTGTTTTACTTTCAAAGCTGATTCTCAGGATTTCTTCTCTTTTTTTTTTTTAAAAAAGCCCTTTAATGTGCCAAAAATCATAAATAAATATAACCTAATCAAAAATCATGGTGAGAATTGAAACGTCAACATAGACACAAGCTTCTCATTTGCTTATTGTTGATCTTAATTAAATACAACATATGTTCACATTTTTAAATTTCATATATATTTTAATCTATTCTTTTCTCAGTTTACAGTTTTAGTTTTTATGTTGGGAACTTCTTATCTTATATTCATCACATTTTAAGGATCTTAGTCCCAGATCTTTGTGATCTCAGTTTTCTTCTACCCATTAGTCTAATTTCCTGTGCCTTCCCCCATTTATTCATTCATCCATCCATCCATCCACCCATCCATTCACTCAGTCAGTCAGTCAATGAACACTTCCAGAGTTCTTCTTCTTTCCCAGGTGCTAAACCTGAACTGAGAAAGGCACAGTCATTTGTAGGGAGCTCGTACTCTGCCAAACAGAGCAGACCAGGCCTGCTCGTGTTTTAGTATCAAAATACAGAACACTGTTTCAATGAGAACATTCACACTGGAAAGCCTCAACACATGCCTGCCTGGGTGATTCAAAGTGCTAATGACATTAGGACGACATTGTACTTTCCCCTTTCTGATGGTATTGCCAAAAACTGCTAGAAAAGTTCTAATTCCAGCCTACTTCCTTGGAATGCTGAGAGGATGAAAACACATAATGAATTTGAGATGTTTTAAAACCTGTAAACTTCTGTTCCAGAAAGAGTAATTTCAGCAGCAACACTTGTGAGACTAAACTTTAGAGTTCATTCAGAGTTAGAGGCTCTTCTACCTCATAGAGTTGGCTGGGATGGAAAATGTCACCCCCACTTTATAGATGCAAAAAAGAGGATGACTGAGGGAGTCTCCCATAATGCACATATATCCATTGCTATAATTGATGATAATAATTTCACGTGTCCCCATTTCCGTGACTTAATCACATGGAGTATTTTAAAGCAGTTCAATGTCTGGTGCATAATAGATGGGCAATGAATGTTCCTTGAAACTGACTTCCACTAGCAGTTTTGAATATCACTCTACAATCCCCACCCTCTCTCCAAGTGATGGGTGTCTTTCTGGAAAGACCATGGAAGAAAGGATTAAAGAAAGAGAGATGTTTGGCCTCCTCCAAAAACCTGTGATTGTCTGCCATTTACATTGGTATGTCACCATCAGTAGTGACGTGTGTGTAATTTTTACTTATACTAGCTTATAACACCATCTGCTTGATGTTGCTAACGATTTACTCTTCAAATTAGAGTAGATTCATGACTACTATGATAAATGTCACTCTTGCTCTTGAGTGTTCAAGGGGTTTTTTTGTTTTGTTTTGTTGTGGAGGAAGGCAAAGGGTAAATGGATAGCCAGGCAACAACAGGCTGAATCTCTTTATTTCCCCCACTTAGCCTTATCTTCAGGTCTTGGTTTCTGGTTTTGGAGCCAGCAGAAAGAGGATCTCAACATCAAAAGGCAGTGATGTTCTACGCCAAGAGATTCTGGCATGAAACCTCGTGGGCTACACTGTCCCCACTCACCCGCTCACCCTGGGTTAGTGGAATGAAGGAAGAGGCCTGAGCACTGCAGAGTAGCACTGGGGGAAGACTGTCTGTGGAGGAGAATCCTGAGGAATGGAGAGCTCCCAGTCCAGTGTGTGTTGGCCAAAGAGGCGCTACCTCAGGATAAGAGATAGGCAAGTAGGTGAATGAGCCTGTGGAAACCTCAGCCCCAAGCAGCAATATCACAGTCCCCAGTGAGCTGTCCACACATGGCTGAGAGCTCATGAAGCAGCCTCTAGCTACTCCCTAGCTAGGGAATTCAGGGATCTAGAATGCTGAAGGGGATACTGAGTCAGATCAATAAAAACAAGATTGTCTAGAATCTAGGCAATCTATATCTTTGGCAACAAAAGCAGCTGTAGACTCTTCTACTGGTGGAGAGAAGTCTCCTTTAGCCCCCTGGCCTGGAGAGCTGACAGCAGGGTCCAGACTCCCTCTGGAACCTTCTGACCATCTCCATCTGGACTGACGCCCTCCATGCCTAAAGCATACCTGCCTACCTGGCCTTGGCTTCTCCTCTCTCCTGTATTAAATCCCATATTGGGCGGGCACAGTGGCTCTCGCCTATAATCCCAGCACTTTGGGAGACTGAGGTGGGCAGATCGCTTGAGCTCAGGAGTTTGAGACCAGCCCTGGGCAACATGGTGAAACCCCATCTCTACCAAAAATACAAAAAAAAAAATTAGCCAGGTGCAGTGGCACATGTCTGTGGTCCCAGCTACTGAGGTGGGAGGATTTCTTGAGCCCGGGAGATAGAGGTTGCAGTGAACCGAGATCGTACTACTGCACTCCAGCCTGGGCAACAGAGTGAGACTGTCTCAAAATCAATCAATCAATCAATCAGTCAATTCCATATTACCAGTTTCACATCATTTGCTTTTTCATGGTTTACTTCCTTGTTTGCGGGGGAAGACATTCTCCAAAAGCTTTCTGAAACAAGGTATATGAGAGGTAAAAATTTTTGAAGCCTTGAATATCTCAAAATGTTTTTATCCCACCTCACTCATAGAATTCTGAGTTGGAAGTCATTTCTTCAGAATTTTTAAAGTATTACTCCTCTGTCTCAGTTTCTAGTGTTACCACTGAGCAACTGGAAGACTTTCAGATTCCTCAGCTCTTGTCTGAGCTTACTCCTCTCTGGAAACTTCTAAACTCTTTTCTTTGTCCCCAGAGTTGTGAAATCTCACAATGATGTGTCTTGGGTGGGTGTATTTTTATCCACTATTCTAGGCACTCAGTGGGCCCTTACATCTCGGAACTCATACCATTCAATTCTGGAAACATTTTTGAATTATTTTATTAATGATTTCTTTACTCATTTTCTGTTTTCCTTTCCGGAACTCCTATTATTTAGATATAGAATCTCCTACATCAGTCTTCTCACTTACTTATCTTTTTTCTCATACTTTTCACTTCCTTGGTTTTGTTTTGTATTTTGGTTTAATAAGAGATCTCAACCTCATCTTCCAATCCTTCTAATGGGTATAATTTCCCTGAAAGTTTTTCTTTTCACTGTCCTACTCCCTACATGGATTCCATCTTCCCCAAGTCTCCTTTCTCTGTTTTGGTCTCTGTCTTCCATGCTAGTGGCTCTCTTCAGATATCTGCCCATATTTAAGAACTGGGGATGAGAAGCTGGTTGAGCTTGTAGGTGGGGCTTATCACAGTGAATGTCACTGCAGAAGAGCCAACCAAGCCAGTGCTGGGAACACCCAATGTCAGTCCCTTTGGGTCTTCTTGGAATGAGTCAGATAAACTAGACTTTCAGAGAAGATCCTTCCAATACCCTGTGTGGTAGGAAGAATAATGGTCCCCAAAAAGGTCCATGTCCTAATCCTTAGAACCTGTGAATATGTTACTTAACAGGTCAAAGGGGGCTTTGCAGATGTCATTAAGTTAAGGCTCTTGAGATGGGGATATTATTCTGGATTATCCAGTGGGCTGGATCATCCACTGTAATCACAAAGGCTTTTACAAGAAGGAAGAAAGAGTGGCCGGGCAGGGTGGCTCACGCCTGTAATCCCAGCACTTTGGGAGGCCGAGGCAGGCGGATCATGAGATCAGGAGATCGAGACCATCCTGGCTAACACGGTGAAACCCCATCTCTACTAAAAATACAAAAAAAAAAAAAAATTAGCCGGGCGTGGTAGCGGGCACCTGTAGTCCCAGCTACTCAGGAGGCTGAGGCAGGAGAATGGCGTGAACCTGAGAGGTGGAGCTTGCAGTGAGCCGAGATTGTGCCACTGTGCTCCAGCCTGGGCGACATAGCAAGACTCTGTCTCAAAAAAAAAAAAAAGAAGGAAGAAAGAGGCTCCAAGTGAAAGATGTGATTACAGAAGCAGAGATTGAAATGATGAAGGGTCATGAGCCAAGGAATGTGGGCATCCTCCAGAAGCAGGAAAAGGCAAGGAAACAGGTTTTCCTCAGGGCCTCCAGAAGAGACAGCTCTACCAACACCTTGACTTTAGTCATTAAAACTGATTTTGGACTTGTAACCTCCAGAACTGTAAGATAATAAAGAGAAGTCACTAAGCTTGTGGACGTTACAACAGCAGTAGAAACCTCATACAGCCTGTGGCTGGGAGCTGGCAGTGGGATGGTCTTGGCTTTCTACATGCAGATATATACACACATCCTTTGTTCAGTGGGGTGCTGTATTAGTCCATTCTTGCACTACTAGAAATAAATACCTGAGACTGGGTAATTTATAAAGAAAAGAGGGTTAATTGGTTCATGGTTCTTCAGACTGTACAGGACGCATAATGCTGGCATCTGCTACGCTTCTGGGGAGGCCTCAGGAAACTTACAATTAAGGCAGAATATAAAGGGAAAGCAGGCTTGTCTTATCTGGCCAGAGCAGGAGCTACACACTTTTAAACAACCATATCTCATGATAACTTACTCACCCACTATCATGAGAACAGCACAGAGGGGACAGTGCTAAACCATTCATAAGAACTCCACCCCCTTGATCCAATCACCTCCCACCAGGCTCCACCTCTAATACTGGGGATTACAATTCAACATAAGATTTGGGTGGGGACACAGATCCTAATTATATCAGGTGACTTGCCTCAACTGTACCTGGTGTCCTTCAGCCCAGAGAAATTCTATTGCTCACTGATATGGTTTGGCTGTGTCCCCACCCAAACCTGACCTTGAATTATAATAATCCCCATGTGTTAAGGGTGGAGCCAGGTGGTTATAATTGAATCATGGGGGTGGTTTCCCCCATACTGTTCTCATAGTTGTGAATTAGTTTCACAAGATCTGATGGTTTTATAAATGGGAGTTCTTCTGCACAAGTTCTTTTTGCATGCCACCATGTAAGATGTGACTTTCCTCCTCATTTGCTTTATGCCATGATTGTGGGGCCTCCCCAGCCATACTGAACTGTGAGTCAATTAAACCTCTTTCCTTTACAAATTACGCAGTCTCGCTGGGCGCAGTGGCTCACACCTGTAATCCCAGCACTTTGGGAGGCCAAGACTGGCAGATCACGAGGTCAGGAGATCAAGACCATCCTGGCTAACATGGTGAAACCCCATCTCTACTAAAAATACAAAAAAATTAGCCAGGCATAGTGGTGGGCACCTGTAGTCCCAGCTACTCGGGAGGCTGAGGCAGGAGAATGTTGTGAACCCGGGAGGCAGAGGTTGCAATGAGCCAAGATCGCACCACTTCACCCCAGCCTGGGCGACTGAGTGAGACTCCATCTCAAAATAAATAAATAAATAAATAACCCAGTCTCAGGTATGTCTTTATTATCAGTGTAAGAACAGACTAATATACTTACCCTCTCCAGACAATAAATCTCCAGCTTTCCCCAGGTGGGGAAGGACCAATCTCCCAGAAATGTGAAGCAAGGGAGGGTTCTAGAGATCTGACTCCTCTCCTCCCCTCAGTTCCAGATAAACCTGAAGCTGCTAATTCCTGAGCCATTTGCAGGCTTGGCAGTAGAAATTAGGATGATTATTGGCTTTCCCCACCACTGACTCAGAACTGGGCTTTCTACAGTCTACTGTCACCTGCTCAAATGCTGCTATTATCTTCTCTCCCATTCTCCCTGTCTTCATTAGATTGTGTCTTAGAAGTCTCCATACTTCCTTCCACCTGATTCTGGGTCCCAGGGGATCTTCTGGGGTAGTTTATGCTCACATCTCCTCCACCTGTCTCTCTCACACTGCCACACTGCCTCTCCACTTACTTGGGAATGTCTCTTCTGAACAGGGTCACCCCATCTACAGCCCTTCCCCTTTATTTAGGCCACACTTGCTCAGAGCCAATGCAGCAGTATGCCCCCAAATGGTTGTAGTCATTGTTAAAATACTGAAGTGCCTCCCTGTTGAGTATGAAAAGCCACTGTTTCTAATCCCCCCAAGTTCCTCTGGCCACCACAGATGCTCCCTGGCTGGATTAGTTTGCTAGGGCTGCCATAACAAAATGCCATAGACTGAGTGGCTCAAACAACAGAAATGTATTTTCTCACTTCTGGAGGCCAGCAGTCCAAGATCAAGGTACAAGCTAGGTTGGTTTTGGCTGAGGCTTCTCTCCTTGGCTAGAAGATGACTGACCTCTTGCTGCCTCTTTGCATGGTCCTGCCTCTGCGCACGCCCACCCCTGGTGTCCCACTGTGTGTCCTAATCTCCTCTTATAAGGCCACCAGTAAGATTGGATTAGAGCCCATTCTGAGGGCCTCATTTTACCTTAATTGCCCCTTTCAAGGCTCTATTTCCAAATACAATCACATTCTGAGATACTGGAGGTTAGGGATTCAACACATGAATTTGGAGGGGTCACAGTTCAGCCTGTAACACTGGCCTTCTGTGATTTGGGCCTAGGACTCTCATTGCCCCATATCCCCACCACACTTGTACTCACATATCTGGAATAGCAGCTCTGAACCTGTCACATTCTTAATTTCTCACTGCAAGCCTGGGCTATGAAGCCAGTCCTGCCAAGACAGCCACAGCCCCAGGCCCCCTGCCTTGAAGCATAATGGGAAACCATGAAGCTGTTTGTGTTTCATGTCATATTTTTATGTCCCAACTGCTAAAAATATTTTAAAATAAAATGAAAACAATATATACTGTACACATATATTGTATATGACTCTAAAATAAAAATTCTCATTTGTTCCCTTGAAGATCTGGCCTACTTTTGTTTACATTTTAGGATTCAGTTAGTAAAGACAGTAAAAAAATCTTTGGACAATGACCGTTCATAGCCTATTTACATAAGCTTTTAGAAAAGACTACAGAGTGTGGACAACCTTCATGAGGAAGCGTGTTATCGTGGATCAAAGCAGAGATTTTGGAATCAGACAGGCCTGCATTTAAATTCTGCTTCTGCTTCTTATTAATTATGTGACCTTGAGCAAACTGCTGAACCTTTTAGTTTCCTCATTTATAATAATACCGGGCTCATGTGGCCACTGTAAGAAACAAGTGAGATAATGTACACCCAGCATCCACACAAGGTCTGGACAATAGAGTGGGTGGCTCAAGAAATGGAGGCTCCCTTCCCTTTCCCCCTGGAACCACAGGACTTCAGAGAGGTGTACACTCCCACCAGTCAGACCCCCTCCTTTCATCCCATCCCCAAAGTGGCACCTGGGCCCTGATCTCCTTCTGTTCTTGATAAAATCCTTCATCCACTTTCACCCAATGACGAGGGTTTGTGCAAATCCTATGTTAATAGATTCCTTTGACCAATTCACTTGGCAGGTTTTACATTTGAAAGACTGACAGCTTCCCTCAGCCTTTCTCAGGGGGCCCTGCGGAGGGTCTGGAAACCTCTCAGAGATTAACTTCTGCTTCCTCAGCCCCTCCAACTAGCTCCCTGTGAGCCGAGGAAGATTCACCCCTGGGCTTCACCCCTTCTTCCCTGCTCTACCCCCAGAGTAAGTAAAGGCAGACTTGCTGACAAAGTTTAGAAAATAAATGTAGAGGAGGAGGAGGAAAAAACTGAACATTACAGAGCCCCACGCCGCCTTTGTTAATCTCATGTCGGTGACCTAACTTAGTCTTCCCAACCCCCCAGTGTGGCCTACATCATTGGAGGAGACTGAGATTCAGAAAGGTTAATTAACCAGCGCCAAGTGGCAGAGCGAGCTTTGAGGCCATGTCAGTGAGACTGAAGCCAAGCCCAGTGTTCTTTCCAATGTTCCCAGCTGCAGCCTGGGACCTCAGCTCTCCCTACAATCTCCCACCTGACATTCCTCTGCCCCTCTCTTAGGGCATCCATCATGTTCTTTCATTAGATTCCTTGAGGACAGACAGGTCTTCTGTCTTTGACTTGTTCAGGACAGGAGGGGTGCCTGATTCTTTATTTTCTTTCCCCCACAGTGCCAAGCACGTCGTAGGCACTTAGGATGTGTGTGGAACATGAACCGATGAAGAGTTAAATAAATGAGTGCATAAATAAATGAACATATAAGCTAACAGACAACATATCTATGAATAAACGAAGTTAGAAGTGGTTGACTGGATATGGGGATAAATGGATGGATGGATGGATGGAGGAACAAGCACTTGTAAGAAAAAGTAAATAAGTTTTTCTCACATAGGCAAAAATGAGTGCATGCACGTTAATCAAGTGCATGGATTGCATGGGTGTAGTAATAGGCAAATGAATGAATATGTCAATGAATAATAATGTAAATGAATGTGTAAATTAATGAATCAATAAATACATATATGAATGAGTAATATTAAGTGGGCAAATGTACACATGAGAGTGAATGGATAAATTAATAGGTAAATACACTCATGCAAGGAGGAATGAATGAATAAACACATGAATGGACTGATGAATGCACACATGCAGCAATGAAGGAATAGCTGAGTGAATGAGCCAACAAATGGGTGAATGAAAGCCCTCTCTATTTTCCCAGATGACACCACCCGCTAAGCACAGGATTCAGAGGGCCGACTGAGATTCCAGGAGACAGTATTCAAGTTGGTGCTAGAGGTCTGGGGTGGGATTAAAGATTAGGGCCCAACTGTGCATAGACTGCATGTGCTGGAGTTCCCTGTAGTATCTGCCACATCTCCTAAGAACCAGACATGGAGGTGGTTGTCAGGAGCCCACTGGCTCCAGCAAGTGAGAATTATGGGTCATTCCTCCAGGGAGCCTCCAGGCACAGGGAGTCCTACTCTACCCAGTGTTCCCTTTGTCCTACTCTCTATATTCCCACCCAGCGCCCCACTCCACAACAAGGCCAGAGCACAAGCAGGCAACCACAGACAAGGAAATTAATTCTTAGCATCTAAGAACAGCCTCCTTTAATGAAGAGGCTGCTGCAATATCTTTGCAACAAGCAGCAACCCACATGTTTGATTACAACAGGTTGAGCCATTCCATGCTCCCCAGTGCCAGGGCTCAGGGAAAGAGGGAGGAAAAACAACAAAACCTAAGCACTAAGCAAGAACACACAGTTTCTGACACAACCAGCCTGTGGTCCTGGCTCTGTCCAAGTTGAAAGAGCTATGGCATTTCTTGCCGAAGAGCTCAGCCTCTTAACTCTTCTTCCTGCCCATTGCTGAGCAATGCTTTTCTTTGCTTCTTTTTTTCTTTTTCCACTTCAAAATCAGCCACGATGGGTTTTGAATGGACTGACACCTTCTCCCTTCTCAGCCCTGGGAGCCGATTTGGTCAGGATTGTGGCAAACCGGTATTTCAGGTCCCCTTGGCAACCCCCAGTGCACTGTCTCCTGAGGATTGAGCTTCTAAGGGACTGCGAGGAGACAAGACTTCTGGGTGAGCATCCACACCTTCCTCTTTGTTTCTTTGCTGCCACATTCAGCATAGGTCGCTGTTTCAAAGAGAGGAGAGGTTGGTTGGGAGGAAAGGCTGTCCTGGAAGTTAGGAATGACACATAAAAATGAACACACTATGCTGTGTTCCTGCTGCTAGGGGGAGAAGGAGCAACATGAAGATTCCTAGGAATGACAACTTACCATTTTCAATTTTCACCCTTGTCATTGCTTGTCTTATGATGCAACCTTAGAGTGACACTTGCCACTGGACGTTGGGGTGCCTTTTTGGCCTGAGACGTTTGTCAGCCATTGAATCAATCATCCCAGCTTTCCACTTGCACCAGAAGGATTTGTCCCTGCTCACAGCTGGGGATGAGCTGGAGGGGAGGGGACCTGTGCAGCCTATGCACTATCTCAGAATTGTGGAGACAGTGCTGTGTTTAGTGTAGCATGTTTCTTCTCCACCCTTGGTTTCCTTTTTCCATGAAGAATTGCTTAAAAATTATGTATTTTTTTTTCAAAAAGGGCTTTGAACACAGCACCAGGAAGGTCTACATAGCTATCCACCCTTATTCCCGAGTTCAACTTTGGGATTTGTTTGGGGAAGGGGGTGCAGAGGGATAAAGGCATCAGGAGAAAGACGTTGGTCTTGGTGACTAACTCCAAACAACAGCCACCGACAAAAACAGTGATGTGTAAATTACTGATTTTTATTGGACACTTTGGGGAATATAGTTGTTTGTCAGGAAATGAAAGAGAATGTTTGTGCTTATAAAATTATATGGAAAATCAATGTGGTGTTAAGTATATTTTTCAGTTATTCGAGTCAAGGACTGTTCTCTAGCCAATTCTAGCAAGCACTAAAGGAGACAGACTTCCTGAAGCCCAGCCAAGGGGCCGAACAGAAAGCCCAAGCTGTGGTTCATTGCTGTTCTCTGTCACTTGGGGAAATGCCTGGGGTGGGTGTGAAGGGACTTCTGGAGCCATGCAAAGTTGCAAATGTGGATGTTAGACCTTCATTATTAACAGCAATGCTCAGGACTGTGCTAAACAGAGCACTCTGAAGTCTAGACCTATTTCTGGTTTTCCTTTTCTTGTGCTCCAACCCAGGGATTCTAAGTACTGAGCCCCTGTCACAGGTGGGGTGATCCCTGCAGGAGCTGGGAATTCATAAAAGCATGCTGCAGGGGAGGAGAAATGGGAGAAAATGGAAGCCCCACCTTGGCTCAGTGGTTCAAGAGATGCCTGTCATTAGTAGAAGTGGGGTGTTTGGTGCTACTAAATGGACCTGTGGTTCTGTCTATCCCTGGGCCTTGGACAAGGATATGAAAGGAGAGTGTAGAACAGCCAGGGCCTCTGTCCCTTTGGAAAGCACTTGACACTGCACCCTTGCTGGGGGTCTTTGACATGAAGGAATTAGTAAGAGTAAGATGCTGAGCAATCTACACAGAGCTCTTAGAAGATGAAAAATTGACGGTCAAGAAGCTACCAACAAAACTCACCTGTGACTATAAATCTTTACCAATTGATAATGTGATTACTTTTAAGACACTGAATTGGAAGCCTACAGTCTTCACTGCCATTCCTTCACTGTGTAACCCAAGGCAAATCTTTGGCTTCTCTGGGCTTTGCATCCCTTTGTCCATGTACTTTCTTTTCACTGGGTCTTGCTCTGTCGCCCAGGCTGGAGTGCAGTGGCACGATCTCGGCTCACTGCAACCTCCCCTTCCTGGATTCAAGCAGTTTCCCTGCCTCAGCCTCCAGAGTAGCTGAGATTACAGAAGCCTGCCACCACACCTGGCTAATTTTTGTATTTTTAGTAGAGACGGGGTTTCACCATGTTGGCCAGGATGGTCTCGAACTCCTGACCCCAAGTGATCCACCCACTTCAGCCTCCCAAAGTGCCGGGATTACAGGCGTGAGCCACTGTGCCTGGCCTCCATGTACTTTCTTATAAGGAGCTTCTTAAGACCTTATTCCTCTAAATTCTGTGATTTTATGATGAGGGATTCTTATTGACTAGTGGAGATCACAGCTCAGTGGATAAAGATGGGGCCTAGACTGAGAGGGAGGCAAACTTTGTTTGTCGCTTACTAGGTGTATGTTGTAGGCAGGTCACTTAGCCTTCCTATGCTTCCGATTCCTCATTTGAAAAATAAGTTTTTGGTTAATGTGTTGGTTGATTGGTCTTTCTTCCATCAGTAGAGTTGTGGTGAGAATATAATACACAGTAGTACATGCCAAATAGTGAACACAGGGCCTCCACCACAGATACATGCTAGCTGTTGATGTTACAAAAGGGGGTAAAGAAAACTACTTTCTGTTAAGTACTCATTTTTTTTTTTAACTTTTATTTTCGGTTTAGTGGTACATGCGCAGGTTTGTTCCATAGGTAAATTGTGTGTCGTGGGGCTTTCACCACCCAGGTAATAAGCATAGTGCCCGATAAGTAGTTTTTCGATCCTCTCCCTCCTCCCTCCCTCCCTCCACCCTCAAGTAGGACCCAGTGTCTGTTGTTCCCTTCTTTGTGACCATGCGGACTCAATGTTTAGCTCCAGCTTGTGGTAACTGAGAACATGTGGTATTTTGTTTCTGGTCCTGAGGAACACAACAGATTTTAACAGTGTCCTACTGCTGAGACTTACAGGAACGGTCACAAAAGTAAATAATAAATTCCAACTAATTATTATCAAAGACCAAAATGATCCCTTTGTAACTGCAGAGTAGATCCAATCAAGGACTACATTAAAAAGATAGTCACAGCAAAAAACCCAGAAAAACAAACAAACAAACAAACAAACACTGGCATTCCACTTTTATCTTTTCCACTATGCATCAGTTTCATCATCTGTGAAACAGGGGAATAATGACCAAGAACTATTGAAGAGTTACTTGTTGTAATAGCTACAAAAGAGCTTTCACACAGTGCTTGAGGCACTAGATAAATGGTGCCAGTTGTTATGCTGACATTATTTGAAATTCCTGATTTAGAAAATACAGATCAAAGTATAAACAAAACCTAACGCCGTTTTTAACATAACTTCCTTGAGACTTGGGCTCTGTTTTCTCCACAAGGAAGTTTCTCAGTGCCTGTCTTCTTTCATTTACTCATTCACTCATTGTTTTCTAAAGTGATGGGTGGAGATAACTGAAAATATTATCTAGATTTTACTCAAGTATTACAAATTTCTCAAGGCTTTAAATTGTTTTGCAAATACTATCCCCAAATGTTACTGCTCATTTCAGCAACAGAATCTCCTTGCCAGAGAGCAGCGAGATTTGGGGGTGAACTGTCTCTGGCTGACAGGACACAGCTGGCTGTGACTGTGAAGTATGGCAATTTCAGGCCCAAAGAAGTCTCACAAAGTGTTTGATAATACAAATGAGAACCACAAATCCTTTAAAAATACAGGCCATGATTGGCCTCGTTCTCATTTCTATTAGTGTTGAAATAGATCCAATAAGATGCCTTCAGAGCCTCAAACTAATGGTTAGATTCTATGCCTCATTTCAAAGCCCAAGGATATGAGTTCGTGTGCATACAGATTAAGCCAAAGTTTCCAAAAAGAGAGTATAAGATGTTCTAAAATATTTTAAAATATACTTATCAAAGTTAGGTGATAAAAATACCTCTGCCTGGTACATTATTTTCAAATGCACTTGCAATAGTATTTGCTCATCAATTCTGTCCTGTGGATTTCTCTGTGAACCTCTAGTAGGAGTCGCTTCTTCCTTCATGTGCAAGGAGACAGTATTGTGTGCTTCCCCCAACCCCACTCACTCACTCACTCACTCACTCAGTGAATTACAAATCCCTTATATTATGTTGATTTTTCCTCCAATGCAAAAACATTAAGGAACAACAGTTTAGGTTATTTCTTAGCTGGGTGTGGTGGCTCACACCTGTAATCCCAGCACTTTGGTAGGCTGAGGTGGATGGATCACTTGAAGCCAGGAGTTCGAGACCAGCCTGGCCATCATGGTGAGACCGCGTCTCTACTAAAAATACAAAAATTAGCCAGGCATGGTGGTGTATGCCTGTAATACCAGCCACTCAGGAGGCTGGGGCAAGAGAATCACTTGAACCTGGGAGGCAGAGGTTGCTGTGAGCCGAGATCATGCCACTGCACTTCAGTCTGAGCAGCAGAGTGAGACTGTTTCAAAAAAAAAAAAAAGTTATTTCTTTAGAAGCAAAATATGTTATGATCTCAATTATGAGGAGGAAATAGGACCAAAAACAAATAAATAAAAATACCATTCTAAGGGTAGAAATACTATAAAATTTGAATTGTGGTTATCTTTACCTGGTAGAACTATCATTTTCTTATCTCTACTTTTCCATATTTTCTAAATTTTCCATGATATACAGACATTATATTTAAGAAAAATATTTTCATATTTTTAAAAGAATTGTTATATAAAGTAAAGGTGCTTTTTTAGAACAGCATGTTTCTACTCATCCAAATAGTAACTAACATTTCACTTTTGTGGTAGCAAATGTCTCATGTGCATCATACCTGACTTTTAAGCAAGTATTCAAAATGCATTTTACAGTTTACTACTTTCATGGTATGCTGGCAATAACCAGGCACGCTCTGATTGGCTTAGCTTAACTTTAGCTCTGCATTCAGGCTTAATTCTAGGAGGTTCATATCCCCAGACTCTGACTCAGCAGCTAAACTATGTGATGGACTCTGTGTGCAGAGTTGTTCAGGGAAGGAGTCTGTGTTTAGACTTTCTTGGTGGGCCTTCAACACAAGCTGCCCAGATATTTTTTTTCTTATTTATTAATAACATTTGTTGGAATTCTTTTCTGATTATTAAGGCAATGCACGTTCATTATAGAAAACATTGAAGTTAAATGGAAAGAAGAAAATAAAACACCCACAATACCATATTTCCTCCACCAAGAAATAATCACTGTTGCACACTTATGAACTTCCTTCCCTTTTGTGGGTATGTTTATAGGAGACATTTTAAGCAGCTAAGATTATATTGTATATACGTGTGTGTGCCTATGTATGTATACATATGTCATGTTTTCTAATGTCATTACAACTATTTTTTACAACAATTTTTATGCATGCATAGTAATACATGTACCATTATTTAGTGAACCAATTCTTTTTCCTGGACATTTCAGTTCTCTACCATTCCAACTTTTGTTAATGTAAATAATGCTGTGATAAACATATATAATTAATGTTTCTGTCTTTGATTATTTCCTTAGCATAGATTACTAGAATTGGAATCAATAAGTCAAGGAACATCAATATTTTAAAAACTTTTTATAGTCAAAGAAATGCAAAGTTGAACAGTAATGAGAGGTGAATTTGTGTATATCAAACTGAAAAAACATTTCTCACATTACAAACATTAGGAATTATTTTTCTTTTTCACCTTTGACATATTGATATACGAAAACTAGTTCTTTAATATTGTTTTAATTTTCATTTCTTTGATTATTAGTGAGATAAAACTCTTTCATGTTTATTAGCTGTTTGTCTTTACTCTTTTATGAATTTTCTGTTTATGCCCTTTGTCCATTTTCCTACTAATTTTTTCATCATTTCATAAAAGATCAATCTTTATGAAAGATACTAGGTCTTTGCCACTCTATTAAAAAATATTTTCTCAGTGTTATTTGCCTTTTATTTTTTAATGAATGTTTTGGTACACAGAAATTTAAGCCTTACATAGTCAATCTATTAGTATCTTTCATTACGTTTTCTTCCACTTATCATCCTTAGAAGTACCTCCTTATTCAGAGATCAGAAACTCACTTTCAGCATTTTTGAGTTTGTTTGTTTGTAATATTAAAATAGGGTGTGATCTGTGGCAAGGGACAAAATTCTGTGAATTTTGTCAGGTAACTAGGGCTTCAAGAGGCTCTTTCTACCTCTTGCGTCATTAGAAGAAACTGAGCATTGGCTTTCCATGGTGCCCAGTGGGTCTGGAGATACAGCCACAGGACAGAGTAGCAAGCTGGGATCTGCTAAAAATCCAGAACAGGAATTTTTTTTAAGTAAGTAGGCATGGGGGTTTCAACCATCATGTAGCAAGTGTAATTCTAAATGTTAGTGACTGGGAAGTCCCATGGCAGCAGGGCCTCCACAGAAGCAGGTCCTAAAAAGTAAGTCTGAGAAAATATGTCTGTGTGTTCTCCTTCAGTGAGAAAGGAGAAATGTGGCTGTGGTCTCAGGTGGCAGATATGAAATTAAATGATTCTGAATTAGAGCTTTGCTCTGGGTCACATCTGACAACTCGATTTTCCTCTGTCATTTTGAGGCAATGGTTTTTAGCTCGGAGCTCTGTCAACAGTGAATTCTGCATAGAGGAAGAGATCAGAGTCCCAGACCAGTAGATTAGAGGGAGGTGGTAGAAAGAATATGGGCTTTGGAGCTCTACGGACCAGAGTCTAACACTTTGCTCTGCCAGCTCCTAGCCATGTGGCTTTGAGCCTTAGTTTCCTTTCCTATAAAATGGAGACAATCAGAGTCAGCCTTCGTGGTTACTCCGAACAGTACAATGCCTCACATACAGCGTACTCTCAATGCATGGGTGCTTTGAAAACTAATTGATTTGAGAGTGTCTTGTGAGTCCTAGGTTAAAAAAGCAGAGGATCGTGTTTGCCAGTCCACCCAAGAGGGTTCTCATGTGCCACCAAACTACAGGGACTTAATTTCTCCAAGATAAAAATCAAGAGACCTGATTTTGGCCTGAAAAAGGATTTGTTTGCTTCAAATTGATGAACTTATATGAAAATCTAACAATGGTTTAAAGGTAGAATTATATCCAGTTGTACATTTAATAAAATAATTGAAAAAAGTAAAATTACAGGAAAAAAAGAAGTGTCCCAGAAAATCAGGCATGCCTTCATACACAGTATTCAGTGCCTTTCACATTGGAAACTCTTCAAACCTTCTTAGAAGGTAGCCCTGTTTTTAATTGACCTGCATATTATCTGAGTATAGCTTGCACATGTGATAATACTGATTCAGTAAGTTGCTATAAAGAGTTACTTTATTTTGGGAGGCATTTATTATCACTTCTTTAAACTTATGTTTAAAAATCTCTGTGGCTTTATATATTAGGTAGAATTAAATAAGAATAAAATAATGGCAAAGCTAAACTGCATCTCTTTATTGAGTAGCTAGCTAGGCACCAGGCACTGTGCTAGTTCCTGAGACAGAAAAAGGAGGGTGTGGAGATGGTAGCAGGAAGGGAGTACAATGGCACCAAATCCATCAGCTTTGCCATTGGGAGTTCAGTTATTGGGGAGAAACATATAAATGTGAATATCTCAATGGTGATGTCAGACCCAAGTAAAACTTCAATCCCTCCACCCCCTTTTGAGCACTTTAAGAAATAGTATTATTACCCTTAAGTATTTATGAATTTGAATTATGTGACACCTGTGAGAGGCAGTACATAAATTTAAAAACCCAAATCCAAGACCTTTTGAGTCACTGCCTCAAGGTTTAGATCTTTGAAAGTACAAGACCTTCAGAGTGTCAAAGAAGGAAGCCATAGGGATGGTACCCAGGTCAGCCCCCTTACTCTATTAATGCAGGAGCCAGGGTGCCCAGGAAGTCTCTGTCCCCGGACTCCCAGTGCTCCTCACTCCAATCCTGGGAAGAGCACCCTTGATACCCATATGCCTGCAGCAAGTGGGTGGGGAGGCTGTGAAGAGCCGAGACCTGAACTCCACCCGTTCACTCTGTGTAACCTACAAGAAGTTACATGTTCTCTCGGATCCTGAGTTTTGCCATTTGAAAACAGGGATAATAAAAATCCCTGAAGGCAGACATCCAGGGATGCTGGGAGGAACAAATGAGAGGATGTCTGTGAGAGATCCTTGAGAAGAGAGCTGCAAACGCATGTACACTTAAGGCATTGTTAAAACGACAAAGCAGGGGCTAGGGTCCTTGGCACACATCAAATACTCTGGTTTCAAATTATCCATGAGTCCTTCCAAGTCATGCAAAAGCATCTAGTTTTTTTATGTTTCTGTGCATTTCTAAATAGCAAATGAGGTAGAGAAAGCTCCTATGTGGTTGACAGATCTTTACCTGATGCAGTAGACCAGCGCCATAAACAAATTTGAGTCTAAATAAAGGGAAAAGTATCATTTGAAGGAGGAAAAAAATGGGTATTTCTTAGAACACTAAAGATATATGTCACATTGTTTCCACGCCCTTGGCAGCTGGAGAAGCCCTTTGTTCGTCTGAGAATAGAATAATGTATTATGTATAGGTTTACTCATAAAGTTAACATGTTAGGCATACTAAGTTTAAAGGTGCCATCTATTCACACAGTGTTTACACATTTAGTAATTTAATTTACTTTAAAAAATCTTTAGTGTGGTCACGAACACCTGAAGGAAGTCCTCAGCTCCTTGTCTGTGACCATTTGGGAGCAATTTGCAGAAACCTGAGCCCACCAGAAAGCGCCAGCATTACAGGAAAAAAAAAAAAAAAAAAAAAAAAAAAAAAGCCTGGATCTTCTGGATTTTGTGTTCTCACAAGTGTCAAGCAGATTCAGAAATCACTGATTTTAACAAATGGTGAAGTGGGGGTAAAGTGGAAGAAAAAACGTCTTTTCTGGAGACAACTTTTGCCACATGGAATCTAGTCCAATCAACCTCACTCAGAAATATATATTTCTTCCAACACATCGTTTCAATTCATACTTCCACCATCCCTATCCCACCCTCATCAGAAAATCTAGCAGCATAGAAATGCTTCCATATGCTAGAGGCTGGGTTCCCCAATTTTGCTGAAGGGGAATGAAGAAAAATGTAGTTGAGTAGCCAGCTTTCATAGAGGAGTAAACACTTTGTTGCAGCACATATAGATTGAGTAATAGCAGCCCTCGGAGTTCACCATAAATAATTTTGCAAGCCTGCAGGCCTCGGCTCACTGCTTATTGAGGTTTTGCCACAAAATGGCCTATTAGCATGGATTTAATTATAATTTACATAGATCATGGAAATAATCCTCGACCATGAAAATAAGGCTCAATGATTCTGAATTTAGAAATATTTAAACTGGGAGTCCACGTATGGCGGACAGTTTGGCATCAGAAACACTGGAATCTAGTCCCTGCTCTCTGAATCTAGCTAATTGAGTGATCTTGGACCAGCCACCACATCCCTCTGGGTCTCAATTTTATCAATGAATTGTGGAGATAATAGTAAAAATATCTACATCACAGAGTTAAATGAAATTGAGTCAGCAAAAAGCACTTTGCCACCTGTCCAACATTAAACAGATATCTATGCTGTTGTTGATATAAAGCGGAGAGTCCACAAGTGCAGTGCAGAGAGCTAGCTTTAGAGCCAGACTTTCTGAGAGTCACTCTTGATTCCAATTCCTTGTGTTACATTCAGATTTTCTGGCTCTTGGCTTCTGTTTTGTCATCTGTAATATTGGGTCACCAACAACTCCTATTTCACATTGCTGAGATATGCATATGGAAGAATCTGCTAACTGTGAACCACTCCAAAGGGACCATGTCTACATTTGCTCTACATGGATCCTCATTCCTTAGCACAGTCATTGGTATGTTGTAAATACACCACAAATATATATATATACACACACACACATATACATATACATATGATGATTGTTATGTTACATATTGTCTCAGAACTCAGGGCAGGGCCAGGTAATATGTTGTTTCCAACTGTAAATCTCTCCAATTCAGGATTAGGCAAGTTATTACTTGTTTTATCTCTCAATGGCTGTTTCTTCATTTCTTTTCCACGCTCAGATTTGGAAATGTAATCAGAGAGGGGAGGGAATACTGTTCCATGCCAGCCTCATGATTTGCCCAGACATACAGCTACTGAGTAGTACAGACAGAAGTGGAACTCAGGTCAGGTTAACACAAAACTCTCCTCTTTTCTTCGTTCATGAATGCATCTAACAACTTGAAAGTTCAACTGTTGCCAGAAGAAGCCCAACACAGAGTAGGTGCCAGAACTGGCTGCCTTCATTTATGAGCACAGTGCCCACTGGAGGCAAAAATGAACACTACTCTTGGATTTCAGTACTCTGGCTTACTCTAGAGAGTTAGGAATTATAATCATGCATTATTTTGCTTGGTTGTAGGTAAACAATTCTCCGTGGCCCAGTCTTGGGAAATTATTTTAGGGAAAATTCAAATACCTGTCTTAAACATCTGAATCATTCTACTGCAATAATTTTCTAATAAAAATATTTATTGTTAGGAAAAATTTACTAAGCCCCGCCCCTGCACTTAACAAAATCTGTGACAAGCCTTCTAAATAGATGCTGTTCTCAATTTGATACTTCCAAAGACATCTTAAGAGGAAATAATCAAATCGCCAAACTTCCTCCAGCTCTACCTTCTGGCAAATAGATTCCATTTTTTCCCCTTTTACCCCAGCCTTAGACATATTTATTGATCTAACTAGCAAAGTCAAAATAGTTCTTTTCTTTAGATAGCTCTGCTAGCTTCACTAGGAAAGCATGTTTGGGAGGTTTCTACATTAGCCATTGGTTTTCTTCTACAGGAGATAAAAAGAAAATTCATTTATTGTCACACGTGGGGTTTCACTTTAAAATGTGCTGCAAGCAACGGAACGTCATTTCATTTTATCTAATTAATGGCTACCATGGGTTAAGTATAGCATTCTGCTTAGAATTCTGTGCGTAGGATAATTACTACAGATACATATACAAAATGTTATTGATACATATAGTAATGGGAGTTTTTACAATATTATGCTTTTAAAGCCTTTTAGGAATACCATGGTCATGTCTAGTAAAGAGCAGTGTGAAATTAGAATTTTAAAATGCTAATATGGGTATCAAATAAAGCTGAGCATTAACCCTTGTCCATGGCAGATAATGTTAGATTCATCGTTATCCTACTGTTCTACCTTGACTAGATTTGTTCATGTGTCTCAAAATTTATTTATTAAGCATGTGCTAGGCATTAGACACACAGTAGTCAATAAGACAGGCATCTGCCCTCCTGAAGTTTGTGGAACTGCAGGGAAGACTAATATTGAATAAGCAGCTACTGGCAATGCTGAATGTTATTTTCTTTAAAGGCAAGTATAACAGTCAAAATTAAATATTCTCTTTTTCTGAGGCTGTTACAAATACCATTTTCTGGACATATGCTCTTTCTTTGCCTAGAATGTCTGGCTTGGCTTCCCTGTGAAAGGAATCTTGGAGACAAACATGTTGTCCCATGTGTTCCCTGACCCCCAAAGCAGAATTAGGGTCTTTGCTGCACTGTGTTCCCAGAACATGATTCAAGCCCTTTTATTAAGAGGCTGTTTAGTGCCTTCTAAGGGATTTGGCCCTGAAGTCAGGCTCCTTGGATTTGAATCAAAGCTCTTCTACTTACTAGCTGTGTGCCCTTAAATAATTAAATTAGCCTCTGGCCTCCACTTCCCCATCTGCAAAATGGAAATTTATAATAGCATATAACCCTTAAGATTGTTGAGAGGACTAAATAAATTCATCAACTAAAAAGCACTTAAAACAATGCTGGGCATGAGTATATGCTTAATAAGCGTTGGCTCTTGCTATCATACCACTAATTAATACTTTATATTTAGATTGGAATTATGTGCTTAACATGAGACCCTCAATTTACTCATCCCTTCATTTCTAGCACTTAGCACAGGGTTTGGCACACAGTAGGTGCTCATATAATATTTGCTAAATTACTGCAATTATGGTGAATCCTCATAACCATGACGCACAGGGCCCAGATCAAGGAAACTTGGGTCAATGGCACTCTAGGAACTTGGCTTATGCCCCACATATGATTTTGTTCCATTTCTTGGTGAATTACCAGTAAGAGGGAAAAAAGTATGTGTATCTTTTGGACAATCTCTTGATGTGCTCCTTGGCTCTTTTATTTAAATGCATGCATGTTCTCCTTGGGTTCCTTGGATACCATAGAAAATAACTGACATTTCTTTAGATTCAGTCAACACATTCTTTGAATGAACAAACAATATCATGCCTCTCTTATTTTAATTATGCCAAGCTGCATGTATGAGAGTCCTACAACACAATGCAATTTTATTTTGTCAAGTGCCTTTCATCTCAAGCTGCATCCCTGGCATTCAAGTTAAATAATAAATTATACAGCACAAGGTGTTTAGGGAGGAGGAGAGTTAAAGGACCAAAACAAAGGAGGAAAGCTGTGAGAACAGAGGACCTATAATCAGATTTTTCAGGACGTCCAGCTCTCCATCCAGTTGTGATTGTTCAGTAACGTTTCAGACAGAATAACTGGAATGGGGATGTGGTTTAGCAAATGGCTTAAACAATGGTTTTGGTTTCATGGTGATGACACAGTTGCACTGTATTTGTCGTGCTGCTTTGGAGCTCTTTATGTACCATGCAGCGCTTTCTATTTAGAAGAACATGTCTCAACAGACAAAATGCTGTTCCCCCTCTGTGTTGTCAGAAGAGAATTGAAATGGCAGTGGAGAGTTCTGATGGGTACTGCGGAGTCCATTCATGTCTGAGAGTAAGAGAATGAGAGATCTGATACTGAAATAATGAGAATTAACATTTATTGATACTCACTGCATGCCAGGCATTATTGTATGTGCTCCAAATACTTTATTTCAGGGGGTTAGCAAACTATGACCCATAGGCCAAATCCACCTGCAGCCTGTTTTTGTACAGCTTGAGAGCTAAGAATGTTTGCATTTTTAGAAGATTGTTTAAAAAAAGGAGAGAAGAGAAATAATAGATAGAAGAAGAATATGTAACACAGATCTTATATGGCCTGCAAAGCCTAAAATATTTACTTTCTCTTTTTTTACGGAAAAGGCTGCTGATCCCTGCTCTGTCTCATTAATACAGCCCATGCAATGATGTGAAAATTTTATTATTCCCATTCTATAATTTGGATACTGAGTCTTAAAAAGGATAAGTACTCCCCTGATATTACACAGCTCGTCAGTATGATAGCTGTCCAGGGATCACAAACTCAAATACTTATAGGACTTGAGTAATATAAATGAATAATGTGGAACCAGTAGGAGCTGTGACAGTGCAGAGGGCACATCCCCCTTTTAAAAAAGATTGCCGCAGTGCAGCTCAGCCAATAGTGGCTTTGCAGTAATGGTTGACCCATGTTGCCTAGATTTTCTGATCTTTCAAGAAAAGTCAGAAAACCAGATTTTTATGTAAAATCTCCTAATTTTTAAATGTTAGTAACTGATTGAAAAATTTTAAAATACTCTATTGATTAAGCAAAGCATGTGTGTAGACTGAATGAAGCCCAAGAGCCTCCAGTTTGAAGCCTTTATTATTATGAATTCAGCTGGTATAACCCCTTCACTTTACAGTGAGAAAACTAAAGAGTTGAAAGGAAGGGTGACATTTAAGTAAGATTACAGAGCGAGTGATGGGGGAGCCTAAGCTATTTGCCTATTATTATTTTGAGACAGAGTCTTCCTCTGTTGCCCAGGCTGGAGTACAGAGGCATGATCTCAGCTCACTGCAGCCTCCACTTCCTGAGTTCAAGTGATTCTTGTGCCTTAGCCTCCCAAGTAGCTGGGATTACAGGTGTGTGCCACCATGCCTGGCTAATTATTATTATTATTATTATTATTATTATTATTATTATTATTATTATTTGTGAGACAGAGTCTCGCTCTGTACCCCAGGTTGGAGTGCAATGGTATGATCTGGGCTCACTACAACCTCCATCTCCTGGGTTCAAGCAATTCTCCCACCTCCGCCTCCCGAGTAGCTGGGATTACAGTCACCAGCTATCATGCCTGGCTAATTTTTGTATTTTTGTAGAGATGGGATTTCACCATGTTGGCCAGGCTGGTCTTGAACTCCTGAACTCAGGTGATCTGCTGCCTTGGGCTCCCAAAGTGCTGGAATTACAGGTATGAGTCACTGTGCCCGACCTGGCTTTACATTTTAACTCTCTATTGAGCACTGCTCTAATTTCTATTTAGTAGAACAGATGTTTGGTAAGTAGGAATAATTTCTTATAGACTTATCTAAACCACTAGGTGCTATTAGAAGATAACAGAACATCACATGGAATGGGAAGGTACACATTGAAGGTCATCTAGAGCCTCTTTCTCCTTATAGTTTTGGAATAATCAGAGAGGGTTGCTAAAACGCCCAAGGTCACACAGCTAAGTTGGGGCAGAAGTGAGTCTCCCACCTCAGACTCAGCTTTATTCCAGTAGTTTCCCTTGCCTCATTATGAACTCTGAATCTTTGAAGTGCCTCTCCAATGTCTCCTTTACTATGCCTTGTGTCATACCCAGAGTATGGTTCTAGTTGAGCCTAAGCTGAGATTCACCCCTCCCACCCAAGTTGGAAGTTGGCCTGAGTTAACTTGCTTTCAGGGTGGTGAATTCTAAGAGAGCTGAAGCAGAGGCTAGTGAGAGAAAAAGGGAGGCAGAATGACAGCATTTTTTCAGCTAGTGAGAGAAAAAGGGAGGCAGGAAGACAGCATATTTTCCCAGGACAGTAAGGCTACAGGCAGCAGCTGACAGCGCTGTGTTCACAAGGGAACCTGTGAGATCGAGAGCACAAGTAATGCTGCCTGGGGCCCAGGCAGCCCTGAGCGGAAGAGGGGCTTCTTGTTTTTTTTGCAGTGAACACAGCACAACCCTGCTGAGGGCTGGAGGGAAGGAACTCGATGTCTTTCCACACCTTAAGGCTCTTGCATATTTCAGAATACCCAGAGTTAAAACTCCAGGCATGGTGTGCTCAGAGAAGGCCATAGAAGCAGGTAACAGTGAGGGTCTACCTTTGACTTCAAAGGTGGTGGAAAGTAGTGAGTATCTTGCAGTCAAAGCAGCAGAGAAGGCTAAGTGTGTGAGACATGCCTGGGCTCCTGGGGAGAGTGTGCAGTAGGAGAAATGATTTCTGAGGTTCTGTTTACGCATATTATGCACATAGGGCAGAACGACAGTGTGATGGGTACCATCACTGTTCTTGTGGTCCCATTTGTACCTGGGACAAATTAGGTTCCATATGATGTGGCCAGCATAGAGAGTACAGTCTAGGCACTACTCGAAGTGTGGTCCTGGGACCAGCAGCATCAGCATCACCTGGGAGCTTGTTAGAAATGCAGAATTGCAGCCCCACACCAGAGCTACTGAGCCAGAGCTGCGCTGTATAACAAGATCCCCTGGTGATTTGTGATGACGGTAAGGTTTGAGAAGCTCTGGCCTCGGTATTAGGAGTAACAGCTCTAAAGCAAACTGTGGGTTCTAATCTAAGACCTGCCACATCTTTGTTGTGTGATATTGACCAAGTGATTTAACATTACCACACCTCAATTTGCTCATTTCTAAAATGAAGATAATAATGGTTTTTATTTATAGTGTTGTTGTGATGCTTAATTGAGATAACCTGTGAAGCACAGTAATTGAGGTACAATAAGCGCTTAGTAAATATTAGCTACTATCATCAATTATTACTTTCTGCAATCCAGGACTTCTTATCAAAGCATTTGTAGAAGAGGATTTTCTAGTTCCCTACTGTTGCCTTACCACTTCCCTTAGTAACTCAATGAGCTGTCCACCCCAACACAGTCTGCCAGTAATTATAATATTAAAAACAGCATAGCTGCTATTTATTGACATTCTTCAAATTATTAGAATCTGAAACTACAGATCAAACATCATCCCGGTTACCCTTACAATAACCAGTTAGGCAGATGTTATTATCTATGTTTTAAAGATGATGCCACTCTGCCTCCCGGATTCATCTATAATCCTGTAAACAGTGGAGCCACAGTGCTTCTCAGAGAAAGAGCTCAAGACCCTTGTATGGGTTGAATACCTCTTAAAATACTGGCCTGGAAGAAGAGTTTGAACTTCAGTTACACACAGAGGAAGAAACACACTTCTACCTCTGTTCTTTCCCTAACACCTACTAAAATGACAGAGAAATGATAAGAAAGCAGAAAACTACAAAGGAAAAAAGAACCAATGAGAAGACAATAGCATTTTGGAACTATAAAGCAGATGGACAAGAAATAATTGACAGGCAGACCTGAGAAAGTGAAACCTAAGCTATCAGTGGAAAACATCCAGAAGGGATCTGATTTTCATTGCAGAGCACTAGGAAACCTCAGAAATGGGAAGCCTCAGGCATTTCTGAAAGTAGGGGCCTGGGTGGGGTTGGAAAAAAGGAAAATTGGTTGTTTGTCTTAAGGTTCCCTTCTCCGTTTTGTTTTCCTGAGTGCCTGCACTGTCAACCCCCAAGGAGAGGACTGGAGATTTACTGACTATAGTAAGTGAGCCTGAGAAAGTCTGGACTTCTGGAAAACAGCTCAGCTAAAGGTAGATATACTGTGCTTAAAAAAAGGAACAGGAGAAGTAAATGAAATCTGTATAGAAATGGTGAGACTATCTCCCAATGGTGATAGTCTCAGCTACTCAGGAAACTGAGGAGCGGGGGAATCACTTGAGCTGGGAAGGTAGAGGCTACAGTGAACTGTGACCACAGCACTGCACTCCAGCCTGGGCAACAGAGCAAGACCTCATTTCAAAAACAAAACAAAAAACTAAAACAAGCTTCTGAAAGTTAAAAATATGACAGCAGAAATAAAAATGTCTACAGAAGGATTGGTAGGCAAAGCTGAGAAAATCTCCCAAAAGTAAAACAAAGAGACAAAAATGTAGAAAATAGGAAAGAGAAGATTAAAAAATTAGAAACAGTCTGAGAGGTTCAATATCTTATTCAATATGTGAATAAGATGACTTTGGAACTAGAGAACAAAGAAATTATCAATGAAATAAACAAATTTCTCAGAGTTTCTAGAGTAGAAGAACTCAGCCACAGTTCAGCACATTGGATGAAGGAAGACCCACACCGATCCTCATATAATTTTGAACTCTGGGAAAAGGAGACCATCCTAAAAATTTGCAGAGAGCAGGAAAAATAAAAAGTCCACCCAAAGAGGAGAAAGAGACAAAATTCCGTCAGTTTTAATAAGCAACGCTGAAAGCAAGAGACAATAAAACCATCAGGGTCATTAAAATAATAAAGAATGTACTTTCAATCTAGAATTCTATAACCAGCCAAAGCAGGTCTCAAAAACTTTACCTTCTATACACTTGTTCTCAGCATAAAGAGGAAAAAAACAAAGAGGAAGATACAGGATCCTGGAAACAAAAGGTACAAATACAAGAGAGAGATCCAATAAAATCCCTAGGAATACGGTGGCAAGGGATCTTAAAACAAGAACTATGCAGCAGGACTAGAAAGTAAGGAGCCTATATTGGGAACAGTTTAGACAAAAGGAAATAAAATTTCTATGAGAAAGGGAAGGGGAAGGGAGGAGAGGGGATGGTAAGGGAGGGGAGGGGAGGAGATAGATTGATATACTGCAATGTACTGAGAGAAGATTTATAATTTGATAGTTTGGGGATGAAATAGCAATAGGTACCTAAAACACTAAGCAAATATGAAAGGAAAAGAGGCAATTATTAACTCAAGGGAAAACAAAAATTAAAACAATATAGTACATAATAGTACACTACATGGCTTAGTTGAGAGTAATTTTTCACACATAATAATGACAATACTAACATTAATAAAAATTCTAATGTAAGTGCATTGAAGATATAGGGAAAAGGGAAGTGTCTATAAAGAGGAAAAAGTTAAATGATCATCTTCAATAGTAGGAAGTATACTGATAGTTTCTAACAATTAAAGAATCAAGAATATAGTAGAAGCAGAATATTTAGAAATATGGAAATAAAATTTAGAAGAAACAGCTCAAATAGTTAAAATGGTTGCCTCGGGGGAGAGGGAATATTAGGTGTAGTTGGATGGTGAATTGTAGGTCAGTGGACTCTGTTTTGCATTAAATCCTTGTGTGATATTTAGCTTTTAAAATTATGTTTATGAATAACTTTGACAAAAATAAAGTTGAAAAAGAAGTACTGGCATTTTGGGCCTCCAAGTCTTATGTTGAAGAAAGAGGGCTCTAAGGATAGCAATGGAAGTAGCAGGCAGAACATTACTGGGTCTTCTTGTCTTCCTGAAAAATGAGAGAAAACATAGTAAGAATCATCTAGAGATAGAGAGGCAAGGGAGAGAACACTGACCAAATCAGGAGCTATGAGTTCTAGCCCTGATTCCATCATATGTGATCCTTTCAAACCTCAATTTTCTTATCTATAAAACAGTATTTCTATTCGATCTTCCTCACAATGCTGTTGTGATGATCATGAAAGATAATAGATGTAAAATGCTTTGTAAATTGTAAAGCACTCCACAGATGTAATGGATTATCATTATTCTACCCACGTATAAGATTGGCAGACAGTTTACTATATTATAATTTATACCATCTGGCTTATTTTTGTTTTTTTTAGCAAAACTTTTCTTATAGCAAAAATAGAATGAATTCCTTATGGAAATGTTTAAATACTAAAAAGCAAAAAAAAAAAAGAAACTAAAAATTCATTTTAATCTTATTAAGAAATAACTACTGGTATTATACATTTGGTATATATATAAGATTATTTTCCACTGAAATATATATTATGACTATTTCCCCAAATTACATATTTTTCTACAGCATCATTTATTATTTGTGATGGAAGAAAGGAGCAATAGATAGAAGACTGATAGGTTAAGTAAAAACTGAGTTATAAGTTTGGTATAAACTCATAGCAAATTTTCTTTTCAAAAAATTATATATATCCTAGCCATTCCAATAGAAAAAGGCTAGAAACAATACCAACCCAGTGGCGATGAGCAACTCCTAGTAACAAGACTGTGGTTTCTAAAAAACATTTCCCATTTAAAAAGAAAGGAGGAGGTCCTGGACAATTTCACGTCTGGCTTAGGAAAGATATAAGATTAGCCTAGAACATCTTTTATTCCAGAAAGAAAGAAAGAAGGCTATCAAACACTTGAGAATCAATATGAAGATGTTTGCCACAGACCAAAGATGGGACAATTTGGACATCAATATATAAATGAAAATATATTAAACATATTTAAATACATGAGCTCATTACTGATTTATAAAATAGAAACACACACACACATTGTCTGCCTCTGGAAGATTCTTTTTTTTTTTTTTTTTTTTTTGAATGAATGAATGTCTGTTTTTATTATTATTTTGGGGGTGGGAGAACAGAGTTGACCTTCCTATAGACTGGTGGCTCTCAGCTGGGGTGATTTTGCCCCCCAGAGGGGACATTTGGCAATGTTAGAAGACATTTTTGTTTGTCATAATTCGGGTAAGGGGGTGCTACTGGCATGTAGTGAGTAGAGGCCAGGGATGCTGCCGAAAGTTCTACCACATGCCTGAGAGTGGCCGACAATAAATCGTCAGGTCCAAAATGTCCATAATTGTCAGGACCAAAATGTCCAGCTGAGGTGAGAAACACTGCTGTAAAGAGACAGTGAGAAATAGGATTGGAGGAGGAGGAGCACACCTTATACCACACCTTTAACGTCCCACAAGTATTTTGGATTATTCCACAGGCCGTTAGAAAGCCAGTGAAGGTTTTTGAGTAGAGAGGATGATGAAGGTCATGTTTAGGAGGATTAATCTGGCTGTTGTATGCAGGATGCATTAATGGGTGGGCGGGACCGCCTCTGGAAGATTCTAAGGAACCAACTCATTCTTTGGAAATCTGGCAAATAAAATGAAAAAATCAAATATTTATCCTGTCCTTTTGGGTAACCAAATAGTTGATGAGAGGAAGTTTCTTTTTATTGAAGTATTCCTGTTAAAAGTAAGGAAGCAATGATAGAATATCATCAGTTTGCAAACTCTAGTGAGATGATGAATGTAGGAAATGAGCATCAAAGGCTGCTAACAATACAAAGACTTGTGAAAGTACACAGTACCATCTATAAAGCAGTCTTGCAAAAAAAATTAACTCTGAATTGGATTGAGCCTCTAGAATAAATTACAAGTTTACAGGAAATATAAGACATAGAAGAACATGTTAAACCACACCAGAAGGCTGCAATCAATAACCTGGATTGCAGGAAACTCTGCAGGACAAACAACCCAATCTCTTTAAAAGTAATGTACAATGGGTGCAGCGCACCAGCATGACACATGTATACATATGTAACTAACCTGCACATTGTGCACATGTACCCTAAAACTTAAAGTATAATAATAATAAATTTAAAAATAAAAAATAAATAAAAAAAAACTAGACGGAAGCATTCTCAGAAAAAAAAAAAGTAATGTATAAGCAGGGAAAAGAATAGATGGCTGAAAACCTATAGACAGAGACTTAAGAGATAAATCAACCAGTTGTAACACATGGAGTTTGTTTGGATCCTGATGCAAACAAACGAAAAAAAGAGAAATTTATGAAACAATCAGGGAAAGTCCTTCAAAATAAGGGGGGTAGGGAAGGGTGTAGATAAAACAAGATTGGACATGAATTGACAATAATTAAAGCTAAATAATTGCTATAATCAATTTATGGATTTTTTTATTTTGGGGGAAATTTTTCATAATACATTAAAGAAAGGTCACAAAAATATTATGACTCCTTTCCAGATTCATTAAAAATTCTTCTATAACATGATCTATAATGACTGTATAATACTTCATCATACAATTGTGTACCATAATACATTTGATCATTTAGTAGTTTCTTGACATTTAAATTGTTCCCAATTGGCCTCTATTGCTACTAACACTGATGAAACCCCTTTATATAATTTTGGGGGTCCACCCATCATTATTTTCCGTGAATTAATTTCATTAAATGTAGACATAGATACCTAGGTCAAAAGCTCCACACAATAAAAGGTTTTGAGTATATATTGCCATATTATTTTTTGGAAAGGTTGTACCAATATATACCCATTGGCGGTATAGGTAAAGTTAACTGTTTTCTGTACATGTTATTCTTCTCTTACATTTTCTCATTTGATAAGCAAAAACAAAACAGAAAAACTCAATGTTTTTGTTTCTTGTTTTCTTGGAGTTATTAATGATTTAAATATATGTTACATGCCTAGCTGTATATGTTTATGGTAAATTAGCTTTTTATGTCCTTTGTGCTTTTTTTTTTTTTTTTTTTTTTTTTTTTAAGACACAGTCTCACTCCATCACCCAGGCTGGAGTGCAGTGGTGCGATCTTGGCTCACTGCAACCATCACCTCCCACCGGCGATTCTCTTGCCTCAGCCTCCTCAGTAGCTGGGATTACAGGCGCCTGCCACCATGCCTGGCTAATTTTTCTATTTTTAGTAGAGACAGGGTTTTCTTTGTGCACTTTTTTCTTATAAATTCATAAGACCTTATTATATATTAAGAACAGTAGCACATTTTCATGTATGTTTCAAATACTTCCCCCAGAATTTTGTTCTTTGTTGATTTTTATCTTGGATTTTAAAATATACAAACATTTTATTTTTTTATACACTGACATTTTTCTTTACAATATCTTCTTTATCATCTTACATTTTAAAAGGTCTTCCTTCTTCACATCCAAAATCATATACATTGTCACCTATGTTTTCTTTTCATATTTTCCTTTTTTACATTCAGTGTGAACATTTTTAAAGACATACTATAGCCCTCTCCCAGTGGTTTGTCAGTTACCTCAATACATCAATTAAAATGTGTATCTTGTGAAACTAATTTGAAACTTCAGTTTCCTCTGGGTTACTTTAATAGTCGACAGACTTGATAGTGATAATATAATTTAACTTTTGTGAGCAGCTACTATGTGTCTTACCTTGTTTACTTGCTTGAGATTTATTTAAGTAAATATATCATAATCACTGTGATCTCTGTGATTAAATTCATAGGCTATGTCTATATAATAAAATAGTTTGCAACTTAGTACAGCCATTATGAAAAACAGTGTTAAAAGACAAACTTTAAATTTAAAGGAGTTTAATTGAGCAATGAATGATTTGCAAATCGGGCAGGCCCCAGAATCACAGCAGATTCAGAGAGACTCCATAGGTGCCTCGTGGTCAGAACAAATTTATAGACCAAAAAAAGGGAAGTGACCTACAGAAATCAGAAGTGAGGTACAGAAACAGCTGGATGGTTACAGTTTGGAGTTTGTCTTATTTGAACACAGTTTGAACATTCAGCTGTGTATGAGTGGTTGAAGTGTGGCTGCTGGGATTTGCCAAGACTCAGCTATTGCTATAGGCGCTTACTCCTAAGTTAGGCTTTCAATCTTGTCTACCTGTTAAGTTAGGTTACGTTCGTCCATGAGGACTCAAGTATGGAAGTATGGAGTCCTTCTCAGACCATATTTAGTTTGCTTTGACAACAGTATGGAGGTTTCTCAACAACAAAACTAAAAATAGAATTACCATATGATCCAGCAATCCCACTACTGGGTATTTCTCCAAAGAAAAAGAAATCAGCATATCAAAGGAATGCCTGCACCCCCATGTGTATTGCAGCACTATTCACAATAGCCAAAACATGAAATCAACTTATCTCTCCATCCACAGATGAACAGGTAAAGAAAATGTGGTATATATACACAATGGAATACTATTCAGTCATAAAAAAGAATGAAATCCTGTCATTTAGCAGCAATGTGGATGGAACTGGAGATCATTATGTTAAGTAAAATAAACCAGGCCCAGAAAAACAAATGTCTCATGTTCTCATTCATATGTAGGAGCCAAAAAAATGATCTCATGGAGGCAGAAAGTAGAACAATAGTTACTAGAGTCTGGGAAGCATTGGAGGTTGGGGTGAAGAGAGGCTGGTTAATGGATACAAACATACGGTTAGATAGAAGTAATAAATTCCAGTGCTTCATAGCACAGTAGGGTGGCTACAGTAAACCATAATTTCGTGTAGATTTCTTTTCTTTTCTGTTTTTTGAGACAGAGTCTCACTCAGTTGCCCAGACTGGAGTGCAGAGGCATGATCTCAGCTCACTGCATTCTCTGCCTCCCTCGAGCAATTCTCCTGCCTCAGCCTCCTGAGTAGCTGGGACTACAGGCACCCACCACCACGCCTAGCTAATTTTTTTATTTTTAGTAGAGATGGGGTTTTGCCATGTTGGCCAGGCTGGTCTTGAACTCTTGGCCTCAAGTGATCCACCCTCCTCAGCCTCCCAAAGTGCTGGGATTATAGGTGTGAGCCACTGCACTCAGCCCATTGAGTTTATATTTCAAAATAGCTAGAAGATCTGAAATGTTCTCAACACAAATAAATGATAAATGACGTGATGAATTATCCTAAATACCCTGATTTGATCATCACATATTGCATGCATGTTTCAAAATATCACATGTTCTCCATAAATATGTACAATTATTATGAATCGATGAAAAAGTCAAATGTCTTTTAAAACATATGCAAGTATGAAAAGTAATACACCAATTTCCAAGGTATTATACACATATATACACCTATTTATATTTAGATGGATAGAACTATTTTTAAGATATATTATACATGAAAAATATAATGTGCAAAACAGAACAGTGTATAAGTCCTAATTGTCCTACAGATTGATAAGGCCTTGAAGTACTGAATTGCAGTCTGGTTTGGGAGTAGTAAAGAATTGATTTTCTAGGGTTGTTGTAAGGATTAAATGTATGAATATGTGTAAGGCTTTAGGTCAGTGTCTGACACGTCATTTACATGACCATCATTAGAATCACCCTACAGAGACTTTGGTCATTTAGTGGAGGCTCTTTTGTTTATTCTGTCTGTTTCATTCTTGATTACCTCACCCATGGTCGTCTGGACAAATATGCAGATCTAATGAAGGCTGCAGAATTGTAAGACTAAGAAATGGATGTAATTTACTTTTGCAGAGGACTAGCACCTGTCACCTGATGCATGAAAAAAGCAAATCCACATGAGTGGCAAGGAAGTCTGTTAGGCAAATGATGGGAAGAGATAGGACAAAAAATTGGCGCATCCCTTTTGGAGAGCATCACATGGCATTAAGCATGCAGGAGAATGCTTTAGGAGAGCTCTTTTTGAGGAGACCAGCCCTCAGAAAGAAACATTATGCAAGCAATGTCAGCTGATACACTTCCTCTCTGTTGTGAGAGTGGAGGCTGACCTAATCAGGGGGATGCTTCCACCACGGAGTTTTGCCAGCTCGTTACCTTTGACCACAACAGATGCTGCTATTTTCTGATCAGTGTTTTCCCTGCTATCTGGGAGCAAATGTCAGTGGAGGAGTACAATCTGACATCAGAACCATTACAGGCTCATCTGAATTTGAGCCCCACTGCCCAAATCATATGCCTTCAAAGGCAGAAAGTATACCGTTGGCATGGAGATGGAGTAAGTTTGTGTAAAATACCCCCTATCAACAGTGCATAGGTATATATATGTTCACAGGCATTCCACTGCTTAGGAAGGAGGGGAGCCCACATTCATTCATTCATTTTAGAAATATTTATTGAACACTTACTTTGTGGCAAGCACTGTGCTAGGTGCTGGGGATCACAACAGTGAACAAGATACTCCTGGTCACTCCACTTATGAAACTCATATTGATTGCAGTTGGGCAGATTTAAAAAGTAAAATGAATGCAGAAACAAGTAACTGCAGCTTCTAAAATATACCATGAAGGAAATAAACAGGGTGCAACCATATAGAGTAATGGACAAGATTAGCCATACCATAAAATGTATTGCCGTTCATGCAGAGCTCACTTCACTGCTAGTATTATTATTATTATTATTTGAGATGGAGTTTCGCTCTTGTTGCCCAGGCTGGAGTGCAATGGCACAGTCTTGGCTCACCACAACCTCTGCCTCCCAGGTTCAAGAGATTCTCCTGCCTCAGCCTCCCGAGTAGCTGGGATTATAGGCGTGGGCCACCACACCTGGCTAATTTTGTATTTTTAGTAGAGATGGTGTTTCTCCATGTTGGTCAGGCTGGTCTCGAACTCCTGACCTCAGGTGATCCACCCACCTCAGCCTCCCAAAGTGCTGGGATTACAGACCTGAGGCACCATGCCCGGTGCACTGCTGGTATTATTAATTGTATCTGTCCATCCATCCATCCATCCATCCAATAAAGTGTGGTAGCTGAGAACAATCCAAGGTGGACTTTGGCCTTGCCATTTATTAGTTATGTGACTGTATAATTTGCTTAACTTCTCAGTTTTCTGACCCATGGATTAGGGATAATAATTATATCTACCACAAAGTATAGCATTACAATTTAAATAAGATAATGCCTTTTGCTCATCCCCTGGCAAAATGCTCAATGCATGCTAGCTATTGTTGTTATTAGCATTCATTTCTTCACTCAGTGAAGGAATATTTACTAAGAACCTGTAAGTGCCAGTACTTTGCTAAACATTTCAGGATGAGGGGTGAAATGGAGGACAAGCTCCAATCATTTCCCTTTTAGGGAATATGTATGGTGAACCCAAGCAGAGGCTTTCCCCTTATTTTCTATGAGATAATTCAAAAGTCATTGTTAATCACCAAATCCCCAAACACTAGCTTCTAATACCTATAAGACAGAAAGACAACTCACAGGTTAGACAAACCTCACAGAAAGACAGCTCACAGATTAAATGGAGTCAGTCAGACAGAAAATCACCACCAGCCTCACCTCTTGGCTTTTAAAAATGGGGCTATGCTGGGAAAGGCAAGTGGCTTGGGAGTTCTGGAGAGCTGGATTCTGATTCTGATTCGGCTGAGCCAGAACCTCACAAGCCTCAGTGTGTTCACTCTCCCCCTCTAGTTATCACAATTCTATGTGATAACACACCGTGGAAGCTCCAGGGCCACACAGAAGGCTCTTCAAGAATGTCTCTTATTCCTTCTTTTAGTTCTAGCCCCTGCTCTGCCTCTTTGTTTGAACCTCTCTGGGTCCCTCTTCCTCTTGGTGCACACTGGAAGTAGGATTCCAGCAGGCGTGGGTACAAGGATTGAGTCAATCAACAGATGCGGAGGCCCTTTGAAAAGGTGAAAGGGCTATGCTGTGTAAGGTGTTATTATTATTAGGTTGGGGAAATTACCCACAGGGTAAATATTTCTGTGAGACGAAAATCAGAGATGCAGATGTAACCTCACCAGGGAACTATTTACAGCAACTTTTCCAAAGACTGAGACTATCCTCTGGCAGGCACTTTTCTCACCCTCTAATTATGGAAGTTTGATGGCATTTATCAGTAGGTGTCCAAATCCTAAGTAACCAACTTGCATATTTGATGTGGTGTCAGACAACAGGCATGAGGCATTGCCTCTTGCTCCTCAGTGTCTTCTTGCTTTGAAGTACTTACTCCCTGAAACAATTTTATAGTAACAGCTGGACTCTGAAGGGAAGGATTTTTTTTTTGCAAATAAATACATTTGCTAATTAAAACTTGCCCTTTAAAGACTCACATTTTCTTGACCCCACTATATGTTTTCTTTTGCTTGTAACATATCACAGAATCAATAAGGGCAATGCAAACATCTTTAATATATACAGTTTCAACAGCTCTCATAATGTATCTGCCTCCATAAGAATGCCCTCTCCCCCTCTCTAGCCCAGCTACTAATTTCCCCTGATTTGTTAAATGCCTCCTTATTTCACTCTCAGAGATAAAACTCAAAACGCAGTTACTCTTCAGGGGGAGTGGGAACGGTGGATTGAAAAGGGATAAAGTCAGGGGAGGGGGAATGATCATAGCCATGTCTTTGTGTTTTTTTAATGGCAGCTTTAAAAAGTTTTTATAATGGAATAATGAATGTTTATAGTAGGAAGATTATAAAATGCCAGAAAAAGTATAAAGAAGAAAATATATATTACTCATAACCCCATCACCCAGAAGAAAACACGGTTAATATTTGGCATTTTTTTCTTCAGACTTTTCTGCAAGAGGGTTTTTATGTAGCTAACAATTTTGAATTCTCTTTTAAAATATTATATATGACAATACTAACTTTTTTATGGCACGAAAAACTGCAAAAACACTTTCGAGTAGCTGCATAATATTCCAACAAAGGCTGTCCTCCAGTTTACTTATTTTATTTGACCATTTAGGCTGCTTCAATTTTTTTCCCATTATTACAAATAATGTACTGTCATTATATCCAATCTCCTGTTTTTCTGGGCAATACGTAGAGCTGGCTGTTTGGAGGTCTTAGGCTGAATTTTACAACTAGTGTTTCCTATGGCACAGAGCAGCCATATAGGAGAATCTCCGGTTAGCTATAGAGTTAGATTATAACATGGTAGCAACTGACCTTTTTTCCCCCCTCTAAAATGCTCCCTGAATTCTACTTCCTCCTGAATACTCTTGACATCGCAATGAGTAGTACCACCTTCTATTGAGATACCCAAGCTTGAAAACTGAGTGTCACTTTGGGCTTCTCCTTGCTACCCCCATCCAATCAGAAATCAAAATCATCCTCAATCTCTCTCAAATCTCTCCTCCCTTTTCTGGCTTCATTGCAACTGCCTTAGTTTCCCTAAATGACCTACTTTTTCCTGCCTCTACTCTTCCTAAGTCACCCCAGTTAATCCATTTCTCTACACTGCTGCCAAATCATCTTTTGAAAACACACTCAAGATCACATCCTTCCTCTTCTTAAAAGCCTTTATTAACTGTCTACCCTCCTTCTGCCCCAGTACCTGAACTTTCAGGATGTTTGGATCCTTAGCCTCCTTCAGGCCCTGTCAAAATCCAATCCTAGATGCTAGGGACTCATCTAGACTCCTCCAAGACCCTCCCCCAATATGTCCAACTCTGCTATGAGTGTCTCATGCTTTTGTCCATGTCATCATACTATTGCCTGTACCTAAAAAGCATCTCCCCTCCTTTCACGGTCTAGCTAATTCCTTGCCTTCAAAACTCAGCTCAAGGCCAGGTATGGTAGCTCACACCTATAATCCCAGCACTCTGGGAAGCCTAGGGCAGAGGATTGATGGTATTTGAGACCAGCCTGGGCAACATAGTGAGACCTCATCTGTAAAACAAACAAACAAACAAATAAAATTAGTTTGGCGTGGTGTGGTGGCACATGCCTGTGGTCCCAGCTACTCAAGAGGCTGAGGTGGGAGGATCACCTGAGCTCAGGAGGTTGAGGCTTCAGTGAACCAAGATGGCACCACTGCACTCCAGCCTGGATGACAGAGTGAGAACCTGTCATCTCCTATGGGAAGTCTTCCCTTACTCCCAACAATTCCATTGGGCATCCCTCATGATTAGATTCAGGTTATTCATGTCTACCAGGAATATCACAGAAGTGATATGTCCTTCCCAGTGCACTATATCAGGGGCCACTTGATGTCTATTTGTCACATTCCTGCTAATACTGATTTTAATCACTCAAGGTGGAGTCTTTCAGGTTTTCTATTGAAAAGTTACTATTTTCCCCTTTGAAATTAATCAGTATCATGTGGGCAGATACTTTGAACCTATATATATTTTTTGTTTCTCAACATACTTTCACCCACTACTTTTAGCATCTGGGTCTCATTTTTCTCACTGGTCAAATGAAATGCATAGACTGAAAGTGATTTGCAAAATTATCACTCTCAAAGATCCCTTTCTTATACTCCCTGTCTTGGATCTTCTGTAATGAAAGAATTTGTCCACCAAACCAATGTTACTCCTTCAGGTACATGTGTCTCATTTTCTCAGTGTACATTCATGAAACATGCCTACTGAACTGTAAGCTCAGAAAACAGGGCCTGTTTGTCTCACCACTGAATGCCGAGACCTATCACAGCACCTGCCACAAAGTAGGTGGTCAAGAAATATTTGTTGAAGGACTAAATCTAACTGCCAATCACAGCTGATGCCCAGCATTTGATGTCTGCAGTGAGGACACAAAGTTGATAAATGCTATTCAAAGGCAGAGACTTGACATTTTAGTTAATCTCAGAGGCTTTGTCACTGGTCACTGTACACTTATCATAAAGATTTTAAAAATAGATTGGACAGATTGTGTGGAAACTTCCCACCCACCCCAACCCATCCCTGCCTTTCTGAGATGCCCTAGTTATGAGATGTTGAAGGGGCATTCCAGCACCCCACGTTTATAATCTGTGATGCCTTTATAATCAGCATATGGCAACTGGCTAGACAGTCTCCTCACCACACAGAAGAGTTTTCAAAATAGCCTACCCCTCCTTTCACATTTATGTGAAATTAGCATTGTCACATTTCCTCCTTCATTGACTACTTTAGATCAGAGAGACACACTGTAGCAGAAGATCATGAAGGAAGTTGTCTTAAAGAAGGAAACTAACATAAATTAAGCATCTCATATACACCCAGTGCTTTCTTTCCATTGTTCTCTCTTTTAATCCTCACCAAAACTGGTGAAGTCGGTATCATCCATTTTATAGATGAGAAAACTGAAGCCGGGTAAGGGGAAATGGCTCGCACTAAGTCCTTTAGCCAGCAGGCAGCAGGGCTGGAGTGGGAATTCCTCCAGTCTCTTCCCCAAAGCCCTTCCAAGTTGCCACTCAGTCAAACTACCGCTCTCATCACATAAAAATGCCCTTCTCTTGGAAATGTGCTTGCCATCACGATCCAAACATTCGAGGGACAGAAATCTCTTGGACCGCAATCACTGCTATTTTTTAAGTGATTGTTATCACGACTCAGTAGCTGTTACCATGGTTTTGGGGAAGTTGTCCGAGGAAGGAGGGCCTTTCTTTGGGCATCTTGCATGCCTGAAGAAGGAACTCAAGATCTCAGCTCTTAATTACTCTGATTGTGCTGCAGTAGCAACTTGAAAGAGACCGTCCCTAGAAAAGTGTTGGGGTGGGGGGTGTGGAGTAACATCCAGCGAGCAGGCAGAAGGGAGGCCCTGGGCGCCAGAGAGACCCAGGGAAAGGCGAAGAGGAGGGAGAGGGGACGAGACCGTGCTACGGGGAGCCTGGAGAGAAAGCCAAAGGAGGAGGAAAGAACAAAAGGCAAGAGGAGAGGAAGTACAAGAAAGTCCAGAAAGGAAAAGAGAAAGTTTCAGAAAGGGGAAGAGAAAGCAAGCAAGGAGGGTAAAAGAAGAAAGAGACCAGAAAGATACCGAACTGAGAGAGCTCGGAGAACTCGAGAAAGCAAAGGAGGTAAAAGGAGAGAAGATGGAGAAGGCGGCGGAGAGGAAGGGGGAAGGAGACAGAGGAACCGAGACTGGGGTGAGGGAGCGGCCGCGCGTGGCCCCCGGAGAGGCGCCCATCACCTGCGTGGCGCCCCCCCGCGCCGGAGTGCGGCCCTGCTCCCAGCGCCAGTGCGCCGCGCGGCTCGCCGGCCTCGTAGGATTGGCTACCGCCTCCCATTCATGTAACCTGCGTGTGCGTGTGCGTGTGTGTGTGTGTCTCTCTCTCGCTCGCCCTCTCTTTCTGTGTGTAAGAGAGCGAGGGTGGGGGACGGAGGCAGGCAGGCGAGCAGGCAGGGAGGGGAAGAAGAGAAGGGAAGCTATTAAACACACACACACACACACACACTCACACACGCGCGCGCACACACCCGCCCCAACCCCCCAGAAGCCTCGGGATTGCAGCTGTTTCATGTGGGGCAGCAGTGCTGGCAGGGACGCCGGCCGGGAGCGGCCGGGAGCGGGAGCCGGTCGTGCGCGCGCGGCTGGAGGCTCGCTGGGGCTCCGCTCCCCGCGGGAGCTATTGTTGGTCTCGCTGGAGCTGAGCGCAGAGCCCGGACCTGCTCCTTCCTGGGCGCCCCGCTACGGCTCGCGGAGCAGAGGAGCCGCGCCGCCGAGAGAGAGAGGAGCCACCGGCGCGGCGCCTTGCCTCCCTGCCGCCGTCCTCGCCGCTTCCCCGGCGGTAGCAGCCTGCAGCCACGGTAAGGCGGCGTGATCCGCTCTACGGAAAAGCGCCTTGGGGACCGCGGCGACGCCTCGCCAGCTCCATCGCCCTCTGCACTGCTGGCCCGGGCAGGGTTCGGGTAGCTCACGCGGCTGCCGAGGGCTCCGGGAGATGTTTGCTTGCTCCCCTGGCCCAGGAGGAGGGAGGCTAGGGCGCGGGTGGCCGAAGAGGCAAGCTGTTCTGGAGCCTGGAGCCGCCGCAGCCCCCGGAGCCCGCCGCGGACTGGAGCCTGGGAGCAAGGGTTGGGGGAGGGCAGGGAGGTGGGAAGCGGGTGGGAGGGAGGCGGCGCGCCCCAGGTTCGTCTGCCTCTCCCGGATCCCGTTCCCCGCCCCGGCCCGGTCGCCTGCAGCCCCTCTGCAGACTAGCTCGCCCCAGGCCCCCGTCGGGCGCTGGAGGAGCCCGCGAGGCGGCGCCGGGCTTCAGCGGCTGCAGCCTGCCCTGCGGGGCAAGTGCCGGCTGCAGCAGCCCCGCACGGGCGGTGGTTGGAGCTCAGATCCTGGAGATGCGACCCCAGCTCCTCGCCCTCTGCAACCCGCGGGGCGCCCGCCTCTCCTCACCGGGCGCCCGGCCGCGGTATTGATGTTCGTCTAGGAGCCAACTGAGGCTGCAGCCGCCAGATGGACGCTTGGAGGGCTCCCGGGTGTGAGTGTGACTGTATGACTACTCTCACCCCCAGCTTCGGGAAATGTGCTCTGGGTTGAAATGTGATCACCGAGCTCCTCAGTCATTTTAATTGCCATTTTTAAATGCGGTCGTTACATTGGAGGAGCAGACTGGAAGGTAGTGGGGCGGCGTGTGTGTGTGTGTGTGTGTGTGTGTGTGGACACACACACGCAACCGAGGAATACACAACCAACTACTTGGGTGAAGGGCGGGGGGTTCACCTAGTGAGTCCTTCTTGGCGGGGGGGTCGGGCGAGTTAGCTGCCCGCTGCCCGCCCCTTCTCTGCCTGCCCCCGCCTAGGCGAGGTTGGAAAGTACTGGAAATTCAGCTGCGTGGTCCTTAACTTTGGAAATTGGCTCCGCTTTCAGGGCAAAATGTTAAGGCGATTTATGCACCCGCGTCCATGTGGATGAGTGTATTACTGCTCAGTTGGGTGCAGAGCCCTCAACAGTACCGCGCCAAGCCCCCACCCGATCTCTAACTCCCTCCCACCCCCTAACCGTGGAGAGAGGGTTTATAGAAATGCAGTTATCTGTAAACCATCGACGCAGTGAAAGGGGCGCAGGGAGGCAGCCAGAGTTTTGCCTGAACCTGCATACTGGCTTGGTGTTTGTAGCACACGAGATCACCCCGCTGCTTTGTAGAAGGCGGTGGTGGGGCAAGCTCGGGATTCCAATCGCCGGGGTGGGGGGTGGGGGGAAGAGGGTGCCCATGTACTGAGCTCTGAGGCCGAGTAAGGAGAGAGATCTGCTGAGCGGCATCGCGGGCAATTACATAAGCTGCCTCGGTGATTACCCGGAACTGTGATGCGAGCTCCCGGTTCTCGAAAGACAAGCCTGAAAGTTTGCCTGCTTGGGGAGTGTAAGTACCGGGGCGCCCCCACCCCGGCCTGGGTAGCTAGGATACGCCTCGCACCACGGCGCCCACTTGTGCGATGGGCGTCGGGTGCTGATGCTGCTGTCCCCAAAGAACCGGTTACCGAGGCAGGGACTAAGTGGGGGCATCCGGAATTGATCGCAGAGGAGGAGTCAGTCAGAACTGAGGTTTCATTGGGTCTTCAGAGCTCCAAGTCTTCCCTCGGAGGTGTTGGAAGGCCTTCCAGGGAACGCCGTTTTCAGAAACTGACTTGGTGTCCTGGGGAGCCCCAAAGCCCCTCTTTTCCGCCCTTCCTGGGCGCCCCTCCTTGTCTTTCAAGCCCTGTGCCCTTCACGTGTTTAGAAACCTGCCCGCGGTGCCTGGTCCCCCTTGGAGATGCCCAGGCAGCCCAGCCATCCAGGCCCACGCTGGCGAGGGGTTAGAGGGAGTAGAACGCTGGCTCTGCCGGGCTGCCACCCTTACCTACACCTATTCCTGGTTTCCTGCGCTAGCCCGGCGCTGATGGGGACGGGATGGGGCTGGGGTCGGGTATGGCTTCCGTTCCTTCGCCTCTCGCCTCTGCAGACAGCAGTTTGCTTCTGTTGCGTTTATTCTCCCCGTTTCGCCGCTTCCCTCCAGCGCCGCAGCCTGTGTATCACGTTGATGGGCTTTGATAGAGAAACCACAGTAAGAGTATGCTTTTAAATCTTGATTTTCGTCTGTAGGGGGATAAGCCACCCCAGCCCTGACACAGCCGTGGGGAACGCTGAAGTCTGGGACACATTGGCCCTGAACTCCCTTCCCCCCAGCCCGCAGTCAGGAGATGGTGATGTGCATGGGTGGGGAGTGTTTTGTTTTTGCCACATTCCAGCGTCCTGAAACCTCTCGTCCCCTCCCACTGAAATCCCCGATCTGTCTGAATCTGTTCCTTGCTGTAAAATAAATCCTCCCTCCCGCAGACCTGTGGGGCCCTTCGGATTTCCTGCCGCTGCCATGATCCTTAACAATGCGATTGAAAAGCCAGTGCTCGGCTGGAAAAAAATCCCCAGGTGCCAGCCGGCCGCGCCTTGACCTTGCTGAAGGAGCCTTTAACCCGGCTGCCAGAGGGGCTCTGGTCCAGCCGTGGGAATCCAGGAAGAAGGAGGGCGCCCCGGAGGCGGCTGGGTTAGCTCCCCGGGCAGGGCGGGAATCAGGTCGCGGCGGGGACCGCAGAGGGGGAGGGGACGGGACTCCGCGGCAACCTGTTTCCCGGCGAGCCGGGCCCGCGCATCCCAGCTCCCTCGCCCCAGCCCCTCGTGGCCCGCCTCCCCCGCCGGCCTCCAGTTGTCTTCGTGGTACAGGAGTCGGCCGCGACTCCCTCGCGCTCTCCGCCGGAGTCCGCGGGACGCCGCCAACTTTGGGCTCCTCGGTGGCCGGAGCAGCGGTGCGAACCAGCGGGGCGGCCGGGTGGGCGGGGCCTGGGCGGGAAACTGGAGCCGAGAAGACCGCGTTCCAGGCCAAGTTCCAGCCGCAAGCGCCGCGCGGCACAGTGCAGGGTCCCGGCCGCGCCTTTCTCCCGTCCCCGGCCCGGCCGCGTTCCTGCGGACTCACAGCGCGCTCCGGGCGCTCTGCAGTTGGGCTTTCAGCGGGGGAGCCCTTCTCGTCAAAGTTACGAGGGGTGTTTTCACTGGTGGTGACAGTGGGAACTAGTTTTCTGCGCGCCTGTGTGTGTGTGTGTGCATGTGTTGGGGAGCAGAGAGATTTGCAGCGAAGTCACACATAGCACAAAAAACAGGTTTCCCCTTTCCAGGTGTTATAAGGGAATGCTGAGGAGGAATCCGTTTTCTCCGGTGAGGGTGTTGACGGGAAGCCCTTCCACTTAGTGGAACTGGACCTGTTGGAGCTGATTGCCTGGAGTGAACGGGTGTCTCCTTTAGCGGCACCTGTGTGCCGTAGGTCCTTGGAAATGTTTGGGGAACTGAAAGTCCTCAAGATATTCAGCCAGGACTTAGGGCATAGATGTTTGTGTGCTTTTAGGGGGCTAATTCGGGGAAGCTTTTATTTCCAGCATGTGTCTTGAACTGAGGGGAGGGCAGGGTGCGGAAGGCTTGTGGAATTGCCATCTTCTGTGGTGGGGGAAGGGATCAGGGACGGAGAGCTTTGGTTTTCTAGAAAGAGTTCTTGGGTTCTTCCTCTGCTCTCATCTTGTTTTCATCAAGGCCTCTGTTTGGGGGTGGAGGTAGAGTGGTGCGGTAAGCGGATCAGCCACCCTAATAGACCGGCCTTGACCAGTGCGGATGCCAACGGGCAGAACTAGTGCTTGGTCTGAACAAGAACCATCAAAGGATAGTTCTATAGTGAGTGGAGTGACCTGGAATATGAGGTAGAAGGCTAGGTGTTAGAGTAATGGGTTCCCACGGACTCTCTTCCAATAGAATCTGATTCTATTTGGTATAGTCTCCTCAATCTTTTGTGGTTTTGTGGGAGTAAGGTGATAGGATGTGACTTTAATCTCTTAACTATTGGGTTGGAATCATGGCTCTGTGGCCTTAGGCAAATTGTCTTTGGAGCTTCAGTCCTCTCCCCTGTAAAATGGCACAATATTACTTAGTTTGCAACACTGTCAGGGTTTTTTTTTATGATCCAGTCTATAAACTTTATTCAGATTTTTCCAATTGTCCCAATAACGTCCGTTATAGCAATAGAAAATCCTGGCTTATGAGTTCATTCAGCTTTTCATGTCTCTTTAAACTCTTTTAACCTAGAACATTTCCTCATCTTTTTAAATCTTTCATATTATTGAACACTGTCAGTTTTAACATCGATAAGGCCTCTGGCATACTGTGGTCCCTTCACAGATGCTTGTTCCTTTCTACCTCCTTATCCCCTTCCAGGAAGCATCCTGCATTTGTTGGGTGGAGATTGGGCAGAGAAATCAACAGCCCCGAAAGAACCACCAACCTTGCATCCAGCCTATTTAAAACCAGCTTCAAATGCGTGAAATGAAAATTTCTTTTCTTTTCTTAGGAAAGTCATTTCCAGTTTTGTTAGAATTTGTGCTTCATTGAGTCCCTTTTTCTGACAGAGTTGCATCCTCATGCAGATTGACATGTTACATAACCCGATATTTCCAAATCAAAAGTTACAAATAAGGGAAAAGAAGGTGATTAGGAATTAAAGATTGTTGGGCAACACAAGCAAAAGACTCAATTTAAGATGCCAGCTCACACTCTAATTGTGCTAGAGGTTGAAGGAAAATGAGACTTGATAAGCACCAGTGGTGCAAGTCTCCGCCCGGGGTTCTCAGCCCCTGTCCTGGTCTAACAAACAGCTACACAGCCCCAGCCCAAACCTTTTGTAGTTCCTGTCCCAGTAACTTCTCCCACATCCATTAATCTAAAAAGTTAAACAAAAGAAGAATAGGATTTAAATCACCTCCTTGCAGATTTGATTCCAAGAGCCTAGCAGGGTAAATCAATGTCAATTCTAGATCTAAGGGGCCGATTTCTACCTGCCTTCTTACATGGTCTATCAGCTTGGCTTTTATTGTAACTGAAAGCTGAATCACTCCATCTTTGCTTTGCACTGGCAGATGGGCTGTGGGGGCCACTTTGAAAGTAATATGCCCCAGTTCTCAGGGAGCCAAGCAAACATGGATCCCTGAATGTTCTCTGTATGGAAAATGTCTAATGAAGCCATGTAGATATATGTGCCTATTGCTTCCGGGGTTATATATTTATTACTTTTTTTTTCTTTTACAGTCTTTATTCTAATGACCAAAGTAATATGTGCTCACTGTAGCAAATTCAGGCATTACAGAGAAAAGCAAAGCCAAAATGTTCCACCACATTTTGGGTTGTACCTTGTGACTTTATGAATGTAGAAAAAATGATGAGATCCTAGTATAGTGTTTTGAATGCTTATTTTCATCTAATGATAAAGCATGCAAAACTTTTCATGCTCTCTTTTCCTCCTACGGTGACATTTGTAATGCTACATAGACCCCCAATGTTATAGTATGACAGATATAATTTAATGAGTACCTAATTTTTTGACTTTGTGTTTATTTTTTTTTATTATCATAACAAGACTGTAGTAACCATCCTTGTACATACTGTGTAGTTTTAGTATTTCCTTAAGATGAATTCCTAGAAAGTAGCATTTCAGGGTTAAAGGCAGATACCATACTAAAGCTTCTGTCACACATGAAAAGCAGTTAGGTAAACCATGATGTCTCTTTCATCTTTTTAACCAGAATATGGCTATTTATTTTGCAGTCCCTTACAGGCTTGGAAGCCCAGGTGGTAGAAGAAGGCAGGGGTGACAGTCAAACTTCAAGCAGGGAATTTGCATAATTTTGAGCTGTTCTGCTGAACTGATACACAAATTCTTTTTCCAAGAACATTTTTCTTCCCTGGCTCTTGGAATCATCACTTTCTGGAGTGCTTCAGCCAGCAATGGAGTTGAAATATGTAAATATGTTCCTCAGCGTTGTAGGTGGGGCTGGCTCCATGGTGAATGACAAATAGTTCCTCCGAGAAGAGTGTGTGTCTTCAGCATTTGCTGAGGCTGTGGATTTCCCCCTCCCACCTTTCTCCTTCCCTTTGGTTCAGAGGCCTTAAACTGGCCTGGGAGATCTTACAAAGCAAACAGTTGAGACTCTACCCCACAGCAAGCTTATCTCCACCTGCTGTATGGCATTTTACTAGGAAAAATCAACCCCACGGAGTCTCCCTTCACAGTTCCAGGGCCCAATCAATCAATCAATCAACATGCCTACATGCTATTTTGAAAGTGGAAATTGTTAGGCATCTTGTCCCCTCTTTGCATGGTTCAATCAATCAGAGGGTGCTTTTGCCGTTACCCCTTCTCAAGTGTGGGATTTCTGTGACCAGAAAAGATGTGTTCCCTGTAGTTAGATAGCTAGTCATCTGACAAAGAATTCAGTGGAACCAGTGGGGGAAGTCCAGTCCTCCCATTTCCAAGGTGCCCCCATGCTCAGCAGGAGACATGAGGAGTTCCTTTAGATCAGGTAGAGAGGTCACCTCAGGATTGTTTCACGGTGTGGTCACCACAGAGGGAGCCCGCTCTGTTGGTTGCTGACTCTGACTTCAGACAACGGTTTAGATGCTGCTTTGATACTTATGCCACTCTAGTTTCACTAGGGAAGGTGAAGGGGTGTTTCTGTTCTTTGTCATGTTCTGAACATCAAATCAGAGCTTTTCTTTCATTTGGAAAACAGAAAGGAAACAGGCCATATGGGATCTCCAGAGCAGTGGTCAGCACCCCGGTTCCCTTTCCCTGTGTGTTCTGCACTGGCTTTACACAATGGCATCACTGTAGCCTCACCCAATAGTGCAAAAGGGTATCAGAGGCAATTGGTTAATCATTAAAATCCTTAAGAACATTAGGTTTTAAGAATGTTTTTCTTTGAAAGTCGATTTTTCTCGCTGTGGGATGAGTGTTGATTTCTGAAAGGCTGGTCTTGCACCCTTTGAAAGTCAAACAAAAGGGTTGCAGTTAGTACATTTATGGCCTGGGGTAAACCTTGCCAATTCCTGATGCCAGTTTTCCTCACTATAAAATTGGTTTGGGAGAAGAGAGTGGTTTCCATGTCTTGTTAAGTTAGTGCAATCTCAAACTCTAATGTGCACACCCCTAGTTCTGGGATCTTGTTAAGATGCAGATTCTACTTCATTTGGTCTGGGGAGGGGCCCAAGAATCTGCATTTTTCGCCAGCTCCCAGGTGCTGCCATGCTCCTGGTCCATTGTCCACACATGGAGTAGCAAGATTTCAAGCTATCTACTGCTCTGACTTTATTTCAGAAAGTCATAATCATGACCCCTGGATGTCAAGAGGAGTTGCTTATATTTGTAGAATGACACTATAAAGGGATGTGCCCATTCTTTCATTTTAGATTTGGGGAATAATCTTTATTTCCACAAACAGTGGAAATAAAGTGCAGAGGGGCAGCATCAGTCCTCTCATCCTGTGATCCTATAGGAGATGGAAAATGAGGCAAGAACAAAACGAACACATACTCAATGCTTTCTGTGTGTCAGAGAAACTGAAGCTCAGTAAGGCTGAGCCCAGGGTCACACCACTAGAACTAGCATTTGATGGTAGGCCTCTCTGGCTCCTAAATCCTTGTTTCTCCTAGAATGGCAACTTTGTAACTTTCGAGAATATGCCATGTAATTCAAACTGATAATTTAGCAAAGTGTTTCCCTTTAGAGGTCCTTTTTCTGGGCCTACTTTGAAAGTGGATCGAGACATGTAAAAATTTGCATCATTATCATGCAAGCAATTAAAGTGCTTAAGAGCTTAAAAGCAATTTGTTCAAGTTGGTTAAATATCCACCCTCCCCAACCTTGTTTGTATTATTAATTTACTCATCAAACTGTGACATCAAAACTATTGTGAAGGTAAATTTCAGTATCTTCTGTTCGGTAAAAAACTTTTAAATGTGAAGGGCTTGTATTGATGAGGTCCACAGTGAAAGGATCCAGTTCAGGGTGAGTCAGAGAAACCAGCTTTTTACTAAATAAACCCAGCTCTGCTTTGACCTCAGGATGAGAACTGATCATTTAAACGTTTTATTAATGTGCAATTATTCTGAGAACCAGTCAGCAATGCAGCTCTTTGCAAACATTAATTAGCTGACCCTCACATCATCCCACATGACAGATAAATAGCATTCACGTTGCATTGGAGAAAACAAATGGACACACAGAGATGAGGGAGGAAGAAGGCAGCTCTTGCCTTGAAAGAAATGTGGTAGAAGTAGGTGGAATTAGAAGACCATGTAAGTTTTTTACTTCATAAATATTTATTGAGCAATGCACTAGATAATCTAGAGCTATTCTATGCAATATAGTAGTCACTAGTCACATTTTAAACTAAATTTAATTAAAATGAAACAAAACTAATCATTTATTTCCTTGGTTGCACTAGCCAGATTTCAAGTGCTCAACAGCCACATGTGGTTAGTGGCTGCCATACTCGACAGTGCAGTTATAGAACATTTCTATCATTGTAAGACATTCGATTAAGGTTGGGATTAAAAAAAAATGCAAGGATCCTTGCCATTGTGAACTCCAATGTAAAATTTCCTAAAACAATAGCTGACACATGGCAACTACTGAGTAATTCAAGTTGTGGTTAAGTTCTTTGGGCTAATGGTTAGGGACCCAGCTTCTGGAGCTAGAGGACTGGGTTCATTTCCTGGGTATGCCACGTACTGAATGTATGACTACAGGTAGATGACTATTTAAATGATGTATGACTACAGGCAGACTATTTGAATGCTCTATGCTGATTCATGCTGCTATTTTTCACTTGTCTTACTAGCTGAGATTATTTTTAAGGCAGTGTTGGATCCTGGAGAGGGTGCTGGGAGACAGGTACTCTCCTTTGCTGCTGGTTGAAATGCAAATTAATATACCCTTTTAGGTAAGCAATTTGGCAGTAACTGTCAGTAGACTTCGGAACACTTATTCCGTTTAGTCCAGTATTCTGATTCTAGGAATCTAGCCAAAGAAAATAATCAGAGATGGGCAGAGAAAATTTAAGAATAAAAATGTTCATTGCAGTGTTATTTATAAAAGAGAGGAAAAAGGTAAACAATTGGGTGGAATAAGTAAAATGTGGCCAAGCCTAGCAGCGGAATATTATTCAAAGATTACGTATTGTTTTGAAAATGTGTTTTGTGACAAGGGAAAATGCCATGATAAAAATTATGTTTAAAAAATACTAAACACTATACTGCTAAACCCCAAAAGTATTTTTAAAAGTAGATATTTGTTGAAGCAGGACTAGAGAAATAAAGTACTGAGTAGTAGCTTATGAATTAATAGAATTTTTGATGGTTTGGGGAAGATTGTTTCGACTTTTTTCTTTATTAAGTTTTGTGTTTTATTTATTTATTTAATTTATTAATTGAACTAACCTAAGAAAATTGGCAACGGTGCGTCCCTGTGCTCTTTCTGCTATAGAATGCCTCAGAGACTCCTAGCTGCTCCTAATCTGTTTTTTCTAGCACGTTTGGAACTTCTGGCTTATCTATTCTAGAGTTTGTCTGCCTTCAAGGCCTAGATGTTCTTTCTAATGTTAAAACTGAATTCTCTTTATGGCCATTTAAGTACATTTCTACATGTAGTAGGTGATTCTGACTGAGCAGCATGGGGTATTGCAGAAGACATCAACTTCAAAGATGGAAAGAACTAGATTCAGACCCTGAACCATCATCACCTCCTTGCCATGGGACCTTGGGCGACCCTTCTGTTCCTCAATGTCCTCATCTATAAAGAGGGAAGCAATAGAATCTACCCCATATCTCATGGCTGTGTGGATTGTGCTCACTTCAGTGGGACATCTGGCACATATGGGTAAATAAAAATGCAAATGTCTTCCATGCCTGGGGTGCAGCACCCTTTAGAATGTACACTCCTTTTGTGCTTGTGCCACTCTCTTGAGATTGTAGGATCATCACTCTCCAGAAGAGGGAGAGTAGGCATCAGGTGGTTACTCAACATGACCCCTGCCATAAGGGCTTGTGAATGGCAGGCTCAGGACCTGGACAGATGTCTGGCTGACTCTGAGTCTTATGCTCTCTCTGGTACAGGTTTGGAAGTTCTGTTCCCATCTGGGCCATTGTATTTTGCTTATTGGTTTCCCTGGGCTGCAGTTCATTGTGGTGCCATTAACCCCTCAACATTTCCCAGCCTTGCTACTTGTTCCTCTCAAGGAATAAATAAAGCAGACATTCCTTTTTTTTTTCTTTTTTCTTTTTTTTTTTTTCGCAGGTTGAATGATTGAAACAAACATGCCTAACTAAAAAAGTAGCCCAACGCTGCTAAGTGACAGCAGCCAAGCCACATTCCAGGAAGAATGTAAACTGCTCACTAGTGGTTCAGCTCACTTTTTGCCACCTTGAAACAAGGTCTCCTCCCAAATTTCACCTCTTGGTGGCTTGAAAGAGGCACTAAATTTGTCATCAGCTACAACTCCCAGTTCTCACACTTTCTATCTGTGGGACCTTGGTCAAATTACTTAATGTCTGTGTGCCATAGTTTTCTTTTCCATAACATTGGGATAATAATAAGTCTTTGGCAGGGTTGTTGGTAGGATTATCATGCAGTAATCTTTGTGACAGTGTTGTGAGTCCTTGCCATCCTTGAATCAGCACCATTATTTCCAAAGCTTTAGAAGTAATTTATTGAGGTACCACTAAGTCACTGCTTCATTTTTCTCTGCTACTGATGGTTCTCCCATATATTGCAGTTAAGTCCATATAAGACTAAGGCCATATAAGACAGTGAAAAAATGCCAACAGGTTTTGGGTTGAATTCTCTGCTTTGCTACCTACTAGCTGTATGCATTCAAGCAAGTTCCTTGGATTGTCTATGCTTCCATCATTTTTTTTTTTCAGTTAGAAAATAGAAAATAGAAGTGTCTACCTCCAAGGGTTGTTGTGGGATTCACGAAGTAGCTTGGGTAGTGCCTGATAATCACTGTCTATGTGAATGGTAGCTCCTGGCATTGCTCTTTTCCCCACTATCTCCCCACCTCTCAGCTGCTGGTCCGCTGGCTCCTGCTTCTGGACCCTGTCAGCACAGTCCGGTGGCGAGTGCAGGTGTTTATTGGGGAGGAGGCGGGAGGGGGAAGGATGTGAATAGAGGGAGGTTCTATAGGAGTCTATTGCAGGTTATTTCAGGTCAGACTCTGAGAGGACCCCTAGCTTTCTTGTCCCCTGAAAATAAAGTTGCCTGTAGACATAGAAAAACCAAAGGGCTCTAGATTGAGACAGCAGATCCTGGCTCAAATTCCAGCTCTGTTTCTTTGCCACCTTGCACCAGCTTGATCATGTTAAAAATGAGAATGATATTACACCTGTTTCTCTGAGCTGCTGTCAGGCACTAGATTTAGAGTTACTTGACCCTGGCGGTGCATTAGAATCACCTAGGTGCTTTTTACCAAAGACTAGCACCATGCCCCCACCACAGATTGCTCTACAACTGTTCCAGGTGGGAACTAGTCATCAGAACTCTGTAAAGCTGCCCAGGTGATTCTAAGGTACAGCAGGCTTGAGAAATGCTGCATAGAATACAGCCTTACTGAATGTTAGTCTCCTCCATTTTCAAAGCAGCATAAAGGGATCTTATATTGAGTAATTTATGTACGAGGTGAGTGACCTAATTTGTTTGAGCCATGGGACTGCAGATATGGTAATCAAGGTTTCTTTCCCACCCCTGCCCTCGTTTTTGGCAAACTGGGGCATTTGGGTCAGAAAAGTGGCCTTCTTACTCAGCCTGTCCTCTTCTGATTCCAACACAGCTGCCTTCTGAGTGCTGGGAAATGCCTGGCCCTTGCCTGGAGATGTCATGATAGTCCTTTGACCTACTTTTGTTTCTTTTCTGTTCACTTCTGGGCTGTGCCCCATTAACCATTCATGCACAACCCTCCACCAAGCTGGCAAGGCCTCAGCATTCTTCAAGTGGAAGAGAGAATGCTTGATTTCTGTCCACATCCTATAAAATGCTTATCAGATGATAATAGCTTTCCAGGGTTAGTGACAGAGACTTAGCATGACCCAAAGGCCTGGAGGCTCTTCACTTATGCATGATTTGGTGATTTTACATCTCTTAGACAATAAATTTTTGGTTGAGAAGTACTTCTACTCAGCGGTCTGATTTTTTCTTGAGATCTTCTCAAACCCACCTCAAACTGGGGAAATGTGTTGTATTTTGGAGAGGGCTTTTAACATTTAATGTGCATAGGTACCATCTGAGAACTTATTGAAATGCAAGTTCTGATTCAGTGGGTGGGAGCATGGGCCTCAGCTCCTGCATTTCTGACAAGCTTCCAGGAGATGTTGATGCCGCCAGTCTAAGGCCACACTTGGCTTAGCAGAGCTCTAAGACCTTGGTCTTCCTTCCTGCTTCTGCTTTCTCCCTTCTGTCTTCTTAGGTCCAGGAGCATCAGATGCAGACTGTCATTGAGTGAATGGAATCTGTCAGTTTTGTGCAACCGTTTGTCAGTATTGTTGTAGCCTCAGTGGAGGCAATTGTAGTGTGAAGTAGACAGAGTAAATAGTGGCCATTATCATCATGCCGTGGAAAGATTCCAGTTCCACGTATTATGTTATACTCTCCAGGCTTCTTTTATATCTTCAAGCACATTAAGCCTCATGGCACCTTGTGGAATAGGCAGTGATTTTTATTACTAGGATAAGTATTACTTTGAAAATTTTATAACCTTTATTATGTTTTTGTTTAATGTGGTTTTCTTCTGATTATGACAATAATGCATATAAACAACAGAAAATTTAGGAAACCTAAGATAACACAGAGAACAAGAAAAAGAACCCATAATCTTGCCATGGAGAGGTAGTTTCTCCTAACCTTTTGATTTTCTTTCCAGTATTGTTTCTATGTAAAATCCTAATTCTCACCACTACCCTCTCCCACCATAATTTGGAGCACATTACACACATTGTTTTGCAACCTTAATCTATCACGATCGTTTCCCCGTTCCATTAATTTTTCCTCCAACATGATGTTTAATAGCTATGTAGTATTCCCTCATAAGGATATACCATTATTTATTTAACTAATTTTCTATTGTTGTATTCCATTTCTCACCACCATAAATAATGCTGAGATCAACATTTTCATGTAGTTGTCTGTTTATTTTCTTCAGTCCAATTTCTTTACTTGAAATTTCTAGGTCAAAGATAATGCAGCTTTTTAAAGCTTCTGACAATGTGCTGATCCGTGATGGGCCTGTGGAAGCATGGAACCAAGACCAGGGTCCCTCTAGTCTGGTAGTAGTTTGACCAGGGAAGTTTTCATCATTCTTGTGTTGTGTAGGGAGTTTCATCATTCCCATTTTGTGTCACCAGGGTACCATGGTGGCACTGGAGAAGCCCTGAGCAGACAGCCCCCTCTGCCACTTCACCTCCTGGTTCATGTGTGCTGAACTGCATCACACAGGGGTAGATGGTCACTAGGTCATTAAGATTGATCTAGGCCATATCTTGCTTCCTGGATCTGTGAAGGTATCTGCAGTTTTAAAGGAGAGAAGAAAAGGGGAATGAAAGGTACCAATACTGTGTCTATCAAATTCTAGATTCATATATCCAACTGCCTCCTTGCTATTTTTATTTGAATAATCTCATATGTGTCTCACACCTAACACATCCGAAACTCATCTTCCCTGAAAGACCTGCTTTACTGGCAATCCTTCCTAGCTCAGCTAATGGTAACTCCGTCCTTCTGGTTCACAGGCCTCAAATTTTGGAGTCATCTTTGACTCCTGTTTTTGTTTTCATACCTTATAGCTCAGCCGTCAGGAAATCATATTGGCTCTGCTTTCCAGCCATAACCTCACAGCGGACCACTCTTCATGCTCTCCACTGCTACCACCTGGGTTCACTCCGATCTTCTCTCATCTGGATGATCACAGGATCCTCTTTGTTGAATTGTGTGAGGCATTTGGCCTATATTATCGCATTTATTCACATGGAGCTGAGTAAGGTCTTGTTAGTTCCCATTTTCCAGAGGGGCAACAGGGACTCAATGAGGTTAGACATCTTGCCTGAGGTCACTCTACCAGTGAGTCAGGGAGCCAGGGTCCCCTACAGACATCCACCTGTCCGTAAAGCAAATGTTCCTCTCCAGGAGGTGCTGGTTGTAAGTTCATGAGCCATGGAGGGGATGGGGAACTTGAATATCTTATACCTGGTGGGAGGAACAAGATACACACCATCTTTTGATGTCATCTGAACTTGTTAGCTAACATTTTTAATAGAAGATATGTATCCTCTTCTCACATCTGCCTGCACTGATGAACAAAGCCTTGTTTCAAGAATTAATTTTGGAAGGAGATACTCCTTTCATAGCCTACTCCTGAAGGTGGGAAATAGTGTGGGGAAATTCATTCTAGACCAGAGTGTGGGTGATGGTCTCAAGGCCTCAAAGTAGGTTTCTGAAAGACCCCCACATTTTGGCACATGTTTGTGCACAGGTGTGTGGGCACACACCTATAATTTACAGCACATTCCTAGAACTTTTCAAGTCAAAATGTTGCCTTGTTCACTCTTATGGTTGTTATTTCTTGATCTGTTGTCATCACATGTCTCACTGTTCTTTCCCCTCAATAATCATGGAATTAAATTCACTTGTTCAGAAGTGGACCCCAGAGGCAGGCAGGCAGGCAGAGACCAAAGAGATGTCACAGAGCTTATACCAGAGGGATGGGAGCCAAGGCCACGTGAGCAGGTCCTGCCACCTCAGATAGATAGGCCATTTGTGCCCCTACTGTGTGCTAAGAGGCACCTACTGTGTGCTGAGCACAGCAACACTGCCAACAGTCTTGTTATGCTCCATCACTGACTATATGAGTAGTGTTGCCAGGATTTGAATTTGGATCAGTCTGGCTCCAAGTCCGTGTTCTTCTACTTCACTTTTCTAGGACTCAGGAGAACATGGCCAGGAGTTTAGGGCTAGTCTCTTAGTAGCTAACCAAGAGTCTTTCCCCAAAGGCTCCAGACACTGAGATGTGCTAGGGATGTGGGGAGAGCTGGCTTTAGTTCAGCATCAGCCAGAACATCCCAGAAGAGATTAGACAGCTTGTGGAGGGAGTGAGCTCCCTGTCATTGGAGGAGGGCAAGCAGTGCTGTCAAGTCTATTAAGAAGCTTCCTGCAGGGGGTGAGAAATTGGACTCAATGTCCTCCTGAAAAGTTCAGCTACAGAAAGGCTGGGTCCCTTTGGTACACTCCTCACCTTGATCCTTAGCACCGTTGTTAAGTATACTGATTAATCCAATCAGTAAGGGCCTGCGGAGTGAGCTGGGCTCTGGAGTAGATGTGATTCAAGACAGAAAAGCAGGAGGGTACGCCACTCAGATCTCAAGGCACTTAGGATCCAGTTAAAGGTACTATTAAGACATTATCAGCTGAAGAGTCAGACTGACCTAAGTTTAAATCTGGGCTGAGCCACAACTAGACCAGGCTTTCTCAACTTCGGCACCCCTGACTTTTTTTTGTGTGTGTGAAATGGAGTCTCATTCTGTCTCCCAGGCTGGAGTGCAGTGGTGTGATCTCGGCTCACTGCAAGCTCTGCCTCCCAGGTTTATGCCATTCTCCTGCCTTAGCCTCCTGAGTAACTGGGACAATAGGCGTCCGCCACCACGCCTGGCTAATTTTTTGTATTTTTAGTAGAGATGGGATTTCACCGTGTTAACCAGGGTGGTCTCGATATCCTGACCTCATGATCCGCCCGCCTCGGCCTCCCAAAGTGTTGGGATTACAGGCGTGAGCCTCTGTGCCAGCCTTTTTGTATTTTTTTTTTTTGGAGACAGGGTCTGGTTCTATTGCCCAGGCTGGAGTGCAGTGATGTGATTAGGGCTCACTGCAGCCTTGACCTCCTGGGCATAATTGATTCTCCTGAGCTTAAATGATTCTCCCACCTCAGTTCCCCAAGTATAAGAGCTAGGACTACAGGCATCCAGCCATCATACCTGGCTAATTTTTGTTTTGTTTTGTTTTGTAGAGACTAGGTTTTGCCATGTTGTCCAGGCTGGTCTCGAACTCATGAGTTTAAGTGATCCTCCTATCTCAGCCTTCCCAAAGTGCTGGCATTGTAGGTGTGAGCTACTGCACCTGGCCAACTTTGCCACAAATGACCAGATAATTCTTTGTTGTAGGGGGTGTTCTGTGAATCACGGATGTTGGGCAGCATCCCTGGCCTCTATCTACTAGATTCCAGTGCCTTCCCCGCCAATTGTGACAACCAAAAATGTTGACAGACATTGCCAAAAGTTCACTGAGCAAAGAATTGCCAAGATTGTCCGTCCCTGGTTGGAAGCCACTGGACTAGCTTGTATGACTTTTGGCAGACAAACTAAACTCTTGGTATTAGTTCCATCTTTTTTAATGTATGACAACAATACCTGCTGTAAGAATGAAATGAAATAGCATTAATCAAGCTTCTACCAGGGAGCCTGGCACAAAGTAGACAGACACATCTGAGAAAGAACCTTCACACCCAGGTTAGTGGGGGAGGCAGGGAAGCTTCAAAAAGTGGGAAGCATTTGACGTCGACTTGAAGGATGAGAACATATTTTCCAAAAGGACTAGAAGTATTGTGATTATTATTATTCATCCTCCTTCCTCTACCCTTGCAGGCCTCCTCTCACTTGCTGGTCACTCCTTCTTCTCTCCTGTAAAAATCAACCAAAGAGACTCTTCTAAATCCTCAGCTCCTGGAAACAGGAGATTTGGTTCTGGCCTCACATTTAACCCTCCCTGCGCCTGCTGCTCCAGGAGTGCATAGACTCGCCCCTTGTTCTGGAGCAGGCCAAGAATGACCCGTTTCCCCACCTTGTTAAGTATGAATTGGAAATTTGTACCCATGCAGTTTCCTTGCAAAAAAAAAAAAAAAAAAAAAAATGCACTTGTAAGCATTCAGAGCTGGCTTGAACGAGACAGGAGCTACAAATGCAGTTGAATATTTCATGAAGACCCTTTCAAACCACATGCTCTGCTCTTGTGGATGGTATGGGGGAGAAAGCACAGGCTACGAGTCAGACCAACTCAGTTTTAGCCCTGACTCTTTAGTGGAACTTTGCCGTAGGAAGTGTCTTCACTTCCCTGGGCCTCGGTTTCTTCATCTGTACAATGGCGGGGGTGGGGGTTGCAACTGATTTGGGATATATTGTGAGGGCTTCAGGAGATAATATAGGTAAAGGATCTGGCAGGGTGCCTGGCACATGGTAGGTGCTTAGTCAATGTTACCTCTCCAGTTGGAATCTTCCTGTTCTCTTCCCAGTATCTGTGCTTTTAGGGACAGCATAGTCTTTCTGGATGACACAGGCCAATGGCATGGGACTCCTTGGGGGATTGGGTTTAGGACAGCCTCCCAGCCTTCTCCTTTTAACTTAAGCTTTGGGATTGGGTCCGGCATCCTTGGAAGGCTCACCAGTTGGTCTACTTTAGAAGACAGGATGCAAAGAATTCCCTCTGATTCAAATGGCCCAGCTGAGCATACTTTCAGTTTAAAAATAAGTCGGCCTATCAGAAGGCTGTTTTAAAATGTAGAGGTGACAAGCAAATGCCTGCCTTACCTTTGTACAAAGAGGAGTGATTAGAAGAGCCAAAATAGAAGCCCAGAGAGGCTCCTGGGCCACAGTCCCTGCCCCAGGCCCAGAACCAGCCTTGGGTCAGACCCTCCCTCCCTCTGTTCTACCAGGGAGCCAAGGTTGCTGTAAGGAAAACAAGAGGAGTGTGGTGTTTTGTAACTATTTTTATACCTACCTCAGACTTGATGTTAGTGCTTCTGAATTATTTAACATTTTTCTTTCTCAGCTGGCCTCTCCAGCGAGTTTCTCTCTTGGGGTGGAGGGAGTTGTTTTTTAGGCACTCATGGAGGCAGACAAACATTGACTGCAGGGCCTCTGCTTTTTTTGGGGAATGACATTCTTAGGTATCCTATTATGAATTAGGGGCCCCATATTAAACATAGGTGACAGGTATTATAGATGACAGGTATCTAGTCTCCATGTTACAAAAAGAGATGGTAAGTAAATTGCCCAAGACCACACAGCAGGAAGTGAAGGAATCAGGATTCAAACTCTGGTCTTTCTTACTGTAGAGCTGGTGCTGCTTCTACTGAGCTGGACTGCTGCTGCTCTGTCCTTTACTCTGTGTGTGTGTGTGTGTGTGTGTGTGTGTGTGTGTAAGAACCATGTGGGTGATTTAATATGGTACTCCTTAAGCTAACAGGCCCCTGTCACCATTAGCTTAAGGAGTACCAGATCAAATCACCCACAAACACTGTGGAGGTGAACAGAGTTGAGAAGATGAGCCTCAGAAGGTTGAGCACTGAGAAGCAGGGATGTGGTTCCCTTGGTTATTGCATCCTGGGGGAATGGGAAGATTGTTGCAGCCCTAGCAGGAGGTCCCTTCATTGCACTTCACAGGCGCCACGTGTGGGGTGTGCGTTAAGAGCCCTTCCCTCACAGTCTAGCCAGCCTCTTGAAAGGGGTATCTGCACCTTGGGCCTCATTGAAGGGGGTGATGATTGGCAGCTCTAAACCACCCCGACAACAGGAGGGAATGAACTGGACTCTTATCTGCTGCCTCTCATAATTAAAGTCCATCATAGACTTTTAATGGGCATTTTGAAATAGACATCCTGGTTTGAAAGGAATCCTACTGTAGATCGAGATCAGCCTCCCTGCAGAAGCACTGTCTTGCTGATAACTGTTTTTTTTTTTTTTTAATTTCAGAGCCAGGGAAGATTACACATTTTCCTTGTTCCGTTCCTTTAGCTCCTATTTAATTATTGGTGACCTCGAGATGACTCTCTTTCAAGCATTTTAAACTCCTCATTCTACCTTGTGTGAAAACCCCGTTAGAATTATAATATGAACTCTCTCTGGGAGATAGCCCTCTGCAAATTAGCTAGGAACACTTATTTCAAAAGTGCCCATCGTTATAGTTTCAATAAAAATCACTGGGGTAAAGCAGTTGTTAGTAATGTTAATAACAGCTGTATTTTGATAGGAATGCACTTTATGACTATATCAAGCGATATCACATTCTGTTAAATAAAGTAATATTTGACACAGGTAAATTCCTTGATATTAAATTTCAGATAGCTGTATGAAATACTAGGTTCTCCTTCACATACATATGGATGAAAGTGGCCCTACCTTTTTTTTGAGGGGGGGTGACTTTATTTATGAAAACATATAGACAAGGTAATGGAATGATATTCCAAGATAGCCTCTTATGTGAAATAATTTGATTTAAAGCTTTATAAGCATTGCAAAAATTGACCAGTGTGCTTTCGAATGCCTCTACTTGTGATTTTGCAAAGAGAAAAGCAAAGGGAGAGTAGGGAGAGTCACGTTTAAAAAATAGTTTACACATTTAAAAAATACTCCCTACCAGATACCTTTGTGCACTCCTCGACTCATCTAATGCACACACAAGCACTCTAGAAGCCTGGTTTTCACTTACAGCAAAGCTAAGTGAAAGCTTTGGAAGGTTTGGAAAGCTTTGGAAACTTCTGGAAGTTGAAGTATCATCCCTGAGGCTACACTGCTGGTGGAATTAGCATTGAACCTGGGTTTATCTGACTCTGGAGTGACTGCTCCTACCTCTGTCCCATCCCAGCTCCAGGGACTAGGTTTCAAATATTTTTTCCGTATTGTGTGGATGTGTGAGCATGTGGAGGGGTAATAGTTTTTTCTTTTTTCCTTTTCACCATAGGAGCAAATAACCATCCCCCACCCCCCAAAAAAAAACTGGTTTGTGTCCAAATAAGTTTGATAAATGCCAAATTAGAGAGGTTAATGTATTTTCATGCTGCAGAAAGTCTCAGAGTCTTCACTATGCTTATGCGAATCTCCAAGAGAGGCATAAATAGCACATAAGAGTTCCCAAACTTCTAATATGAGTTTTCTTTTTTCTAAAGCAAAACCATTTTTAGCACTCTCACAAGAGTAGGGTTTCTTCAGAAGCTCTTTGGGAAGTGCTAACTTTGTGGATTTCTGAATCTGTAGGGTTCTGATTATGGTTCCTGTCTTAGTGATATGGTCCAAGCAGGAAGCTTGGAGAGTCCTGCAGGGGCTGAGTGTTTCCCTCTTGGGAGGCTGCAAGCTGCCTCTCTTTCTGACATCTTAGTAGTTCAGATAAATGAAATGCGTTTTTGTTCTAACCCTTCCCAACCTATTTTATGGAAAACATCAAAGTATTTAAATACAAAGAGTAAGGATTTAACATGTTAAAAAAATGTATTTCAAATGATCAGGAGGGAGAAAACCTTTACCATAGATTGGGAAGGATTTGCATCCTTGAAGGAGCTAAAAGACAAAGATAAGCTTTTAAAATACATATATGGAACAAAGAGAACACAGTGGGTTGGATTCAAAATATTTAAATCTGTCTTATTCCATTAAGGGAACTTTAAAATAAATGGTTTCTCATTCATTCATTCTCTCTCTCACTCACACACACATGCACATACACATAAAATATCACATAGGAAGTCTCATACTCAAACTCCCTCCCCGCACCCACCTTGTATCTTGAAGGAACTAAGGAATAATTTGGCTCACCTAGGTAGCTGGGGAAACTGAAGGCCCAGAGAAGGGAAGGAGTTTGTGCCAACCCACGAAGCCAGTTCATGGGACGTCAGGCCAAGGAGTGGAGATGTGGATGATGTCTGACATGCTTTGCACCCCTACTGTGTAGCAGACCTAATCTCTTTACCTCCTTACAACCAACCAGGTTATGGGTGTTATCTTCATTAAAGCTGAGGAAATGAAACTAGGAAATGTCAAGCAACGTGACCCATGGCTGGTAACTGGCCTCATAGTGGGATTTGAGCCCATACAAAGTACATATCACACTGTCAAGTCCAGAATGTGAGTTTCCTTTTTGCCAATCTAATTTAACCATCTCATCCACTATCCATCCCTGACTTACTAGACAGAGCAAGGTAGCCACCCAGTTACCTTCTGATGAGTCAGGAGGGAACACATCCATCCCCGTGCCGTGGGTGCTAAGGGTGCCATTGGGAACATGGAGGAAGGGAGCTGACCTCTTACCTGTGGGTGTGAACAGCTCGACTGCCCTGTTCCCAAGTGCTCTGGTGGTTTATAAGCAGTGAGGTGAGTCACAAAGCAGACAAAGGCCACTGACTCAGCGGGTAGAGGGAGGTGCCCTCAGTTCTTGATTCAACATTGCCATGACTTGCTGGGAGTGGTTTTTGATCCTTCCATGTGTTTTTGAAAAGCCAGGTAGGCTTTTCATCTCCTTCACCACTTTAGATGCGAGTTTGTCCTGGAGGCAGGGAAATGGCTCAGCTGCCCTCGTGGGCTTCTGTCAATCCTATGCTTCAAACAAGTATGAGCTAAGCCTAGTCTAGATGTGACCTGGAATATAAACAATCCAATGAGTTTGACTTCCTTCAGAGGTGGCACCTGGAGAGGCCATACATTTATTCAAGTGATGCCACCATTGCTAAACACAAGGCTGTATGCCTCTTTGGGAATGTGGGAGTTCAGTCATTCAACTAATGTCTGTTAAGAGTGTCCAATTTCCAGGCACTGTAAAAGTGCTGGGCAAAGTCAGAGGAAAGCCAATCCCTGCCTTCAAAGAGATGACAACCTGTTGGAAGACACAGCCACGTAATGGAGTAATTGGAGTGGGGTGTAAATGTACAGGGGACATACAAGAGCCACCTCTGCATGGGGGCAGTCAGGCAGGGTCTCACAGAAGAGGTGAAGCATGAACTAACTGTACTGAAGGGTCATCAGAGTTCACCAGGGTGACCAGAGAGGACATTCCAGTTGCAGGGAATAGCATATGCACATCCACAGGAAAATGAGAAATCATGTTTCAGTAGGGCTAGAGCAGAGGATGTTGTGTTGGGTGGTGGAGCCATATGAGGGAGAATAGATTGGTGGGATTCATAAGAGCCAGAATTGGCGTTTAGAGCCAGCTTGTAAGCCACATGATTGGCTATGACTCAACAGATACAAGTGGCATCTTGCAACCATTAGTATCAGTATTCTTGTTGTTTTCATGTCCTGCATACTGTAGTTTCAGTGTTTTTGCTTGTTTAGGGAAATCCATTATACCCTAAAGAAGCAAGTTGATAAGAAATCCCCACAGAGAGATTCTAGGTAGGTGCTTTTCAGTAGAGGTTTCTGTAATGATGGAAATGTCCTGCATCTCTGTCCTCCAATAGGGTAGCCATTGGTCAGATGCAACTGTTGGACCCTTGAAATGCGGCTAGAATAGAATTTTAAATTGTATTTGTATCATATATAATATATAATTTATGTTACTTATTATGCATCCTTGTTTGTCATATTTATGTTTGCTTTCTATTAGGCAGTACTAGTCTAGTGCGAGGAGACAGACAATCCCACTACTGATACATACACCGTTTAAAGTATACTGTAGGAAAAGGGCCTTCCTTGAAGCCTGCACCCCAGCCAGGAAGAGTGCCATTAAAGAGTGACAAGATCTGCCTGGAGGTCAGTAAGAAAGGCTTTCAAGAGGAGAGAACTTCTTATTACTGGGCTCTGAGGGTTTTGGCAATCTCTGAGTAGGGAAATGTGGAGTGATTCTTCCAGAGGAGAGAGCATGAGAAAAGGTGTGGAGGTTCCAGAAAAGCACATACCTGGGGGATATGGAGTGGGATGAGGCGACCTCAGGAAGAAAGAAGGCCACAAGGAGCTTGGATTCTATTCTGATGAAGCAAGGACACTTTACATAGATGATGTCATATTGCAAGTATGAGCAGGGATGTCATGAGCATTATCCAGGACTATAGGAGACATACATAGTGTTCTTCAAAGGACAATGTAATTCTTTGGACATGGGGCATAAACACCATGGTTCAAAGCCAAGCTTTTAGAAGCAGAATGCGAAGTTGAAACTTCTTCTACTCAGGTACAGCTCTCTTTGCTATGTGGTAATGTTTACTACCACTGTGGTCATGTTTACCAACCACTCTTGTGGTTGGTATTTCCTGTAAATCTTTAAGTCCAAACAACGGCATCTGGGCACAAAAAAGGATAAGAGGGACCAGTCCCCTTTGAGCCATCAACAAACAGCCCAGAGGAAGACGCTGAAGTCCAAAGAGGCTGGCTGACCTGCTCAAAGCTGCTGAGGTTTCCCTTGCACTACACTGCCTTGCCCTTGGTGCCAGGACTTAGTCTCTGGGCTAAAGGAAACTCTAGACATGTTTTCAGTGCTTACGTAAGAGTCAACGCATGAAACACACCTGCCTTTAAAGAGCAAAAGTAAAGTTCTTTTAAGCCATTTCTTCAGCACAACATAAATGTGCTAAACATTGACATTCTTATGCCAGCCCTTAGATTTGAGACTCTCAGTTAACTACTTTCCAGATATCTGTTTTGCCCTTAATGTTATACAGTATTGAGATATTGATCAGGACCTCAGCCACAGTATATCTTGGCTAAACTGTCCTAGGTTTCTAGCAAACAAGGAATGACTGTGTGAGTGGCAAGAAAGCGTTGATGTTACAGTTGCCTGTAGTGTCTGTCTTTTTTTTTCTTTTTTTTTTGCCATTGTCTGGTTATGTACCAAAATCCTAACTGTACCTGAGATAGAAGACGCAAGCTTTGCGCAAAAGCAGTGTTAGTAGCAGGCATACCCTACAGGATTTGGAGCAGAGACCTGGAGAGAAACCCTGAGCCTGCCACCAATTAATTTGTGACTTGAGGCAAATTACCTGACCTTGTTAAGCCTCAGTTTCCCCATCTGGAAACCCGGATCTTAATACCATCTCGTTAGGTTGTTATGAGGGTGAGATGATACAGTGCATGTAAACCTCTTAGCATCATATCTGTCACATAGTAGGGTTGTACCTTAATAAACAGAAACCAGTAATGTTAATTTTACCAAATTTTTATGTTATAGCTGAAGAGTTTCTTTTGTCAAAAAAGAGGCACATGAAAGAATGCTCAGTATCATTAGTCATTAGAGAAATGAAAATTAAAACCGCCACAAGATACCACTTCAAACCCACTCGAATGTCTAAAATTAAAAAGACTGACCATACACGTGTTGGTGAGGATATGGAGCAACAGAAATGTAAAAGGAGACTACTACTTCAGAGAACAGCTTGGCAGCTTCTTAAAACCATAAATACATACCTACCTTGTGACCCAGCCATTCCACTCCTAGGTATTTACCCCAGGGAAGTGAAAGCGTATTGAGATACAAAGACCTGTACAAGAATGTTTGAGGCACCTCTATTTGTAATAGCCAAAAATTGTAAGTCACCCAAATGTCCATCAACAGGTGAATGGATAAACACATTGTGGTATATCCATAAAATGGAATGTTAATCAGCAGTGAAAAAGGAATAAATTCTTGATTAGCCCAACAACATGGATCAATCTCAAAATAATTATACTGAGTGGAAAAAGCCAGACTCAAAAGCATGTATACTGTATGATTCCTTTTATGTTAAATTTCACAAATTGCAGAGTAATCTATTGTGATAGGAAGCAGGTCAGGGGTTGCCTGGAGAGGGTGAAGGGGTGGGAGGGATTATCAAGGGGGATGGGGAAATTTGGGGGATGATGTGAATATGGTTACTATTTTGATTGTAGTGGTGTTTTCACAGTTGTATACTGATATCAAAACTCATCAGGTTGTGCAATTTAAACATGTACAGTTTATTGTATATCAAATATAGCTCAATAAAGTATGTTTAAGTTAATGTTCAGTACAAGGAAAGACAAATCACATCCTCATGCTGGAGTTTGTTTACAAGATGATGAGTTCTCTTCAGATGCCACCACAGTGAGTGGAGTTTGACTCCCAGCCCCAGCACTCACTGTCACCTTGGGCAAGCTACTTAAGCTCTCTGAGCTGCAGCTTTTCCATATGAAAGTGGAGATGGTAAACCTACATCACATCATTCCTGGGGCCTTTGAAGGAGTTAATATACATAAAGCCCTGAGCACCGAGTCTGACCTATAGTGGATGACCCAAATGCTTGTCTATAATGATAGCATTATTTATTATTTTCAGGTATGCGGAATACTTAAATACCCTAAACCACCTGTAAACGAATGAAAATTCACGTGAGTCAACCTGGGTGAAAACCAAAATGCACTTTACTTCCTTGGGGGCATAGACATGAGTGCTTCCAAAGTGCTCTGAAACAGTTTGTTCTTTTTGGTTGATTAAACATGCTTTAATTTCACAGATCCCAGTTCTGTTCAGCAGACATTCTTTGAGGATTGGAAGGACTTCCCAAAGGAAGTGACTAATCATAGAATCTTAGAATCGGACAAGAGAGAGACAGTCTTAATGCAACCCTGTCATCTTACAGACATGGAAACAGAGGCTGAGGAAGAAAGGTGCCTTGTCCAGGGCTGCAAAGTGGTGGGGTGAAGAGGGAACCGGCCTCCTGGCCCCAGTCAGCATGCTTGCCCCTGCACCACGAGGCCTCTCCCCTAAGCCAGGCCGCTTTCCACAGATAGAACGGTGGCAAGGTCAGCTGAGGCCGTGTCTAAATGATCAGAATTAATGGATTCTGAATGAATGAGGTTTTCTGCCCGAGTTTTAGGTTCAAGGAGCTCAGGAGGCACCCGGCCAAGGTTTTGACATTTTTTGCCCATGATTCAGGCAGGGCTGCTTGGTTGGGTTCCATGTCTCTGCTCAGCCCCTCTCTCTGTGATCTGTGTTTCAGATCCATTTATATAAGACAGCTTTGGGAATTACTGTTTTAAAAAAATGAAAAAGCAAGTTGTGTTTTTTTTGCTTCTGCCATAACATATAGGGCTCAAAGAGTTACATCTGTTTCCAGTGGCCAGCAACTTGGAACAGTCCACTCTTAGAGGCCCAATTCCAGAAGACTGGCACAGAAGAAGCTTTCGGCAGCAGGTTGATACCCTTCTCGAGTTTGAGTTGGCATGTTTTACTTGTCAGCATAGGCAGTAATAAGGCATATTCAGATGGCATCTCTATAGCCACTCTTTCTTCTGGTCCTTGGACCAATACTCTGGGATTGGGAGGCAGGATGATTACAGTCCCTTGTCACAGTGTGGAAAGTGAGACTCAGGTTAGTTCAGTGGCTTCTCAAGATCACCAGCTACTGTGCAGCAGAGGTTGAATCCAGGTCTTCCAGTGCAGAGTCGAAAGCTCTTTTTACTATTCCAGGCCAGCTATTCTGGGATGTCTCTTAGGGCTTTGACTTTGAAGGAAGTGCTTTTCCAGTGCGTGCATGTGCATGTTTGTGTGCGTGTGTGTGTGTGTGTGTGTGTGTGTACACATGTGTGTATATGTGTTCATGTGTGTGTGAGTGGAGTTGCAGGGCAGGACCAAGGGATCTGTCTCCCTTTGAGAGCAAAGTCAAGTTGAATTTTGAGGTATAGAGATAAATTATACGTATCTTGTGTTTCTGTTACTCTTTTTTTTTCTGTTCTTAATATAGGGTACATGAATAAGCTCCATGCAGAGCCACAAGGAATTGATCTTTCTTTTTCTTAAAATATTTGCCGTCTATGACTTATCAGTGTGTGCATGCATATGTGTAGATATATATTTTTCTCCTTTTTTTTGCAGACATGATTCTTTTTTACATACTTTAGCATGCCACTTCTAAAAGCAAGGACATTCTTCTACATAACCACAATATGATGTTTATTCCTAAGAAAAGTAATAATAATTTACAGTTATCATCTAACTTCTAATCCATATTCAGATTGCCCCAATTGTTCAAAAATGTTTTTATGGCTTTTTTTTTCTCCTAAACTAGGATACAAACAAGATTTATGCATTACATTTGGTTGGTATGTTGAACCAACATTCCTAATAAGCAGTTTTCATGAGCTAGAATCATCTGCAAATTAGAGTGAAACAACCCTCTCCAGCTGAGGCAGCTGTTAGGGGCTGGCCGTGAAGGTCTCATGGGAACCTTGTGTCTTCTCTCTCATGTCTGCTGACCAATCAGTAGGAGGAGCTGGACTCTCTGTGTCAGGATGGAGCGTGCCAGGGAGGCGGGGAAAGGGAAAGGCAGAGCTGCCTAGCTTCTTGCTGGAAAAGGCTATGGAGTCCAAGGAGCTGAAACCTGCAGTCCACAGCCAGCTTCTTAGGAAGCAGGGAGTTTTCCCAAAGGAGTGGTGCGCAGCCTGGAGTGTGAGCCTGTAGACACCTTGGGAACTGGGGACAATTGCTGGGAGATTTGGGAATCCTATGTGATGAAATGAGGGCAGATTTGGAACACAAGGTGCCCAGAATGTGTGTTTTTACTCTGACTTCATTTTCTGATTCTCATTCTATTTTTTGGTTACAGCCCTTTGAAAATGAACCTGCCCTTGTGGACATAAATAAATAGGTTTTTATTTGCAGTAGCCTGATTTGATGGCCTTTAGTTATTACCACATCATTAGGACATGCTGTAACTAATGCTTCACAAAGGTACCCACCATGGGTGCCTCTAGCACCTGCCCTTGCCTTTGTTATGTAGTGACTCATATCTGTGTCTGCCTTCCTTTCTGGACTGAGTGTTGTCTAGTTCCATTCTTAATACTGACACAGTGCCTGGCTGTGGTGCAAAGAAGATGCTCATGGAATAGGCTGCAGTGATCCAGAGTTGTAAGACAGAATGTTATGGGAGCAGATAGGAGAAGAAAAAATAAATGAATGAATGGATGCATGCACGAAAACATGATAATCAGGAGTGTTTTCCAAGAGGTTAGTAGTTGGAAGTTACTGGGAGATGGGATGAGTATTTATTTGATACATATTTATAAAGTATTTTTATGCCATAGTGCTGTTTTAATCACTTTATAAATAATGAATTTAATTTTCTTACAAACCTAGGAAGTAAGGACTGTTACTTTTCCTACCTCGTATGTGAGGAAACCAAAGCATAGACAGGTTAGGTGACTTATCCAAGGTCACATGGGTAGTAAGTTGGAGCTGGGACTTGATTCCAGATAATTCAGCTCTAGAGTCTACTGTTAGCCACCTCACTCTGTGTGGAATGGGGTTGGGTGTTCCAAAGTCAGGGAAATCACTTGGTAACTGGTGGACCCCAACTGTCTTACGAGGGCTGTCGCTAAGGCTGTCCTGGGCTTACAGACAACAGAGGGTCTGTCACCCAGCTGGGCCATCATGAGGGAGCTGGCCATCTTTGCCATTCCTGGGGCCTGACATCTCACAGCCTGTTGGTTATCCTTACGTGGCAGGCTTTCAGTGATGCGGATGCTTCTTGAGAATGCTCTTGGGCTTTACCAACCGGCTAACTTGCTAGCAGAGCTGGGAAGGCTGTGTCCTCTTGGGGTGTTCGGGAGGGCTCCTGAGCTGTCCTGGTGGTGGCACCCAGTCCATGCCAGGCCTGGCCACCAGGGCCTGACTTCTAACAGGAAGGCTGAGCCAGTGCAGCTCTGTGGTTGTGGCTGAGCCAAGCATCAGTGCTCTGCTAGACTCCTTTGTGAAGCTGGAGTCAGGAATATCGGCTCCCACTACCATAGAATTTCCTCTTGAAGATGAGCATTTGTTGATGTTTAATAATGTTGTTCAGTGGTTTGAATTGCTGCCCAATACTTGTCTTCACACATTGACAGAGCTGAAATAGGACTATCAGAGGAGTAGCCTTCTAGAGTTGGAAGAGAAGTGAAACATCCCATCCACTCTGTTAAGGCTTTGATCACTTCCATTGAACAAATTCTTCCTGAGCTTACAACTGTGCCTGGAGATGAGATAGAGGAAACCAAAAACCAAAAACCCCAAAACCTCAAGGAGCTTGCAATCTGTTGGATGTCCCTCTTTCCAGCTTTTGGTGGAAAGAAAGACTGGAGGGAGAAGGGCTGTAGCAGAAGAGCACCAAGAAGATGCAATAAATGACAAGGGGGAAGAGAGGAAGGCTGCAGCGCAAGGCCAGGAGGGTGGTGTAGCCTAAGTGCAGCATAGGCTTTACAGACCTAGTCCTGATTCTTGCTTCTACTGCTTACTTGCTTCACGCTGGAGAGCAAATCGCTTCTATCATGTTCTGAGTCTCAGTTTTCTCAACTGTAAAATGGGCTAATAATACCCCCTGGAAGAGTTTGTGTGGGATAGTGCCTAGGGCATTGTATTAGTTATCATCAAACAAAAGCAAGGGGAGAGCCATTTAGCACAAGGGTTTATATTGCTACACATCTCAGCAGGCTTTTAGGACAATACTCAGTCACAGCCACTGTGGCCTCTAGATTTCTAGGGAGCCTAATGAAAATACCATGGCCTGGGGAAGATCAAGGGTTCAGGAGTCAGGCAGTCTGTGTGTCCTACTAGCCCAGAAGCTTTAAACTTACCCTCTCTGAGCCTCACTTTTCCTATCTGTGAAATGGCCAAGTAGCCTGGATAGAAGGGCCAGGATCTACCACATGGAAGCAGAAAGTACAAGCTAGTAGAGAATATGGGTGCTGGCCCTGTAATGAGTGACCATATCCACTTGAGTGTGTGTTTGTATGTGTGTGTGTGTGTATGTGTGTGTAGAGGGGCACAGGGATGATTAACAAGGACAGAGGTAGGCCCGACATGGAGAAAGGTTCTCAAAGAACCCTCCCTGTAGAGTACAGGACTTACTATGGAGGTTTAGAGAGAAGGTAAGTGAAAGAAACGGGCAAGCAAGAAACTCACACTTATTAAATGCCTACCACGTACCAGGCACTTCACATCTCCTAAGCTCCTAGCCTTCACTGTAAACCCATCAGGCAGGCAATACTATTCCTAATTTTGAGATGGCCTCAGGAAAGGTCAGAGAAGGCAAATAAATTGCCCAAAGTCACAGCTCTTTGAATTCCAAAACTCTTTTCATATACACTTCTCTGCCTGTTCATACATATGTGTTAGGACAGGACTATATTCTGGGAAAAAGATGGAGTTGATATCAAGTGATAATAGTGTAATTCCTGTTTATAGAAACAATTGTAGGAGGAAGCCATTTCAAAGTGGTCATTTAGTCAGTTAATATGTATTGAGCCCCAGTCAGGCACAGTTCTAGGTGATGGGGATGCAGTAGAACCAGTCTCTCTGCCCTTGTGGAGAACTGAGAAGAGGAAACAAGTAAGTTCAGAAAGTGATCAGAGAGGAAATTAAACAGTGTGGTATGATGGAGCACTGGAGAGGTGCTGGGGACCTTAGATATTGTCTTAGTTTGGGTTCTTCCTAAAGCCCTGAGAAAAGGATTTGAGTGTAGGTAACAATTTGCAAGGTGATTCCAGGAAGCCTGCTGAGAAAGTAAGGAAGTGAAATGGGAAAGGAAGGGAAGCTAATAGAGCAAGCTTGTCCAACCCGCAGCCTGCAGGCTCCATGAAGCCCAGAATGGTTTTGAATGCGGCCCAACACAAATTCGTAAACTTTTTAAAAACTATGGGTTTTTTTGCTATTTTTTTTCTAGATCATCAGCTATCATTTTAGTGTATTTTATGTGTGGCCCAAGACAGTTCTTCTTCCAGTGTGGCTCAAGGAAGCCAAAAGATTGGATACCCCTGTAAACAGAGGGTAATTTAATGATTAGGTTACCACTGTGGGCAACTAGAGCTCATTCCTGCTGGGACCCTCAGAGGGACACTGACACATTTGCTGGACTATTGTTCCATCAGGGGCCAAGAAAGCTGGGGTATGTATCCACCTACAGATGTTCCTCATTGGTTGTGGAGCCTCCACCTCCAGAGAGTCCCAAAGCAGAGAAATATGTGTCTGACTTGAGTTAGGAAGCATTTATGGAGTGGAAGCAGTCTATGGAGGCTGCAGGTGGGTTGAGGGCATCCGTAGTGTCTGCTACAGCTGGTGTGCGTGGTCAGGCAGACTGCATTTGAGCTGAGACCTGGACTAGAGGGGGCAGCTATGGAGCAGCCAGAATGGTTCCGGGGGGGCTATTCTTCCACCCTCCTTCATGGGAACCTGCAGCTCCAAGAGTTAAAGTGCATCAGCAAAGGCGCAGCTGGTGAAATTCCCTAGCCACGCTGGATTCCTGCCGCCCCTCATTCCATTTTAACCCTTCTCCACTGGGTCACACAAATATGCCTCACTCTTATGAACCTGTGAATAGCCTTAGAAATGTATGCCTCATCAGATGATTTCAGTCCTGCTCTATGCCCCAGAATCTACCTTTAAATGCTTTAAACACTCCTAAACAGCTCTAAAATGTGCCCAAGTGTTCCCACCACTCTACCACACAGCTATTTTTAGCTCCAATGCCAATTTCTATTCCTTAGTATAATCTTTTTTTTTTTTTCTGGAAGAGAAGCTCACAACAAAATTTATCTCTACAGCTTATTCTAAAACCACTAACTCTCACGCATGTGCGTGCGCGTGCACGCACGCGCGCGCGCGCACACACACACACACACACACACACACACACACACACACACAAAATATCCCTCATAGACAACACTTTATAATTCAGGCAAAGGAAGACCAAAAGGAGAACTTAATACTTCTTATTTATTCCATTCAACAGTAAAGTGCCTTAAAAAGGCCATGCAATTATATTGTTATGTGATAATTATTAATTCTGCTATGAGCTTCCACTGAGCCCAGATCCCATCAAGCACCTCTAATTTTGCCTACAAGTCCTTCTGTACCACCTGATGGGTGCTGGGAAAAGAGCTGCCCTTCTCAACTCCTGGCATTTGGCTTTGATGGGTTTCCACTGCATATGCCTTCCTTTTTCATCAGCCACCATTTTCTAACATCTTTATGCATAAAAAAGACAAACTTATTGGGAGGAAATATCACAATCCCCCAAAATGCAATTTTCTTCCTTTCCATCTCCAATAAAGCATGTAGTGGAAAAGTTATTAGACATTTTTCCTAGTGGATTGTTTGTCAATAATATTAACAAAGCCAGTGTGTTGAATACCTGTATATGCCAGGTATTTGGGAGATTATTACAGAGGTTACATATTCTTGTTTAATGTAATCCTCAAAACGATTTTATTCAATAGTGATATTCTCTTTTTTAGATAAGTAGCTCTGCCTCTGTGACTTGCACATAAAGCAAATGGAAAAATCAAGGTTCCGACCCAAGTCTGTCTAATTCTAAAGCCCACGAACTCATAACCTGGCGTTTCTCTAAGTGTGGTCTCCGGACCAGCAGCATCAGCTTCACCTGGGAGCTTGTTAGAAATGCAAATCTTGGCCAGCATCCAGTAGAGTTTTTCCTAAGTTTTTCTCTAGGATTTTAACCAAAAGGAAAAGAAAAGGAAAGATGGCTGGGCGCAGTGGTTGGCCCAGCATGGTGGCTTACACCTGTAATCCTGGCACTTTGGAAGGCCAAGGTGGGCAGATCACTTGAGGTCAGGAGTTCGATACCAGCCTGGCCAAAATGATGAAACCATGTCTGTACTAAAAATACAAAAATTAGCTGGGCGTGGTGACCGGTGCCTGTAATCCCAGCTACTTGGGAGGCTGAGGCAGAAGAATCACTTGAACCTGGGAGACAGAAGTTGCAGTGAGCCAAGATCATGCTCCTGCACCCCAGCCTGTGAGACAGAGCAAGACTCTCTTAAAAAAAAAAAAAAGAAAAAGAAAAAGAAAAAATGCAAATCTTCAGGTTCCACCCTAGAACTACTGAATGAGAAACCCTGGGGATGAGGCCCAGCAATTCCTGTTAACCAGCCCTCCAGGTGATTCTTAGCACAGAAAAGTTTGGGAAACACTATCTTCACCCATTTGTTAACTACTGATAAAGAGTTCAACTAGTAGATGAACTTTGAAGGAGGTTAAAATTTTCCCCTCTTCTTTGTGAATGTAATTAAAGTGATACAAATTTCAACAAATGTATATTTTTCTTCTAGAAAGCATGTCTTTTACATTTTGGGAGGTTTTAACTTTCTGTCACCTATCCTGATTTATATCTAGGTCTCGCTACTTATTAGCAGCAGGATCTTGGGAAAGTTACTTAACCTCTGTAAGCCTTGGTTCCAAGTCTGTGTATTGCAGATGAGCAGGATTCTTGTGAGTATTGAGTCAGGATCTGCGAAAGTGCTTAGCACGATATCAAGCATATCATAAATATCTAACAAATGTTAGCTGATTATTACTAATTACATGATTGGTTTGCTTGTTAGCTATTATTAGTAACAGTTTCTAAACTGTTTAATGCTTTTAAATTATATCCCTCATTAAGACGTCCAGCATCAGTTTTATAAAACAGTTTTCTATAACTGACCTAACTTTTAAATCCTGCCATTCTTATGTTTGACTCTTAGCAGTAAGTAGAATGATCAGAGTAACTGTCTGGAAGAGACCATCAATATTCCCATAAAAATTATTTATGGAAATCTGACACATAGTTAGGTACTCATACATATTCGTGGAGCAATGAATTGAGTGAATGATCAGTCCACACAGGCCACTTCTAGTCCAAATATTGGCCCCATACACTGACAGGTTGGGGGTCAGGGGCAGGAAACTGTCTCTTGTTCTCTGTTGATGGGCCCAGCACAGAGCATAGAGCCTGGCACAGAAGTAGATTGTCAATAATTACTTGATGATCAAATTTTTTTGCTTTCCTTTTGATACAGATATGCTTTGTTTCCTTAACCTCTTCTATCATAATATGCTTTGGGATCTGATAAGGAAAGATCAGAGTAAATATATATTTCTCTCCCTGTATACTCTGCTGCCCATATTTTTTTAAAAATACAGTTTTTAAAGAATTATCAAATAAGACTTAGGAGCCAGGAGACCTAGATTCTCCATTCTGCTTTGCTGCCAGGCTTAGATGTGACAAAGGCCTGACGCTTAACTCTTGGGTTCTTTTATTCCTGTGTAAATGGAGAAGGCTGGACTAGATAGGTGTTTTCCACGGGGGACTGGGACCAAATGGTTGCGTGTGTTACCTAAGCACGGTGTTAAGTAACATTGGATCACATGGTGAGAAAGTCTTGTTTCACTTCCTCTTTAATCTTTCTGATTTAGTGGAGGAGAAAGCCTGATTTTGGCACTGGTAGGTATTTAATACCTCGCCAATGCTTGTTCATCTCCCTGTTTAACAGAGACCTGAGTTTGGATGAGGAGGCAACAGTATTCACCTTGTTTTGTTCATCATATTCATTTTTTAACCTTTTTGTTTTCTATTCATGAAAAGATGGTGTTTTTTTCACTTAAGATAATGAGATACATTTTCCTTTTAAAATAAATTGATTCCAGAAACAAAGAGTCAGTTGAATGTGAAGAAAAATTGCACTAGGTTAATAATAGAGCAGATAGGCTGGGGGTGTGGCAGAAATCCAAAAGATGGAAGGAGCCTCATGCCACAATGACTGTCAGCAAGTCTCGGGTGCTACAGTGTAGGGAGAACAGAACCTTGTCTTTGGTCAAGATTGTATGTCTGCACAGTCAGGCCAAGAAACATCAGCCCTGGTGCGGTGGTTAAGGCTGGAACCATCAAAGTGAGCCCCCACTCCAACCTGGAGATCACCGTAGAGATTCTGGTCCCAGCTCTGGGGCAGGGCCAGATGTGTGCATTTGTAGACACCTCCATAGATGGGGTTCTCGCCCATCCGGAGTTCCAGATAAGGACATGCAGTTAAGAGCACATCTAGGAGCTAGTTGTTTTTTTTTTTTTTTTTTTTTTTTGAAATCACAATGCATTCAGAGAAATTAGATGGACAAAAATGTTTACCACATCATTTTTATATGCGTAAATCATTGGAACACACCTACCTGCTCCACATTAAGATAAGAGTTAGTTATGAAATCCCTGGACAAAATATTGTATATCTATTCAAAATGATATATATGGGGAACTGTAGAGATGTAGAGAAACGTTTATGGTACAATGGAAGGTGGGGGGAATAGTAGACAAAATTGCATCTATAGCTTTATTTCAACTATGTAAAAGACATAGAAACAATTACAAGTAAACATGTTAGAGTGTTACTGGTTGTTATTTCTAGCTAAAGTGATTATGTGTCTTTCAAAAAATGTCTTTTTTTTTTTTTTTTACATTCTAAGCCTTCTTCTACAATTCTAAATGTTGACTATGCTCTCCCTTTCCTGTCAAATGACGAGCATCAATCAGACCTAATTAAAATCCTGTTTCTGTCTTGACTAATGTGAGACCTTGGAGAAGTCCTTAACTTTGTGATCCTCAGTTTCCCCCACTGAAAATTGGGAAGAGTTCCTTTCTCATGGGTTGCTGTGAGCAGTAAGTGAGATGATGCATGAGAGACACTTATGAGGGTGCCTAGCTCATAAGCCTCGGAAGAAATAGTACCTGCATAATAATAATGTTAATAATAATAATAATGTTATTGTTGTTATTGTTTTCCTCATTATTACTACTAGTGAATTTGAAAGGCATAACAATTTACTAAACCAAAGAGTCAAGCTGTAAAAAATGTAATTCTGAAGTTCCTCCCCTCTGCCTGTTGCATAAACACACGCAGGCATGCAGAGTGACATAAGTCAACAAATGCACATGTGCACACAGTCTTCTCTGGTGCTGCACACTCCCTGTGCTAGGAGTTTCCATATCCACAGGTTCAGGAACAAGAGGACAAGCTTCATCTGGTCCTCTTTGTCTACTATTTTGTCTACTATTCCCCCACCCCCCGCTGTCTTCTATTGTACCATAAACATTTCTCTACGGCTCTACAATTCCCCATATATATCATTTTGAATAGATATACAGTATTTTGTCTTGGGATTTCATAACTAACTCTTATCTTAATGTTGAGCAGGTGGGTATGTTCCAATCATTTGTGCATATAAACACTTCCTGAGGCATCTTTTATCTGTCAGACTCCTTGCTCAGCACACGCAACATTCTTTTTATTGTCTTTTTCTAAAAAAAATGAGGTAAAATTCACAGAACATAAAGTTAACCACTAGTCATTCTAAAGTGTACAATTTAGTGGTGTTTAAAACATTCACAGTGTTGTGCAACCATCGCCTCTATGTAGGTCCAAGACATTGCATCACAGCAAAAGGAAACTGTACCTATTCAGCAGTCACTCCCCATTTCCCCTTCCCCAATCCCCTGGCAGCCTCTAGTCTACTTTCTCTCTCTGCAACTTGGCTTTTAAATTTCTCTGCAGCCACACATAAAATTTAACCCTTATGTTTTCTTAGTTGTGCTCATTGAGCTTTTTCCCCTTTGCCATTTGGTTAAAGATCCTGTGAAATGAATAAGTGGACTGAATCCCCACTTCCTTGTTTGGAAATTTTAGGTTCTTTGCAATTGAAACCAAAATGTCTGTGTGAATTCATTTAAAAAGCAGATTTTCTTTTCCACAAAGGATTTGGGGCTGTTTGGGGCTTAATTATTATGTCAGGTGATCCAGCTTTAGTCCAGATGAGGACCCTTTGTAAGAAGCTTTGCCATGAGGGCAGCAGCTTCAGCGGAGGGTCAAGGTCCTTCTGAGCTGGGAGGCTGAAATGGAACACATGTGGCTCTGAGCCAGTGAAGTGCTTTCTTGGGACTGCCCTGCTGTCCAGGAACTGAAGCTGGGTTCAAATGCTGACTGTCATTCTCTGGGCATGTGACCATGGCCAAGCTAATACACATGATGAGCCTCAGTTTCTGCATCTTTGAAAGGGTGATCATTGTGAGTATTTTGCAGAGGATTAAATGAGATAAGACTGGTGAACCACCCCCACCACCCCCCTCAACCCCCCGGATTTTTTGGCCTCATAGCTTTGCTTCTATGCATGAAGTGCTGAATGCCATTTCTGGTACTGACTCAGATTCTTCATGTGCCAGTCTGGGTACTGACTTGTGGAGTGGATAGTGGTTGAGGGAAGACAACTGGGGGTGGGAGGAATGGGAGAATGTGAGTGTCGAGGGGTGGGCTACCTCTTGGGCACTGGCAATTACATGACAGTGGAACAGCATTGCAATTTAGTTTTGTGTTTTTCATTGTAACCCAACTGGCAACAGAACAGTGATGGGAGATGGAAAGGGTATCAAATTTGACTAGTGAGTTGCCCCTTTTGGTCCCTTCCTTAGAGTAAGCCTCAGTTTCTTCATCTGCAAAATGGAACTATCAGTGCCTTCTCTGACTACCTCGCAGAGTTGCTGTGAAGAAAAAGTGAGATAAAAATGTACCTGAAAGCATTTGTAAAATGTAAAGTGCTGTATAAATGTAACTGATTATTGTTTCATTTAAAAGACATGGTTTTGTTGATATCTCATGAAAAACAGTGCTAGTCCTCCCATTTAGTCATGGCGACAACCTTTTTGTCATAAATGTGCATGGGAGAATCGTTGGTTAGTAGGTGTTTTCCTTTATCCAAGTGGTCTGAGCTGGAAAATATGGAGAATTCCTTCACTAAAGGGCCATATCTTTTGACTCTATTGACAGCATGTCATGTGGAACTCAAAACTGCCTTCGTGAATGCAGATAGATTGCATCTATTAGCTGCCTCTTGTCATCATGACCTGCCAGAAGGGAAAATAAAATGTGCCTACAAATATTTCAATATTTATGTTGTGTGAAGGTTTAATATTCATTTGGAGCAGTGAATGGGGAAAGAGAAAAAAAAGTCCACATCCTTTACTTTGGAAATTGCTCAGTTCAACAAGAATTTATTGAGTACCTACTATGAGCTAGTGAGTGAATGATATGCTAGTGTCTACCAAAGAAAGACACCAAATTCTAATATTGACAACTTCATGTTTGCATACTTTGTCAGAAGCCTTGGAGAATCCCAAGGTCAGGAGTCTTTGCTCATTCCTATGGGGGAACTGATGAAATCTGCCCAGAGGTTGGGGAAGAGGGAAGTAGGTGAAATGGCTGCAGAGGAGAGGTGTTTGTAGTAAAATTGGGGAAGAGAGGAGAGTGGGAGGGGGTGGATCAGACCTCAGAAACACACTCCTACCTGTTAGGATGTAGGTGTGTGCTTGCACTTGTGGGTGGGACCAAGAGACAGGTGTCAGTAGCCTGGAGTTATAAAAACCAAAATGCATTGAATAATTGGATGGGAAACCACACATAAGAAAAGGACTCTTAGCAAGTGTATTTTTTCCAGCAATGCAAAAGTGAATTTACAAGCATATTGTTGTAGCTGTGAAGGGGCAAGCTCTACTAAAGGGATAGATGGTACATGAAAATAAGTTGTAAAATGTTGTTAATTGAAGAATATGTTGATAATTTGTGTCACTGATATTCAGTGTTTTGAATATGTTGTCATTGTCATTTCTCATTATGTAAAAATATAATAATTTTACAAGTTCACTGGTGACTTCATTCCCCTAACCCTATTTTTTCCCCAATAAGGTCCTAAATTCCTGAAGCCTGACTTCTCCTGCCCCAGGGGTTTTCAGAAACCTAACCCCCATGGTTGGCGAGGGACTGCTGTGTGTGAAATGGTAACTGCCCTCAAGGAGCTTACAATCTAGCTGGGGGTAAATGACTTGCACATGAACACAACTAGACTGTGAGCTTCTAGAGGGCAGGGACCTTACCCTAGTCATCTCTCTTCTCACCCTGCACACCCTCCCTGAGGGATCTCATCCATCCCCATGGCGTCAACCACCACCTGAGGACCCTCTAGGCCTGAATTGTCTCCTGAGTGCCACACCCAGCTCTCCAGCATCTTCAGTGTTCCTCCCCGGGTGGAATGCTCCACAGCACTGCCAACTCAACCTGCTCACCAAAACCCAGCTTGTCATATCTCCTCTGGGCCAGCCCTGGCTTCCAGGCTCCTGGACTTGGTCCCCCAGATCAAAGATCCAGGGGTCACTCATTTGGACTGAGCTTGATGGAAAAGTGCTTATGTTTCAATGTTAAGTAAACTGGGGAGCCTATCAAATGTATAGACATGATGAACTCATTGATGTTAAGTACATAGATGGAAAGAGAAATGCTTCAGAATGTATTAGTGGTTGCCTCTAATGGTAAAATAATGATTGACGTTTTCTTTTTCTGACACCCTTGTGCTTTCCAAATCTCCTGCAAAAAGTATTTATTACTTTTGTAACCAGCAAAAATGCCTAATAAAAATGATTGACAGGTCTCCATTTGAGTGTCACCTTTTCTGGGAATTATTGTTTATTCCTTTGCATCTCAAAGAGTCTGAGGCTCCGGGGTTAGACAGCCTCAGCACGTGTGCTTACCCTGTTGGGGAACTTGTTGCACTGTGTTCTTTCTGTAAATCGGCTCTTCCATTAGTCTGTGAGCTCCGAGAGGGCAGGAATCATGGTTATTCATCTCTCATTTCCAGTGCCTAGCACAAGGCTTGCATACATAACTGCTCAATACATGCTTGTTCTTTAAAGGAAGAGAGGGAGGGAAGGAGGCAGGAAAACAAAAAGGTGAAGGACACCAGAATTCTCAAATGTTATACCTCCATGGATCCCTTGTATTATTTCCTGTCCCCAAGATCCTTTGTTTATTAAGCTTTTGAATCTACTGTACCACTGATTTTTCACTCGGTAGTTTGAATTTTTCTGTTTTTTAGTAATCATAGGCCTTATAAATCCCAATCAGAGCTTCTCAGGGCCAAGTCTGGCATATGCCACCTGCTGTCCCAAGTCTGACTTGGGCAGAGTGCCCCCTGCCTGACACCTAGGTCATGGCATGCAGGGCTATCTCCAGTTCTCTGGAGCTGAGTGTACCTTCTGGAGCTTCTTTTAAAGTGGAACGATGGCAAACTGCAATGTCTGTGGGAGGAGGAGAGCAAGGGAACAGATAACATAAGAATAGAAGTGACAATTGCAAACTTCAATTGTGTGTTTCCTCTGTGCAGGCACTGTGCTATGCATCAACACGCACTGTCCCCTCAGCCCTCACAGCAGCTCTGTGACACAGGCACTATTACAATTGCCATTTTGTAAGCAAGGAAACTGAGGCTTAAAGATGCATTAGATGGGGAAACTGGAATTTGCACTGATTGCAGAGCTTAAGTCCAGCACTGCATCCCTCTTCTGAAGTTCCAGGAAGAGCACAGGGAGGAGAGGGCAAGAGAGATGCCTGTCAGGAGAAAGGAGCAGTGTTTGCAATTTCAGAGCCTTGTTTGGGGATGTGCCAGCATAGAGGAGTTTAGCCCCGAAGGCACAAAGCCCTTCACAAAGTCTGTGACACTCCTGAAGTTGTAGGCAATTTGTTCCAGGTATGTGCATTGTCTGGGAAGGTCTTCAAAGGAGTCTGTGTGGTTAAAAAAAAAAAAAATGGTTAAGGAAGCGGACCATGGAGCAGAAAGTTGCAGTGACTGGATTCTGGCTCCAGGCTGCAAATTTAACCATTGAATATCACCCAACAGGATGGATATGGGGATATGGTCTTGTTGATAAAGCATCTCCCTCACACAAGACTTGGAGAAATAATCCTGGAGGGTGTGTGTGTGTGTGTGTGTGTGTGTGTGTGTGTGTGTGTGTGTGTGGTGTGTGTTTATGTGTCTCCCAGGTATTTAGAATCAACTGATTACCAAATCAATCAACAAATATTTATTCTAGCAGAGACTTGATAGCTCTCTGGTTTGTCAGGGTTGTTTAAAGAAGGATTTCTGCCTTGGGTGGGAGTTTGGGCTAAAGAGATAATAATAATTACCATTTATTGAGTGTTGGTTGTGTGCCAGCCAACTCTGCTGGGCACTTTATATACATGATTCCACTTAATCCGCACAACAACACCGACAAGGAAGGTTTTATAACCCATTCTTTACAGAGAAGGAACTCAGAGGGTTTGAATATCTTGCCTAAGGTCATAGTAATTCAATCTGTGTAAGTAGAGGAGCCAAATTTGACTCTACGTCTGTTTCCAAGATTCCACATGTTTCTGTTTCTCTCTTTTTTTTTGATGTGAATGTATGTGTTTCCACCAGAACTAAGATCCATCAAGTTATCAAATTAATAAACAAATGTATTCAAGCAAGACTCGATGCCTGTTAATTAGCCAGGCTGTATTATAAGGGAGCCTTGCTTTGAGTAGCATCTTGGACAAGATCGCCTCCAAGTTCCTCTCTAATTTTAGGGTCTCCTCTCAAATTCCAAACAATCAGTTTTAAATTTTTCTGATAAAAACTTATTGCTCTCCCACTCCCCAGTTCTTCTTCCTTGGCTATGGTAGCAGGGACCACAATCTTTCTCTGCCTTCCTAACAGATTAGTCCTTGTCCATAAGCATTTCAAATAAGAAGAAAATACCCATGTAAATATGGGAAACAACTACTCATTTCAGCTGATTCTCCTTCCCCAGAGAAGAATATGGAACCAGTAGATTTCTGCTCATTGAAAGAGTTGGAACTCATATTCTGTGCCTGGTGGACTGGCTTGCCTTCAGGAAATTGCTCGCTAATCAGAGTGAGAAATGGCACAAAAAATGCTGGGAATCATTTGGGTGGGTGAGATCTGGGGCTGTCTTTATGTTTCTGCCTATGGAAAGTCATGATACAGGGTAGTTACAGTGACATCTCCCTGCTGAATAAATCCTGTTCTTTTGTAATGAAGCATGGCAGCCAGGCCTAGCACACTTCCCTCTGCACACCATCCTGCTCAGGCCTCTGTGCCTCGGCTGTGCTGTTCCTTCTGCTTGGAATGCATTCACTGTGTCCACTTAGCCAATTCCTACCTATTCTTCAAGCCTCAGTTCCAGTGTCCCCTCGAGGGCAGGCAGTGCTTTCCCATCTGCCCTAGGTCCACTCTACCAGCCTCTACTTGGGCCCCCAGCATACCTTATCTGTCTTCCATCTCCTCAGTTTAGAACCTAACACACTGTGGCACTCTTTTTTTTTTTTTTTTTTTTTTAAAGCATCTGACTATCTTCTATCACAGGGCCAGGTACTCAAAATATATTTATTGAATACAGTTGAATATATTCTGTGATCATCCCTGATCATGTTAAGTTCTATTGGGTCCATACTATTTAGTAGCCTAACCCAGGTAGGACTAAAACTAAGCCACTTGTTTGTGCAGCAGTTTCTGATTACAAGTGGTTTATATTCCTGTCCGCACTCAGTGAAGAGGAGCTACCACTGTTAGTATTTCCATAATGTGAATAGATGAGAAAACCAAAGCATAGAGAGGTTAGATGGTCTGCCCAGGGTCATGCAGTTTGTAAGTTGCAGTGGCCCACAGCCCAGCTCTCTCTCAGGACCCTGAGAGGTAAGGCTGGATGAACATTGCTGACTGTTAAAAGCACCTGACCACTGAGCCAGGTGAGATGCGCCCACCCCTACTTGTCTGCTGCTCCTGAAGATTCACAGGTAAATTGAGCCTCTTCTTATTGGATTCTATTTTGAACTCATGGTGCTGGGGGTTGTCCTAGATTAAAGGACACATGAGGTGGGGAGTTGCAAAGCATAGGAAAAAAAAAGTAAAGCACAGAATGTGTAGCAAACTTGGGCCGATGCTGCATTTTCTACCTTCTGTCTGCACTGGATTCCTTATAATTTGTCTTGCACAAATTGGGATAAATACAAACAAGCACACATATGTAAATTCATTCATTTAAAAAATAATCTTTCTGAACCTTAATTTTTCCTCGCTGGGAATGATAGTCTTTTGTGCAAGGATGTCACACAAATTTAATGAGAAAACTCATATAAATGGGCCTTGCATGGTGACAGAGCTGGCATTTCCAGACTGTTTTCCTTCTAACTTTCTACCATGCAACCTCTATTTGACAGTATCTGTGGACTGGTTTGCTGATTGCTCACAAGCCCCAGAAGAAAGGAGGGGGAAAAATCATACAAACTGCCCTAAGTTTTGGGCCACTCAGCAGCCAGCCCTCCCTAAAAATTCTGAGATAAGAGAAACATTGCCAATAGAAGTACTGTGATCCCCCAGACCTGAGTGCCCTTCCTGGCTTTTGCCTTCCTGGCTCACAAAGCCTCCTAACCCTTTGCATTCTCTACTTACTCTTATTCTGTATCTGGTTGCTGGGGTATCCTTCCTTTTTGACCATGAGTGGCAGTTACCTCTGGCCTGTAAAGGAATTATTCAGATGCCAAAAATTTGGAGATAGCCAGTTAACTCAGGAAATGGTATCCGGAGAAGAAGCAGGAGTGACACATCTTTGGGGTTCCTGGGTAGCCATGTAGCACATAGTTGGAGGGGGCAGGCTTTGAGTCACTCAGAACTGGGTTAGAATCCTGACTCTGTGGCTTACTGGTTTTCCAGCTTTGTTCCAGTTACTCAGTCCCCTGGGCTTCAGTTTCTTTACTTACAAAATGGGGATGTTAATAACAGTAATACCTATAACTATGGGGCTATGTTGAGGATGAAATAAAATGATGTATAAAAATCAATGAGAACACTGCCTGGTACATAGTGGGCTACCATGAATTTTCTGTCCTCAGCCATGACTAGCTGGAATGGCCTTTTCCTTCTTAGCTCCTGCTTTTCCTTGAATCTCATCCCTTTGAGTGTTCTGCCCTAACACGTCAAGCCAAATTCTGTGACTTCCTCTTCTGAGGCCCAGAGGTCTGCCATCTGACCTATAGAGTCCCTGCACCTGCGTCCTTGACTGGGTTCTGAAGCCCCCTTGACACAGTGCTCAGGAGAAACTCAAAGAGGAAATGAAAGGCAGAGTCCCTTGTATCAATGACAGCAGCCCAGGCTCCCTCAACCTTTGCCTTGGCAAACCGACTCAGACAGTATTTTCATTTGATTCTGTCTTTCTTGGCTTTGGTTGTGACTCATAAAGCTATTCAAGCCACTCTATTTTCTCTGCCCCTGAGAGACTAAATGGTCCTATGGAGTGTGAACCAGAGAGGAGAGAGGTCTTGGGAGACCCAGTGGCCACCATGCCTGAAGGTTAGAGGGGAGAACCATGCATGCGTCATACAAAAGAAAGGGAAGTGGACGCTTTGGCTTGGCCGCTGGAGCGCTATTATGCCTCTAGCCATTCCTTTGCCGGCCTCCCAATTATGGCTGCAATTTGGCAGCCATTTCCTTGCCCTGGGGTGGAAGGGGTCCCTGCAAAGGTATGAACAGTTGGGCTGCTTTGGGAGCCAGGAAGGCAGAAGTGACCATTTAGGTCTGGGGATCACAGGGCTTCTATTAAGAATGGTCCTGTTGTCTCAACTTTTAGGAGGGACTGAACCCTGAATGGCCCAATTTTGTGTGATATTTTTACCTCCTACTTTCTGGGACTTGCAATAATAAAGTAATTAGCAAACCAATCTATAGCTACTCCTTGAACAAGAACTAGATATAAAGCATGATACAAAGAACCATGAGAGATAAGAAGCTAGGATGGGGTAAGACACAAATTTAAAAAATGCCTAATTGGACCATACAGTGGGGGAGAATATTAAGACTCATACAGTTGGAGTGGTTGGAATTCTAAGAAGCCATTAGGCTGGTCAAGAAAAGCTTACAGAAGGATCAAGCTTTCATCTGAGTCTTAAAAATGTGTTGGCCATGAAGTACTAGAGATGGATGGGAAGAACATAGGCAGGGGGAAGGTCTGAGCAAAGGTGCATCCAGGAAAATAAATGCATGAGGACTTGATGTTTGTTGCACACCTGCTGAGAGCTAGACACTTGGTATGCCTACCAACTATAAACTAAGACTAATATTATTGCCTCCATTTTACAGATGAGTAAACTGAGGCCAAGGAGCTCCAACTAGCTCTTTGGCTGCTCAAGAACAGGGACAAATATGTCTTACTTATCTCTGTATCCTGAGTACAGAGTTCCAGAACAGGCCTCTGATAAATATTCACGGATATTAAAGGCCATAAAGCAGAGCCAGGATTCAAACTCAAAATCCCCCCAAGGCCTGTGTTATCCAGTTATTGGAGTGAGTATGAAAGTGTTTCTAAAAGAGGAGTGGGCAGTAAATGTCCAGAGAGGATTGAGGGGAATTCTGAGTAAAATCCAAGAGGTAGGACCTGATGCTATACCTTCTGGGAGCCATAGAAAGCCCCTGGGCTGAGTAATCCGATGCCTGTGGCCTTTTGGAACTTGGGCGAATTTGTCAACAACAACACGGAGCTGGTGACCGATTGAGTGGGTCATGTTTTATCCTCTTGCTGCATTTCCTCAGAGCACCCTGTATGCCCGGTCCTCTTCAGGAATGTGTTCCTGGTGGCAAGTTCTTGTCCAAAGTATCCTCCATCTAGACTGTGAACTCTGTGCAGTTAGGAATGGAGTCTGTGTGATTCACCCCTGGATCCTCAATGCCTGGCCCTGGAATATAGTAGGCACTCAACTATCACCTGATGTGTCAATTTTAGATAACGATGGTTGGTACCTATACAGATCATTTCCAGAGGCGTCTTGCTGACAGCAAGGGACTGGAAGGAAAATAGCTGATGTGAAGAGATGGCAGGAGATGTAGGAATTCAGGGAGGAATTAGTTGTTTTTTTCTCTGTGTTGCAACACTTGGCTCATCTGTTTGGGCACCTTCTCCCTGTCTTGATTGGCATATTAGCTTCCTACAGCTGCCATTGCAAAGTACCACAAATGGAATGGTTTAAAACAACAGAAATTTATTTTCTCACAGTTCTGGAAGCTAGAAGTCTGAAATCCAGGTGTTGGCAATGTTGGCTCCTTCTTGGGGGCTCCAGGGGTGGAATCTGTTCCATGCCTCTGTCTGGTTCCTGGCTTCTGGTGATTGTGACACTCCTTGGTGCTCCTTGGCTTGCAGCTGATAAGTCCAGTCTCTGCCTCCGCCCTCACATGGCTATCTTCTCTCTATATCTTCATGTCTTCACAGGGTGGTTTCCCCACTCTGTGTGCCTGCTTGTGTCTCCTCCTCTTCCTATAAGGACATCAGTCATACTGGATGAAGGGCCTACCCTATTCCATCAGGACTACACCTTAACTTACATCTTGATTACATTCACAAAGACCTTGTTTCTAAATAAGGTTGTATCCACAGGTACCAGAAATTAGGATTTCAATATAGCTTTTGGAGGAACATGATTCAACTCTCAGTAGTTCGTTATCACATATTAGTGTTAAACAAAATAATACCTCTATATGGTGTTTTATGGGTCATGCGACAGTGATGATTGCATTAAATTCTCACACTAACCCTAAGGGTAGCTGGCATAATCAGCCCTATTATATATTCTGAAACTGAGGTTCAAAAAGTGATTTGCTCAAAATTATACAGTGTAGAAGTGACAGAAGGAGGAGGACCTGAAGCTGGGACTTCCAACTCATATATTGTTCTCTCCCCTTGTGCTTCTGACCTTGGGAGCTGCTGGGATGCGGGGGTAGGCATGCCACCCTCCTCACATCCCCACAGGGCTCACAGGATGCTTGAGGAGAACCAGGTGCTCTGTAAATACTTGTTGGCTTGAATTGCATTCAGAAGCTCACCCTTGCTCTGGAGAGAACCTTCAAGGGTAGCAAACAATGACTTTTACTGAACATGTCAGAGAGTGTAAGCCAAATTTTGAGAGAACTAGGGTTTAGTGAGTCTGTGGGCATTTCCGCAGGTGAGGTGTTGAATTCACTGTACCTCATTCCAAGCTGCGGGGAGCCAGGGTTCAATTCTCACTTTCTTCCTTTCAGAGAACAAGCCTGAGGCCCCTGCCAAGGCTTCTTCTCCCCTCTCGTCTGCTCCCCTCCCTCCTTCAGTGTCACCCTCTTCCTCCAGGCCTGTTCTTACTCTGATGCATCCTCCAACCCCCCACTGCCAGAGCCAGACAGCCATCTGCTCCTCACTCCCCCGTGTCTCCGATGGCCCCAGGGCAAAGTCCAGACTCCTGCTGACTGTAGCACGCACTGCATCCTCTGGCAGCACCACCTATTGGAACACACCCTCACATTTGTGTATGACACAAATTGTGAAACACACCGAGTCCCTTCAGTAAGACTTGGCTCTTCAGTGGTGCCCATATGCATCGTGGAGTGCCCGCCTCTGCTCCTCTGGGCAAGCTTTCTGAAATCCCTGTTTCCTCAGCCTGCCTTTTTTGCATTTCAATCTCATTTGCCATTGTTAAAATAAAGGAGCTGACCAGAGGGCTGACGCAGTCCCATCAGTTTAAGACTTCAGAAGTGGGAAACAGCAGGTGTGCTTTTGCCCCTTGTTAGGCTATAAGAAGCCACTCTGACAGCCACTGAGGACTGAAGGATGGCTTTGCTGTTGTCCCATTTTGTCTTTAAAAGCATCCTGTGAAGGTGCTAGGATTAACTTAGTGTGAAGATGAGGAAACGGAGACCCAGAGAGATATCTGTCTAGGAACTTGCCCAACGAGCTGAGTTTGAATATCGCTTCCACCAGCTGCCAGTCATGTAGTTTTGGGCAAATTTCTTGATCTCGGAGCCTCTTCTTTTTTAACAGGAGGATCTCTGAGACTCCTCTTATATTCCACAAGGCTGTTTTGAGGTCTAAACCCAGTAATCTACCTGGCATACAGTAAGCACTCAGTTGACTGTAGCTGGATTTCAGAGTGGAAAGAAGGGAAAACCGTGACAGAAAAATAGCTACAAGGAAAAGAGGTTAGGAGCCTGGAGGGTGCAGAAGAGGCACGAAAAGGGGAGTTATCAGGCACTGTGGGGGGTTTGGGAAATGACACTAGGGCCTGATAGTGCTCAATATTTGGTGTCCAAGATAGGAGCCAAAATGGATTTCTCACTAAATTCTTAGTTGTGTCTTCACTCCCTTGCTGTATGTGGATCACTCTGTCCCTTCGGAATGTTAACATGCTGGGAAATTCATGTGTCATTTTGGTCAAACGGAGAGAAAGGGAGAGACAAAGGTCAGGATGGGTGACTGAAGCAGCCCAAGAAAGAAAACATGTTTAGGAAGACCTTAAACCCTACGTCATGCTTTATAAGTCTGGAAGATGACATTCAGAGGGGCTCTGTAGCTTGCCCAGAGTTGCACAGCAAGTAGATAGCAGAGATTAGGACACCTGTTTCCCAGGACCTATTTATCCCTGCTGTGTCACAGCGATGCAGGACAGAAGGGGCAGGGCCCAGGCAGCCCAATCTGGGAAGCCGGGACCTGTGGTTGATTGCCTATATCCTGGTTTCCTTACCCCAAATCCTTGTGATCCAGGAGCACACAAAGAAACATGTGGGTGTATATTCTCCCTGCGACTTTCCTTTTCTAAAGGGACTTTCACTAGCAAGCAACCCAGCCATCCTGGCTGCTAATGTAACCTGTCACTTCAATGCCCCAAGGCCATCAGCAATTCACAACGTGCGTATCTCCTAATTAGCCAATGAAGTAACTGTTCCATTTCCCTTGCTCCCTCTGCCTCCAAGTTCACAATATGTTCTCTCCTGCTCAGCTTCAGCTCATGTCTTCTGTTTCTGCCCAGAACTTCCCTGTGAGCAAACATCATAAGGAAAGGGTTATCTTGGGATGTAAGACAGGGGATTAAGGTTTCCGCTCTGAGACCCAGCTCCATCTCCAAACCCATCCTTCAGAGTTCCTGGGGCTAAGCCACTGTGGATGTTGGCTGTCCTTGACCTCAGAACTGGATTTTTCTGTCTGAGAACAGGCTGATGGAGTCTGTGTTGGTTATAAGTAAATGTTTTCTGTAATATCAACTGCATGAAAGAGGAAAGCCAATTTTATTTCTTGGATCCCAATAATATATTGATTTTTTTTTCAAAGGGAAATAAAAAATCATTTGGCTATGCCAAACCAATTTTCTGTATCTTTTGGTGGAGGGGAACAATAGGAGTGCTCACAGCTGTCCCATAGAAATAATAAATGCATGTCCACAGTCCATCATTGAAAGCCCTTGGGGTGAGGTGTGTTTCAGAATTTGGTTTGTTTTTAGATTTTTGAAAGGAAATAGGGTGCATATACTGTATATTATGTGATACGTCTGAGGCTGTGCTCCATAATCAAAGCCATTAATTTCTCTGCAGCAAAATGTATGATTGTACACACTAAGTAGGAAAGATAAAGACAGTAAATAGCTTCACATTACTTCATGTCAGGTTTTTCACCCAATGAGTTATAAAAAAAACCCAACCTTTTGGTTTTAGAATTTTTTGAGTGTCAGGATTGATAAGGGCCTGTGGCTCTCTGATTAATATTTGCTACTTTACTATATAAATTCATAGAGAGATGAAGATTGCCTGTATGAGACTGCATAAATCAATTTTCAGTAGTTCCCAAAGACATGTGGACCTCAGGTACCCTAGGGGAGCCTGGTTCCACTTGGCATCCCACAGGCTAGCACAGATCAGGCCCTGAGGAAGGAACTGAGAAACATTGGGTGAGTAAATGCATCTGCAGGCTCACTGTTGGCACAAGGTCTGTTGGGTCCCAGGAACTGGCCTACTGTTGAAATTATGATGGAAAAAAAAAAGGAACTATAAAACAATAGCAATAGCTCACCCTTGTAGAACTCTTACTATTGCCAGGCATTGTTCCAAATGCCCTACATATTTTAACTCACTGAATTTTCATGACTACACTATCAGGTGGCAACTATTTTTAGAAATGACTCCCCCAAGTTCACATAGTAAGTGGCAGAGCCGGGCTTGGCACCCCAGCATTTTGGCTTCTGAGTTCACACTTTTAATGACGCTGCCTCTTATGTAAAAACCATGTCCACTAAAGCCAGGCTCAAGCAAACAAGAGTTAGACTGGCAAGAATGAACCTCCTTAATAAAATAATATGCATTATTGAATACATACTGTGTGCTAGGCTCTATACTCAGCTCTTTGTATTATTCTACTTAAGCCTCTAAATAACTATATAAAGTAGAGTTTCATCCCCCACTTCCCAGGTGAAGGACCTGAGGCTCAGCAGTGGAGGACATGTGGGGCAGGATTCAAACCCAGGACACATTGGCCTGGAGCCAAGGATCTTGGAGTGAGGTCACAGATACTGGCCTTCAGGAGCTTACATGGAAGCCCAGGGACTAATGTGGCATTCTGAGAACAGCTGGAGCCAGACCGATCTCTAGGTTATATGCCAGCATGTTGAGGAGGACTAGAAAGACTCTGAATCGGCCTCTCTTTCCTGACCCTGTATTCTTGGTTAGTTTCACTTTCTCTGTGGGCCCCAGCTTCTGAAAAATGAGGATAGCAGTACCTGCCCTGACTGTTATAGTGGGTGATACTTGTGATTCAGGGAGCTAAAGGATATTAAAGCACAATTTGGTTCTTTCTGTTCTCTTGTCTATGCACAGAGGTGCCAGGAAGGGAACTATATCCAAGTACTGTAGAGAGCAAATGGCGTCTTTTGGAAGAAGAGCAGAAGGGGAAGGGACTCTAGCCCTTTCCCATTAACTGTGCTGGCACAGGCCTTGGAGTACCCCTCCCCCAAGACAAGGAAGGGATGGTGCTGGTGGCTCTGTCTGGTCTTTGGTGGTCCCAAGAAGGTCTCCTGGACCCCTCTCTTGCCCTGACCTCCTATGCCCATTGGCTGCCAAGCCCTGCACTATTTCCTCTTCCTTTAACCTCTGAGGTCTGCATTTCCCACCCCACCTTCATTCCACTGCTCTGTATTAGGCCTCACCTGCCCAAGCCAAGACTAAACGATGGCTGCTTCCCTGGCCTCCCTGTCCCCAGTCTCTCTTCCTCAAATCTATCCCCACACAGCTGCCAGAGTCCTCCTCTTAACAAAAACCCACCATGTTACTTTTCCATCAACTATAGCAGGAGTCAGCAAACGTTTTCTGGAAAGGGCCAGGTAGTAAATATTTTAGGCTTTACAATCCAAGGGGTGAAATTGAGTCTACTATGTGAGTACTTACCTAATAAGAGAGAAAACACATTTCACAAATCTGTATTGATGACATTCAAAATATAATAATAATTGAGTACTTTTTTGTGACACAGGTCTACTGATGGGAGAAATGGAACTTCTTTTTGTGGGGGATAACATTTTGCCTAATTGGAGTTCAAATTGGAGTTTGCTTAATTGGAGTTCATGCTCCCTACAATGAAATTGATTGCAAATATTGATCTGTAAAAACCATTCTTAGTTCTCAGGCCATACAGAAATGGATTTGGCCTGAGGCCCATAGTTTGCAGATGCCTGGACTATAGCAATGCTTCTCAACATTGGCTGCATGCTGGAATCACCTAGGGTGCTTCTAAGAAACACTGATGATGGGACTCGGGGCCTAGGCCCATTAAACACTTATCTCTGTGCTGGGCACAGTGGCTCACACCTGTAATCCCAGCATTTTGGGAGGCCAAGGCAGAAGGATTGCTTGAGGCCAGGAGTTTGAAACCAGACTGGTCAACATAGCAAGACCCTTGTCTACAAAAAAAAATTAAAAATTAGTCAAGCGTGGTGGCACATGCCTATAATCTCAGCTACTCAGGAGACTGAGGCAGGAGGATGGCTTGAACCCAGGAAGTCAAGGCTGCAGTGAGCCATGATTTTACCACTGCACTCCAGCCTGGGGGATGGAGTGAGACCTTCTCAAACAAACAAACAAACAGACTAAAAAAACCCCACTCGTCTCTGGGCATGAGGGCAAGATATCAGTATGATTTGAAAGATGCTTCATAATTCTGACCTGCAGCCAGTACTGAGCACTGCTGGCCTACAGGACAGAGGCCAAGAACCTTCCCTGATCTGGTGCTGCCAACCTCTCCAACCTCTTTTCCTGGCTCTTCTTGTGTCCAGCCTTTGTCCAGTAACACCAAGTGGTACTTTCTTATTTCTGGGTTTGGCTCACACTGTTCCCTCTGGGAATGCACACATCCCAGTTTTCCTCCATTAAGCTTTAGCTCCGGTGTCCTCCTCTTCTCCAGGAAGATGCCCTCTCCTCTCCAGTTTTGGAGTCACTTGTATTTTGTCATGCTTTAGCATGCCACACTGTGCATGGAATTGCTCATTTACCTCTTGGAACCCTCCATGACTGTGAGCTCCATGAGGGCAGTGGCCACATCTCATTCTTCTTGGATGCTTTATAGCTGGCATCCCATCGAGTGGTGCTCAGTAAACATTTGCCAGAGGAATAAAGGGATTAGGCACAAACTAAGTAGCCTGGGAGGAACTCCTGCCTGTGTGCACGAGGCCCCACTCTTACGCCCAAAGGAGCCAGATCTAGTGGGGGTGGGAATGAAGGTATGGCAGGCAGTGGTTTGTTTCCTATTCCTGGTACAATAATCACCAGTTTATTTTCTGGGAATCTCATGTTTTCTGTAACTTGCATTTTCTCACATTGTGACTTGGCACTTGTAAAGCAACAAAGTGGTTTCCCTTGAATTTTTTGGTTTTTTGTTTTGTTTTGTTTTTGGTCTGTGAAGAATTTTGCTGCTGAAAAACTGAGTCCCTGTGTGGTTAAAAGGAAAGAAAGTATGGTTGCTATATTGGCATGCAGCATCCCACTGCATTCTTTCTGTAATTTTAGTGCAGTCCCCACTGTCACTGTTTCTGAACCAGCCTTGCTCTGGGGTCGATCCTTGTGTTGAACTCACATCTCTGTTGCTGGGGCCCAGGCCTGGCTCTAACCTCAGTGAAGGTGGCAACTGTCTCCTTCCATATAGAAACTCCCAGAACATTTCAAGACTATTTGTGAAAGGCCCTGTACCACCTTTCACACTCAAAACATCTTCTGTTTATTCAAGTTTTGAGTTTCTTTGTTTATTTTGTTTTATTTTCTGAGACAGGGTCTTATTGTCACCCAGGCATGATCATGGCTGACTGCAGCCCCAGCCTCTTGGGCTCAAGCAATCCTTCCACCTCAGCCACACAAGGAGCTGGGACCACAAGCACATGCCACCACACCTGGCTAATTTTTGTATTATTTCTAGAGATGGAGTTTCACCATGTTGCCCGGGCTGGTCTCGAACTCCTGGGCTTAAGTGATCCACCTGCCTTGGCCTCCCAAAGTGCTGGGATTACAGGCATGAGCCACCACACCCAGCCTGTTTGTTTATTTTCTAATGTTCATAAGGGGAAGAGACTAGGTCTCAGGTCATAAGAGGATATTAGAGAGTTTCAATAGGGTAGGGAAGGGAAGGGAAGGGAAGTGAAACTCATTTATGAAGTACATGCTATGTGTGTTCCATATGTAAGTGTGGGTACAAGCTTCCCCCACTGTCATCCTGCAACAACCTTGCAATATATGTGGTATTATACTTCCAACTATTACAGAAGAGGAAACAATGCTGGGTAGATTAAATGCCTTGCCCAAGGTCATACACAGTTAAAAGGTGGAACAGCCAAGTTTGTGTGTATAAACTTTTTATGGACATAATATAGCATAAAGAAAACTGCCCAACTCCTAAGTGTATAGCTCAGTGGATTTTTCATAAAATTAACATACCAATGTAACCAGAACTTTAAATAGAACATGAAATAGAATGTGATCCCCCCTCCCAGTCTCTATCTTTCCCCTTACTTCTTGCAAAGTTAACTGCTATCCAGACTTAGAATACTATAGATTTGGTTGGCCCATTTTATAATTTAATGTATATGGAGTCACAGAGCATATACTCTTTTTTGTCTGCTCCTTTTACTCAACATTGTGTTTGTGAGATTTATCCACGTTGCTCCATAGAGTCGGAGTTTATTCATTTCATTGCTGCATAGTATTGCCGTTTGTGAGTATACATAATCTATTTATTCACTCTGCTCTTGCTGGACATTCGGTTACTTTCTAGTTTGGGGCTGTTACAAATGGTGCTTCGGTGAACATTCTTATGCATGTCTTTTGGTACTAATTTGGTCTTGGGGTGGAGTTTCTGGGTTATAGGATATGTATCTGTTCTGATTTAGTAAGTACTGCCAATTTTCCAAAGTGATTGTAGCAAATACCCAGAAGTGCATGAGAGTTCTGATATTTTTGCTCACTAAAAAAATAAAAAAAAATTTTTTTGCTCACTTAAAAAAAAAAAAATGAACTCAACGGCCGTGTTCATTTTAGCTATTCTGGTGGTTGTATGGTTGTGTCTCATTATGGTTTAACTTGCACTTCCCTAGTATCTACTGAAATAGGGCACCTTTTCATGTGTTTACTGGCCATTTGGATGTCTTCTTTTGTGAAATGCCTGTTCAAGTCTTTTTTCCAGATCAGGTTGTCTGCTTTTTTCTTAATTATTTGTGGGAATTCTTTATATATTCTGGCATCAGTCATTTGCCAGATATTGTTAATATCTTCTCCCATTCTGTGGCCTTTTTATTATCTCAGTGGTGTCATTTGGTGAAGATAAGTTCCTAATTTTAATGAAATTCAGTTTATTAACCTTTTTCCTTTTTGATTAGCACATTTTATGTCTTGTTTAAGAAAGCTTTGCCTGCTGCAAGGTCAAGAAGACATTCTACATTTTCTTGCAAAATCTTTATTGTTTTACCATTTAGATTTAGGTTTGTGGCCCATTTGGAATTGATTTTTGTGTGAAGTATGAAATCGTGATCAAGGTTCATTGTTTTGCATATGGATAACCAATAGACCTAACAACGTCTATTGTAAAGACCACTCTTTCCCCACGGTACCACAGGGTCACCTTTGCCATAGATCAGGTGGCTGATCATTTGTGGGTCTGCTTCTGGACTCCTGCAGTTAAAGTTTCAGGCCAGGGCTATCTGATTCTAAAGTGTATCTTCTTTTCATTATTCTATAATAGAAAGAATTTGAGTAAATGATTTTGGAACAATCTAAGGATGAAAGAACATAATATGCTGTTTTTTTGAGGGGGATTGTTCTGTGCTGTTTAATAGAGACACAACAGGTACTCAAAGTCTCAAATGGCAAGTGGGGTTTGGAGGGTGCAGGTGTGTGGTAACTTGGAGGGAGGAGGGGCACAGGGATCCTGTGTCCACAGACTAAGAGAGATGGTGTTAGGAAAAGTGCTGCCAACAGGCTGAAACTGTGAACCAGGACCTTTGAAAAGCTCTGGGGATTCCCAAAGGATAGGGGAAAAATATGTTTTTCATGGAATAACATGGATAAATCTCACAAATCTTTCTATATTTTCTATAGCTGTAAAGTAAAGCAAATTTACTTTAGAAAAGGGGTTATTTTTTGAATAAGAATTTGTAACAGTTAGATTTTAATGAGGGTACATAATTTGTAATTAGGCATTATTCGCTCTTCAAAATCTTGTTCTAACTGGGTAATTAATTGCATTTTTGATTATAGAAGTTAATCCATATATACTCTCATCTTAACAGGGGATTACTTTTTTGTAGATGAGGCACAAATAGAGGGTTTAATAACCTAGCTTCTTTCAGTCTTCTATGATTGAAAAATCTCCCGATCTAAAATATGTGATCTGAATGAACATTATTGACCATCTGGTGGAAATTACCCAAAATGTTGACAGTGAACTTAGATTAGTGGTTCTCAATCTTGGCTGCACACCATGAAGGGAACTTTGAAAAAAATACTGATGCTTGGGTGACAGCCCCAGAGGTTCTGATTTGATTGGTCTTGGCAGCAATCTGGGCATCTGGATTCTTAAAAGCCCTTTAGGTGTTTATAACGTGGATCCAAGGTGAAAGCCACTGGCCTAGAGAGAGTTAATTCACTCTCATGGAACTAGCCTTTCTTTCTCTCCAATGCCACTTTGGGCTGCAACCCTATGTTGTGCAGCCCACATCATTGCTCGGTGACCACAGGCTTTAGAATGTGCAGTGATTTTTCATGAAAGGGTGGCTCCTGACCATCCATTTTATTTTATTTTATTTTATTTTATTTTATTTTATTTTAATTTTATTTTTTGAGACGGAGTCTTGCTCTGTTGCCCAGGCTGGAGTGCAGTGGTGCCATCTCGGCTCACTGCAACTTCTGCCTCCTGGGTTTAAGAGATTCTCCTGCCTTAGCCTCCCGAGTAGCTTGGATTATAGGCACCTGCCACTACTCCCAGCTAATTTTTATATTTTTAGTAGAGACAGGGTTTCATCATGTTGGCCAGGCTGGTCTTGAACTCCTGACCTCAAGTGATTTGCCCACCTCAGCCTCCCAAAGTGCTGGGATTACAGGCGTGAGCCACTGCGTGCTCCGAGTTTTGTGGGTTATTGTTAAGCTGACCATCCATTTTAATGCCTCACTGTGCAGGTGGGAAATCCGAGAGTCAGAAGGAAGAAGTAGTTTGTGCATGTTCATACAGCAGGTGAGTCAGTGATAGACTGGGACTGAAATTCAACCCCCCCGCATCTCAGACCAGGAGCTCAGAATCTGGCACGGTCAGCAGAGGGGTGAGGATGATGAGCAGCATGGGGAAGTGGGTGTCCCTGACTGGAGGGAAGGACACCAAATGGGGATGCTCTGAAGCCCACAGATCAAGTGCGAGGCTGGACGCAGACCAGGTGCTCCATGACTGTTGTTGAATGAAAACAAGAAGCATGCCTGCACAGCATCGTGTTATTACTATCAATGTTACTCTTCATTTCGCAAAAGAAATACTGATTAGGTCCTATTGAGGAAAATGAAGGAATTGTATGGATTCAGGCCCTCTGCTATGTTCAGTTTCTATTCATTCCTCCACAAGCTGGGTCTAAAACACTGTAAATTAACACTGCTGTGGCACTGAATGAAATTCCTGGTCATCAGGCTGGCATGTGTGCCTGTCTGTCTGGCTGGCTATTTGGCTGGCTGGCTGGTTAGCTGTGTTCTAGCAGATGAACCCATGGGGAAGAAAGGAAGGGGGGGCAGGTTATCTTGATTCTAGTGCAGAAGGTTTCCTTGGTTGCTTCATAGAAATATGGGGCTCAATATTCTGGCAGTGCTGAAGGGCAGGGACGTGCCTTATGTGAACATTCATTTCTGTGCCGTGGTTTCTTGTTCAAGGCTTGACACACAGAAAGCAGGGCAGGTTTGGTGCATGAATGATGAATTGAAAAATCTCTATTATTCTAATATTTTGTTGATCAAGGATGTCAGTAATGTGGTGTTTTGTTTTAGACTACAGTAAAAAAATAGAAACACATGTATATATAGTGGGGAGTGGGAGGGGTCAAGAGGAGAGAGAAACAGGATCAGGAGCTCCCCACCGGCCATGAGCACCCTCCCTGGCCCACAGCTTGCATCTCCAGCACCCACACCTGGCACAGAACATGAAGACACACCAGTGAGGTGGTGATTGAGCAGGTTTACTCCTTACTGAGTTTGTGGCCATGGGCCTGAAATATCGCAGCTCCCTTCCTGATTTGCTTCTTGTCAGATTCTCATCAGAAAATAGAATTCATCCCAGATGGTCCAAATAAAGAGACTTGAATGAAGGAAGTGTTTTGTGGAAGTGGAGCAGTCAGGGTTAAGGGAACAAATAAGAGATGTTGAGGGCACCTGGGGGTGGAACCAAACCACCCAGGTCTAAAGGGGCAAGGCAAGGAGAGAAAGTGGTATTTCTGAAGCCAAAAGAGAGCAAGGCCTGATGGAGAGGCTGCTGTGGGCAGGAGCTGGCATTGTAGTGCTAGGCAGCACTGAAGCAAGGCGGAGGCAAGGCTCTTCCCCTCCTGCCCTCCCCTCTCCTGCTAGTGCTTTCTGTTGGCCAAAGCCAGTGAGGGGTGGCCAGAAAGGGGACTCAGAGGGTACACCTACTTGACCAGCCTCCTGGGCACAGAGCAGGGCAGAAAGGCAGAAGATGGATGGCGGGGCCAGGGTGCAGTTGGAGAAGCCACAGCACACTCATGAAGGGAAGGGTCTGTAGGGGCAGAGGGAGACCCAGGAGGCCACAGGCAGAGCGTGCCTGCTCGCAGCCCCTGGGGGCTGTGTGCTTCAGGGAAGTAATTAATACCATATCCAGGAATCTCATCCCTGGACCCATAATTACATGTACAGGAATTTTTTAAAGGGTTGATGGCAGTGGTTTTAATGTCTCATAAATATTCTTCCAAGGATTCTCCCCATAGAGAGGAGTGGTTTCATTTCTCAGGCTTGAAGCCAGCTCTGAGCCTTTGAAGAAGAGGCTCCCAGCCTCTTCTCGGGAAACAAATCTCACGGTAGCACCCCTTCCCCAGTGTCCTCCTCCCCCTCCCTACCCTCCATCCCTTCTCCCTGCTTCACTGAGGACTCAGGTCTCCATGTTTACAAGATGCTCTGGACTTCATAATTGCTTGGATTCTGCCACATAGGAGGCTTCCTTCAGGAAGTATTCCAGGATTGCTGCCAGTAGAGTTCCTGAGGCTGATCTCTGCAGGGCATGGGGGATTGCAGATGCTGGTAAAAACTTTCTTGAGAACTCCATGTTTGCTCATTTTGACTAAATTCTGGACTGAGAGTGGCATGTACATAAGTAGGAGGCTTTCATTCCACCGAAAGCGAAGCCTGCACAAGGCAGAGGAAAAGAAACACAAGACAGAAGGAACAAAAGAGCATGTGTCTGAAGCCCCCAGGTTAAGGAAGGGTGTTCACAGAGACCACCACCTCTAATCCCCAGAGAACCCTCTGGCACGGCCACTGCCAATTCCCTCAGTTGATTTGGCTCAGGTGTGGCTGGCTGAAGGCTGCCCGGCCAGACGAGTTACATTTGAATCTTGGCCCTCCCCCTAATGAGCTGTGTGTCCTTGGGCAACTCCCTGTACCTATCTGATTTGCTATTTTCTCCTTCGGAAAATTGTGTTGTAATTATGTCTAAGTTGAGATAATTTATGCAAAAATATTCTACCACCATATCTGGCACGTGCCAAATGCTCCCTAAATGTGACCTAGTTTGAAACCCCACCTTGGAATGAACCAAAGCCTGGACCCTCTTGTTGTCATTGAAATTTGTGTATAGCCCGTCCATTGTCAAGGCCTGTTCAAGGAAGAGCAGTGTGGTGTGTGGGCTCTGGAACAGGACGGCCTTGGTCCAGATCCTGCCTCTGCCACTTACTCACTGTGTGGTCTGAGGGAAATCACCTAACCTCTCTGGTCCTCAATTTTCTCACCTGGAGATAACATGAGTACTGACTTCATATGGCTGTCAGGAGGAACATATGAAATAGTGAATGCTCAGAGCTTTGTACCGTGCCAAACAGCGCTCAAGTGAACGTCGGATATCACAGTACTCCTTGAACCCATCCAATTCAAATATCCCAATGCTTACTGACTCACTGTCTACCTTGCACACTAGATGGGCTGCTCATTTGCACCCTAATACCTGGCCCCAAATTCGGTCCAGAGTTTAATGAACTCAATTCGGTCAACGGGTTGAATGAACGCTTGAGTGGTGAGCAAACGTTGGGGACTCTTGAAACACAGGGCTAGGTCCTGTGTGTTAGCCACTGCAGAAGCCATGGTTACAACAGACAAGGAGCCTTGGAGCATTTTAGAAACCTGATGCATTTAGAAAGCTGTGCACACTGGTTCTTTCCTCCTGGATTTTTTTTTTTTTTCCAGGCCATTTGAGCTGTGGGACATAATTGCATCATTGGCTATAAAGACTGCTTTCCTGAGGGGGTACTTGTTTAGAAGTTCCAGGCCGGACTTGGCTACCCTTGATTGACCACTTGAGAAGCCTGATAATGGCAGGGAATTGGGCTACCTGGGGAGCACTGTTGCCAAGGAAAAAAGCAAGCTGGTGTAGCAAGGAGGTCAGAAGGGCTATCTGACCTGCACGGATCATGCACTCAAGAGTCAGGGCTACAAGGAGCCTGCCAGAGGCCTCGGAGGATCTAGAGAGGCCTGTTGTGTTCTAGGCTCCTGCATTTGGGGCCTTAGTGTGAGTTATCTCCACTAATCCTCCAAGAATTCTACAGGGAAGTTATTCTCATTCTCACCAGACAGTTGAGAAACCAAGATTGAGAATGGCTTATGGTCACACAGCCCCAAGCCTTACTACACAGCCTCTATTCTTCGATCTTCCTTACAAAGCTTCTGGCTTGGTTTTCCAGTCTGCACATCCAGGAACCTCCAACATTCAATTCTGAGTAATGGTTCTATTGCCTTTCCGTAAGAATGAAACGAATTTGATGAACATTTCCCAAAATCTGTTTCCTGGAACAAGCATCCTTGGAGTGCTTGGCTACAAAAGCGTTCTGTGATTAAACACATTTGGGAAATTCCCCTCCTTCTTGGAGGTTCACAGTGTGCATTCCCAAGTTCAAGATTCTGAGAAGTCCTGCAGTAAAGAAGCTATAATAAGCCAGCTTTTCCCAAGCTTATGCGACAAGGAATCTTTGCTTTGTTAATGCTTATTAACATCCTACAGAGCCAAATGACTCTTCAGTAAACACTGAAATAGATCAATCAGCCTGTTCCCAAGACCTGACTCAGCAAGTGGGCCCCCAAGGATGGAGATTCTCCCATGATACCACCCCAGTCCCTGAAATAGCATTGGATTCCCGCCTCCAGCATTCAGAAGCATAGTGCAGCCTTGTGTTGTCATTCATTCTCTTCCTCTCTTCTTTTTTTTTTTCCCTACACTGTCTTGATGTGGAAAATGCCCATGTGTGCCACTCCCAAGAACTATTGATAACTTATGAGAAATCTTGAAGGCAAACAAAAGGTGTTTAGACAATCTTGCTTTGCTTTTCTCATTCAACATTTGCTGCATTTCTGGAGATGTTGCCATCACACCTCCTTTTATAAAAGGACATTGGGAGGCTCATAGCTGCATGTGTTGGGGGAAGGAGGTTCTGTAGACAGAGAACAATTGTCCTGCTTCTCTCTGCCCCACCAGCCCTGCCCTCACTTTCACCCCCATTATTGACTGCCCCGTGGAGACAGAAAAGGGCTGAAGAGCAGACGAAAGTGGCTGGAACTCAACATGTCTAAAGCAGAGCTCTTGATCCCCCAGCCCCTGACAAGCCAGTCTCTCCCTCAGCTAATCCCCATCTGTAAACAGCACCACCATTAGCCCCGTTCCTCAAGCCTAAACCCTAGAAGCTGTCTCATTTTTCCTCTCCCTCACCACCCTCAGCCCATCCATTGTCCAGGCCTGTTCAAGGAAGAGCAGTGTGGTGTATGGGCTCTGGAACAGGATGGCCTTGGTCCAGATCCTGCCTCTGCCACTTACTCACTGTGTGGTCTGAGGGAAATCACCTAACCTCTCTGGTCCTTAATTTTCTCACCTGGAGATAACATGAGCACTGACTTCATATGGCTGTCAGAAGGAGCATATAAAATAGTGGATGCTCAGTGCTTTGTACAGTGCCAAGCAGCACTCAAGTGAACATCAGATATCACAGTACTCCTTGAACCCATCCGTCTCTCCATCTCAAATTGGACCACCCTGATCCAGTCCATTGTCATCTCTCCCTGAACCACGTCAATCGTATCTAAAAGGGGTCCTGTTTCCACTCTACGCTAGTACAGTCTCCACACAGCATCCAGAGAGGTCTTCCGATAACACGGCTATAACAGCCTCACTCCCCTGCATAAAAACCCTCAAAGTAGGTTTAGCATCACAATTAAAATAAAACTTAAACAACTCAGGCCTGACCTGGCCTGGGAGGTAGCTCTTTGACTTTCCTTGTGCTGTTCTCAACCTAGTCCACTGCTCCAGGCACTCTGACCTCTGCTCTGTCCTTGAACCCACGAGCCTTTCTCTCCTCCTGGCCTTGCATATGCTGCTACCTATTGCTAACCCGTCCAGCACCCTCGCTTGTAAAGGCCTTCCCCTGGGCCTGTCTCTGCCAGCAAAATGTGCATTTCCTCACACTCTCATTGTCTTATTTTCTTACCCCTACAAGCACTGTAACCTCTATGAGGGCAGAGGCTTGGGCTTACCAGTGTGTTTGCAGAAAGAATGCAGAAGAAGGAATAAAGAAGGACTGTGTTACAGGTTTCCTGAGCCACACTTTCCTCATTTTCTTTCTTTCCTTTTTTTTTTTTTTTTTTTTAACAGACAGGGCCTCATTCTGTCACCCAGGCTGGAGTGCATTGGTGCAATCATAGCTCACTACAGCCTCAACTTCCTGGGCTGAAACGGTCCTTCCACCTCAGCCTCCTGAGTATCTGGGACAACAGGTGCACACAACCATGCCTGGCTCTCATCTTCTTTCTATTATCCATATTTTACAGGTGAGGCTGCTGAGGCAGGGAAGGTTAAGACATATTTCCTGTGCCTCTCAGTTCATTAGTGGTGGTTCGAGGATTCAACCCCCAGCAGTCTGGAGCCTGCACCTGCCCCTTCTCTGCATACTGTGTGAGTGGGAGCCCAGTCTGGACATAAGGTGGAGTGTGGAAGTGGTTCAGAGCAAGGCATGCCCCCAGGTGACAGTCTGGACCGGGATTCCAGAAGAAAGACCTAGATTATTCCTCCCATGCTCCTCACTTAGCTGGGCAGCCATGCAATGTTCCTTCTCCACCAGTCTTGCTCGTTTTCATCATCTTCTTTCCCCTGTTCTTCCCCAGTTGCCCTGTCAGGAGCGTGATCCCCACATCCAGACTAAGGCCTTGGCAGGGACCAGGATAAAGAGCCAGAGAAGGGCCCCAGGCCCCCTACTCCATTGGCCCCTACAGGTGCAGGACAGATCTTGGTGGCGACAGGTCTCCAGTGCCCAAGATCCAGGCATGCACAAGATTTCCTATGAGACAGAAAAGCATTAGTTCCTGGGGAGAAGCTGTTGCCTTTCTAACCTTGACATTTTCAGGTGGTACCAGCAGCTTTGTACTTTAATTTGCCTTTTTTTAAAATAAAAATTTTAGACCAGTGGGTCTAGAAAAGTCAATTCTCAAGGAAGGCACGGAGAGTAAAGATGATGAAATGAGAGGATGTTCAACTGTGTTTAGTGTTTGAGCCTGACCTCTGTATTATGGGAAAGACACACTTACCGGGAAAAGATCCTTGGCTGGTTACAAAAGGATGGGAAAGGTGCCCTTGGCAGAGTAAAATATCTCTATTTTTTTTAATTGTATTTTGTTTTGTTTTTTGGCTTGTGTTTCTTTCTAGGACGTTATAGCTTTCCAGTAAATCACATCTCCACTTTCTAGGGAGTACAGAACACTTTTCTTTTAGGGCCACATTTAACCCATCCAGCTTCCCTCTTGGGAATGCTGTCCAGTACTTCCCTTGCAAGTGAAGGCTTAGCTTGGTGACTGGCACATAGTGAGCACTAGGTTAGCACTGACACTTATTTGCATAACAAAAAAGGGAGAACAGAAGTAATTTACATGGAGCGACTGCTGTGTGCCTGTCATTATACTAGGGATTGCATGTATGTGTCCCTCTTAATCCTCCCAACCACTCTGCAGGTGCGAACTGTTACTCTCCCATCTTATCAGCTAGGGAAAAAAAGGCCAGAGAGAGAAGGGACTTGCTCAGGGTTAGCTGTGAATGAGATGAAGCCTGGATGAGAATTCTAGTTCTGAGAGAGAGAGTTTCAGAGCTGGGATGACATGCTGGGTGTCTGGACCCTCAGAACCATCCACTAGCCAGCTGCATTGGTTTCCTGTGGCTGCTATAACAAATTACCACAAACTTGGTGATGTAGAACAATAGAAATCTCTTCTCTCACAGTTCTGGAAGCCAGGAGTTCAAAATCAGTATCAGTGGGCTAAAACAAGCTTTCAACAGGGCTGTGCTGGAGGCTCCGGGGAGAATCTGTTTCTGCCTCTTCCAGTTTCTGGTGGCTGACAGCATTCCTTGGCTTGTGGCCACAGTACTCCAAACTTTGCATCCATCTCCATGTTATCGCCTGTGTGTTTGTGTCAAATCTCCCTCTGCCTCTTTCATATAGGGACACTTGTGATAGCATTTAGTCTCCAACCAGCGAATCCAGGATAATCTCTTCATTTTAAGATTCTCAACTTTATCATATCAGCAAAGATCCTTTTACCAAATAGGATAACATGTCCCTGTTCCGAGGGATAGTACCTGATATCATTGGGAGCCATTATTCAGCCGACCACACCAGCACTAGGGGCTGCATAGAGAATAAGCACAGATCCTGAGATTCTGAGAGTACATGTGGAGAGGAAGGAGGAGGGGCTGAGTGTGAGCCACTCTGAGGGGACATACCACCCTGGCAAGGGCAGGATAGGCAGTTAGCAGTGGTGCCATTCTTGTCCTGGGGGAGGGACATACACATTGCCCAGCTTCTAACAAGAATTAAATTGGAGATGTTGGGACCACTGTTCGTTCATTCATTCATTCATTCATCGAAAAGTTATTGAGCAGATATTCTGTACCTAGCCCTCGGGAGCTCATAGATAGGTCAAGGGACTATTATATAGACTATAGCAAGTGCTGGGATGGAGAAATGTGCTATCAAGAAGGGAAGTCTTCCAGTAGCAGGCCAGGCTTAAACTGAGACTGTAAGATAAGTAGGAGTGAGGCAGGTAGCCCCAAGACAGAGAAAGGACACTTTAGCAGAGCAGCATTAGCAAAGCTATGTGATCAAGACTGAACCTGTTTTCTACATGCTGAGGTTGCCCAATCGTTCATTTTCAGGCTGAGACAAATCTTGGGTGAGGACATCAAGAGACAGGTATTTGATCTTGTTTTGAGTTCACCTACTATCTTTGTGCCTCATATCCCTCCATCCACATAGGTGAAACCCACCAAAGGAGAAGGGACAGCTTCTGCAAGTCTCTGCAGCTGACAGGGCTTGTCTTCCATTGGATGCGTTCCCTGTTGTACTGTACATGTGGCCAGTAGTGTGCAGACAGGCAGACTGGCCAGCAGTGAAGTCTGAATGCAAACTGTCTGCTAATTAAAGGCTTGTCAGGTCTAAGGAATCCAGTCCCCCAGTGTTCTTGGTGTTAACACAACTTTTCCTTTAGAATGTAAAAGTGCATCCTGTGTTTCTCACTGTTTGAGTAGTTTTTCAATGCCCTTAGGATAGAAAGCAGAGCTGCTTTCCTCCCCTCCCACTGTGGTGATCCCACAATGCTAAACTTCCTACTGCCAGCCACACCGCCCCCTTCTAGAATGCCTTGGGTTTTTGCATACATATACCCCTCATCTGCGACACTCTTACTCCCATTCCGACCCCATCAAATCCTATGGCCTTCAGGTCTCCTCTTAAAGGTCACTTCTTTTATTGCATTTATACAGCTTTGATTAAATATGTGTATGTCTTAATTGCTTCACATTTTTCTTCCGAAGGGCAGGGGTCTATGATTATTTTGTTGACCCGGTCTATCCTACGTGGCAGGTATGTGTTAGATATATGTTGAGTGAAAGAAATAATAATAACAAAATCAAATAAAATTTCAGAAGTAAAATACTTAACAGGAGGATAATCATACATTCACTCTAGGTAATATTCTTTAACCATTAAATAAGTTTTCAGTGCATTTTTTAAATTAGAAAAGTTTATTATACTGAATGGAAAAAGGATAAAGAGCTATGCACAGTCTAATTTCAAGTTTATAAAATTCATGTATATTCACTTGAAAATCTATCAAAATATTGGCTATGGATTGTGAAGCTATAGGATGACTGTTGTTTTTGTCCTACTTTTTTCTTTTTTCCAAATTTTTTAAATAAGAACATATGACTTCTGTAATAAAAATAAAGTATCAATGAGGCTCCTTTGAGCCATCTGCTATCTTGGTCCTTCCTCAAATGCAGCTTTAATCTTTTACACACATTACAGGCTCACTAGGAATGAATTGGAGGCCCCCACTAGAATGATTTAACCAATCAACTTGTTCATTAACTGTCATGATATCTTCTGTGTGTTAGACAAAAGATTTAGAATAATCCTTATTATGGGCTGGACAAAGAAAATATTTGAAATCCCTCTCTCTCATTTCTTTCCAGTCTTTCTCATGGAATTCCCACAGGGACTAATGCCCAGAAAAAAGGGCAAAGTGGCATTAGAGTCTTTGAAAGGAGAAGGAGTTCAAGGCTTGCCCGTCGTTGCAGCCAAAGCAGAACTCCCATGAAGTGCGTGTGTGTTTACTAATTACCCCCGGCTTGCAACCGCATTCGCCTGCTTCGTAAGCACTTTGGGACTCTGTTAAAACTTCACTGTAGTAATGCCTTTCTCTAGACTATAACTATTTTAGAAATTAACCCATTATCATTTTTTTCTCTTAAACTACCAAGAGTAAAGCTTAGTAATAATTTCTATTAGTGAGCCTGTGAAAAAACTAGGATCCTCATATAAAACAAATTTTAGAAAACTTTTTGACCAAGCTTATACCATGACTTAGTGATATCATTTTTGAACTCTTCAGGATATAATCCAAGGTTTATGTGTAGATATATCTATATCTATATAGATATATAGATATAGATATATATAGTTGGAAACAAGGTGAAATTAATATCTGACACTAAGGAAATGGGCTTTCCAGTAATTGTGCTCACTCAGTGGGCTAAATGCAACCATTTGAAATGCTAGTTTTAAATAACAGGAGTCAGTATGTAAAATGTTTATCGCCTTAGTTTCTATGTCGATGTGTGGGTGTGTGCAAATTTATGTATAAAGATTGAGGCGACAAATGACTTTGCCACATAGGGACACAGATGTCCTCCCCACACCCACCTCAATCCCTGCAAAAGTACGGGTATTGCTATTAATTATGTATTAATAGCCATGTGTGTTGGAGGCGATTTGGAGGGGTCATTGTGGTCATAGCATGGGAAGATTGATCTTTGAAGATTTCGGTCCTCAAAGAGTGTCTTGAATTTTATCTTGGTAAATCATCAGATGACCCTTCGTGCTGGCTTGAATTCATGAAAATTGTCATGTCCTCTTTTACTTGTTGAGCTCTGTGGATAAGTATTGATTGTTCCTGGTCCATCAACCCAGGCTTGCCTGCATGCCCCCCTCTCCTACCTGCTTTCCTGCCCCAGCCTTGGATGGCCCTCACCCCAATTGTCCTGGAACACTTGCTTTCCTCTGCCTGGGAATGCATGAAAATGAAAGTAATCTCTAGTAATCAGGCCCTTGAGCTTTGAAATAAATATATTTGCCTTTGACTTAATGATATCTTGGGGCTTACTTTTGACTCTATGGTGAGTCAGGCCTTTATAGAAAACAAATATATTTTATATAACATTTCATATAAGGTTTTTAATTTTCATTTTTTGAATCAACTACCTCACCATATGTTACCTTTTAGATTAAGAAAAACGTTTTCATTTTTTAAAATGATAATTTGTATTGCTGGAGAAGGTACAGGAATTTGATAATTTCATATGATCTTTCGACCTCCTTCTTCTTTCCTTCACTGCGTTTATTTGCTGATTCTCTTCTCACCTTCTCTTTGAAATGCCTCCTGACTATCCATCCACCCACCCACCCATGTATCTACCCATGAATTCATTCACCTATCCACCCATTTATCCAACCAGCCAGCCAGCCAACCTTTCAACGAGCCATCCATCCATTCATCCAGCCAGCCAGCCAGTCACCCAGCCAGCCAGCTAACTATCCACCCATGCATCCATTCACACCTTCATTCATTTATCGATCCATCCATCCATCCATCCATCCAGCCAGCCAGCCAGCCAGCCAGCCAGCCAGCCAGCCATCTATCCACCCATGCATCCATCTACACCTTTATTCATTCATCCATCTATCCAGTCAGCCAGCCAGCCAAGCATCAACCCACCCATGCATCTATCCATCCATCCATGCATGCATCTAACAGGCGTTGAGTATCTACTGTTTATCAGATACTGTTGTATCAGATACAGCAGTGAAAAAGACAAGATTCTTTTTCTTTACATATATTTAATGTCTTTAGATATATATTTTTTTCATAATTAAGAAAAACTCTGCCCTAATGAACAAAACAGGCCCAAACTTCCTATCCTAAGCATTTCGTTGTCTCTTATCTGCAGTTTGAATACAGCTCCAATAATACACTTTATTGGCTGCACGGTTGATTCCCCAGCAGGCTGTGGAGTCCATTTGTGTCCACAATGCCTTGCCCAAGTCACCTTGTCCAAGTCAGCTATATCCACAATGCCAAGGCTTGCCATCCATCTCCCTTATGTGTAGTTCTCTAAGTTAACTTGAAAGAAGGAGGAGAGTAATGTAGAACCTGATATTTATTGAGTGCCTACTGCATGCCAAGCCCCATATCTTCATGAGCTCATATATCCTTCCAAACAAGATTCCCCCCTCCCCTCCCATTTCACAGAAGAGGAAAGTGATGCTTAGAGAAGTCAAATGACTTGTCCACATTCTCAAAGCCTGGTTGTTGCAGACCAGCATTCACACCTAGTTCTACCAGATTCTGTTACAAGTCCTCTCTGCTGACATTATTGGCTCTGAGCAAAGGATCAGTTTCTGGTTTCACACATTAGTAAGGATAGCAGCTGAGAGATAAGCTCCATCTCCCTACCCCACATCCTTGCTGATTTTCTGTAGAAACTCTGGAAAGGGAGAGCCCTGGTTCTTCTAAAGGAACAGGGGCTTGTGTGGTTCTGACACAGCAAAGTCATTCACTTCTGCAAACATATAATTTTAAACTCCCTTTCTTGCAGATTCTCTTATTACATTTTACTGCAAAAGAAAATGGTTCTGCCATCCAAATCCCATCATATGGGTCTTGACTGTATTGTAAACCCTGGGATGTCCATCTAATAAGTATTGGATTGACCCTTTGAGACTGGGATTGGAAAAAATAAAAATAAAATCACCACTCAAAATATATATCACAAGCTGGGGTAATGATACAAAAGTCAATCTTTCTATTCCAAACTTTTGGTGACCCTTCTAAAAGCTCATGAAGTTCATCTATACACGAGGGGGATAGAGGCAGGGCAGGAGCACTGCTGTTTGGGCTCTCAAAGGATTTCTTTCATTTCCTACTCCAAATTCTATCCCTGACACCTTGGGCTCTCTTCCTCAGTTCATCGCAGCTGCCATTCACACCTACCTCTTATCTCTGCTCACTTTGTAAATGGTGTTTGGGGACCATTTGCCCCAATCATCAGGATAAAAGGTAGCTCTGAGCTCAGGAAGTAAAATAAAGTCTCTTTCTTCAGAATTACAGGGGGCTGGTGATGTAGGTGATCATATTTGCTATGTGCATTCCCCAGGGGGTTTCTTGACTTCACTAGTAACAACAATTATCATATTAACAACAGATCTTATTTCCTTTGTGAATTTTCTCAAGGAACTCATGAAATTTGGGAACCACAGTTCCCTAGCTTGTCTGAAAGCACACCTGGGGAGGGGCATGGCTAGGGGAAGAGAAGCAAAGAGATCTGGGATGTTGTGAAGGGCAAACTCTTCAGGCAGATTTTATCCTTCTAGAATATGTGATAAGGAAGCCCATGGGGGCTGTGAGGATTCCTTGGAGAACTAAAGCCAATGGTGAGCACTGTGTTTCAGGGCTTGTTAGGATCTTGTCTTGGCCCATATCCCAAACTGGTAGAGGTGATTTTTTTTTCTACATGTCAGAGTCCTAGAACCAAGCCCACAACATTCCCAGCCGGTGACCAGAAGCAAGCCCAACTCTTCTCCAGCTGCAGTAGGCATCACCCAGTGCCTCCTAATGGGCCTGAGTGGGAATTGCTGTAGGCTGTGCACCTGGGACAGAAAGCACATGTGTACTTACCTTGACTAGGTAGTGCCACATTGCTTTCCTCCAGTGCTACCCCAATCTGCACTCACACTGACATGAAGCCACCTGTATCCTCTATCCCTGCATAGCTTCTGACACTTGAGACAGAGCTCTCTATTTTTGCCAATCTGCTGGGTGCACACATAGCTTATTGTTTAATTGTTTTTGTTTTATCCTTTCTTTGACACTACATAAGTTTGAGTATTTACATACATTTGTTGGCTTTTTGGGTTTCTCTTCATTGAATTACTTCTCCACATCCTTTGTCCATTTATCAATTAGAGTTCCTGACATTTTCTTGTCAATTGGAAGGAGTTCCTAGTGTATTATAAATACCAATCCCTTGTCACTTTTAGGTAAGTATCTTTTCCCAAACTATGTACATCTATTTTAATTTTTTAAGCAAAAACGTTAATTCTGGGATTACCAAATTTATCACTTTTTTTTTTTTTTTTTTTTTTTTTTTTTTACCATAGGAGTTGTGCCTTTAGGAGTTTTAAGAAGTTATTTAGGAGTTTTAAGAAGTTATTTAAGAAGTGACCTCCAGGTCACAAAGATATTCTTCTATGTTGTTTTCTAATAACTCACAGAGAGGACAGGAGCATGAGGCTCAGGTTCCTCCCAACAGAAGCCCCACGCTTTAGGAATTGCAGATGGACATGGAGGATAAAGAGTTTTGTTTTTTCTCCTTCAGAGGACCTCATAAGCCAAGGGGAAGGCAACTAGGCAGAGAGGGCTTTAATTAAATTTTCTATTTTTTAATTTTTCTGAACTTCAGGGGTGCTCATACTTCGCATGATGGAGGGAATAGTTAATGAGTGCAGGTTTCCCCCAGGAGGGCTGCCACCACAACGGCTTGAGATGAGGCGGCCAGCAGCCCCCATCTCTACTCCAGTCTGATAAGCTGTGGTGTCAGGCACAGAGGCACCTGTGAAGTTGGAAGACAGTGGAAAGGAAGAAGGTGACAGCCTGTGCTGTCATGATAATGTCATGGTATGGAGGGCCCTGGCCTCCGTCGTAGGGGGCCCATGTGAAGGGTTGGCCTCCATGGCCTGTGAGCAGGAGCCTGGCTCAGGGAACCTGGGGCCTCTATTCTTGGCTGGGCTTTGCTTCCTGGGGCCATCCCTTGAACACATCACTCCTACATGATGATGAATTCTAGAAAATTAAAGCAGGGCAGGGGGAGTTTGAATGTCACCCTTTTTCTTACTGATGAGGAAACAGACCCAGAATGAGGAAGCAGCTTACGGAAAATTGCATGGTTTGTGGGCTGGAGACCCAGGGCCAGGGCTCCAGCTGCTTCACCTGGAAAAATCCTGGACTTTGGAGACAGACAGTCCTGGGTTTGAACCTAGCTCTAAGAGCCATTTATTAAATAATTTCACAAATAAAGGTGATGTTTGCCACCATGGTCAGTGCTTTAAGTGAATCTACTCAGAGCTGTGAAATCTTGGGGGAATTTGACCCAGTCACAGTTGAGAGAAGGTTCTGGAAGGATATGGGCTAAGGTCTACAGATGAATAAAAGTTAAGCTGGTAGAGAGGGAAGAGCTTGTAGGATGGACAGAGGGATGGTTGGATGAGTGACATGAGCCTGAGTTTAAGAGGTTGACTATTTCTTCACCCTGTCCTCTCTCTTAGCCTGTGAAGGCTTGCTGGTAAATTGCTAAATCTGGCAGAGAATGAGGAAAGGAAGATCTCTTTCCCTGGCTATCAATTGTTTGAGTGTTTCACTTAAAGTTGAGCACCTGTTCTATTGAAGTGCCCACCTCTGTTCCTCTCCATTTCTTTGAACCCTATCACTGGTCCTTGGGAAGGGTAAATGCAAAAGAAAAAAAAAGTGAAAGCAGTGTTAATCATGCTGAAATGTAATGCGCCCCTCTGAACCTTGGAAGATGAGAAATTATACATGCTGATTTCATCCGCTACTTAACTCAGGGGGTGACAGGCTGCAATTGAAGAGGCTTTGGCAGGTTAAGTGCTGCAAACCCTTGCCCAGGCTCTTAAGCATCTCTCGGAAACCTCTGAGACTCGTTGGTAATTTGGTGGTGTCATTTGGAGTGACTCCTGGCCCTGCCAGCTGCAGGGACAGTTCCCAGTTAAAAAAAAAATGATTTCATTCTCAGCTAGGATGTGGTCTGTTCTTTTTTTGTCTGGGGACCGGAGACTGTTAAGGGAAAAGAGAGTGGGGAGGAGATTCTGCAAAGAAATAAAAGCAGACAAGAATGGGCTTGTGTACATTGCAACCACCAAAGCCCCCTCAACAAAGCTTCATCATTACTGGAATCAGGAAAGAAAAGGGAGAAAACTAACATTTATTTGACATTTACTGTGTACCAAGTACCTGTCATTCCTGAACGTATTGACTCCACACATCTCCGCGAGACAGCTGTTGTTATGTGGAGAAATTAGGCTAATTAATTTGCCCACTACGATGATGACAACAATGATGACGATGGTGATAAAAGCTTATATTTATATGGCAGAGACTATTATAAACTCCTTATCTGCATTATTCACTCCTCACAATAACCCTGTGGGGTAGGTGCTGTTATGATCCACATTCTTCAGATGAGGAAAATCAGGCCTAGAAAGATAAAATAACTTGCCCCTTAGCTGGTAAATGGCAGGACTGGGGTTCAAATGTAGGCAGATTGCCTGCAGAACCTGTGCTTTTAACCACTAGGATGGAAGTTGGAAAGCAAGACTGACATAGTCTAAACATCCTTGCCCTTTCAGCCACACCTGGCTGTCCCATCTCATACTGATATAAATAGTATTACAGGTGAGCATGTATGGAATGTTGGCCAAGGGTGGCCTCTGTACTTGGTTGACATTACTGCGTATTTAATTCTCACTGTCTCTGTCGAGGTTGGTGGACACTGAAGCTCAGAGAGGTCAGCTGATCTGCCCAGGATCACAAATGCTAACTGTGGCTCTGGGCCACTTTTTAAGCTACGTGGTTTCACTTGCTGGCTTATTTCATTAAACATATAAAATAATTCCTGGAGGCTTGGTCTGTTGAATGAGCAGTGATTCAACAAACTGAGTGGCTGCTCTTGGCTTCTCTGTGGTGGGAGACCAATGAGCACAGTGATGAGACTGACCCAGTCCTGCCCTGGAGGAGTCCCTAGTCTTGGGGTGGGACTCTGGCGTTGGTGCCTTCCTGCCCCGAATCCCCAAGGGCCGCAGCGAACTCACATGGTAGGACTTTGCCTCTTTCAACCCCATGCTGGTTTCCTTTTGACTAAAGAAACAGCAGCCTCCACCTGCTTTAGTCAGATTTAGATGTAGCAAGTGATTATCACTTATTATTGCTATTAATCTGACACAAAGGAGGCTTGAAACTCTTGATCCTCAGAAATAAAAGACCCCACCACCCTGCCAAAAGAAAGATCAATAACTTTGCAAATTGTTGCTTTTTGAAGCCTTCAAGGAAGAAGTTGTGTTTTTTGGTCAAAGCAGGCCATTTGAATGTCACATTTGTTATGTCTCTCTTCTTTTTCTTTTCTTCCAATAATTTGAGTCAAAATGATGATAAAACTGCTCTATTTTTAGGTAGTTTCAGCAGGTTGTTGACACATTGGATTAGCATAAGTCAGTTATTTCTGAAGCTCCTTCATATTGCCAAGACAACTATAAGCAAGTAAATAATAATATATTTTTTCCTTTCACAAGTAGCTATGGACAAAATGATGGCAATTCTTTCATTGTACCTAATCAATAACATATGTGCATCAGAGAAGGTGTGATATGTATTAACTCTTGGCAGAAGGAATAGGAATTTAAAGGAATCATTTTCATAGACTCTCCTGGAGAGGGAAAAGAAGAGGGAGAGGAAGGGGAGGGACAGAAGAAGAGAGAGAAATAAAAATAATCTTTCTGGCTGACTCACAGGTGGTAGCTTCTTGTAAAGGAATCCTCCAATGAGAGTATCGGGGATTCTAGTAGCCATGCATATAAGGTCAGAAGGTAAGAAAGAGAAAACCGCACGTATTGAGTAGGTTTACCTTTGTAGGTGTTCACCCATAGATTCACTTCATCTTCTCAATTTTGCCATGTGAATTAGCCCTTAGTTTCCCAATTTTACAGATAAGGAAATGGAGCCAAAGGCCCAAGAAAAGTCTTGTTGAAAGTGATCCAGCCAATTTGTATAAGAATGAGGATGTGAATCCTGGTTCAAATAATTCCAAAGTTTAGTGTTCATCTTTTGTAGCACATTTTTGCCCAAGATATGTAAATGATACCTATTGTATTATTATTTTCTGATCCAAGGAGGAAGAAAATATTGATAAGTCTCAAATGGGAGCTGTGAATGGGTGACTAGGCTTTCACTGATATATAGCCTTCTGGCAGAGCTATAAAATGAATGATAGGAACTTTTCTATAATGACTTGTATCACTCATTCATTCATTGATCCATCCACTGTTTATTGTGATGTGATTTCTCCTGTGTTTAGATCTATTTTAACTTCTGGCTACCCTACTGGGCCTAGAAACACAAGAAAGAATATAGTACCTTCCCAGGCCTCAAGGAGCTTACAATGAATATGGCAGAGACAGGGAAGTTGACTGCCAGGCACTGTACAGTGGAGCAGCACCAGGGAATTAACACCTAATGTTAGTGCCCAAAGAGAAAATTACCTATTGGTTACATTACCTTTGGAACTCCATGAATTGCTCCTGAAGCAGAGAGATCACACTGTGAGAGGAGCACCCAGTCCCCATCATACTTCCTCAGGACATCCCCTAATCCACAGCCTGTGCACTGGCTGCAGGGGCTAGTAAGCCCTTAAACCTGTGAATCACTCTGTCTGCCACCTCCTACAAACTGTATAGTAGCAGTTGCATAAGGAACACACACCTATGACGCACATTTCCCTTGCAGCTTGGCAAATGCCATAGTAAAGTTTATTCCAAGGGCCTTTAGGAGCCCAACCAGCCTGGGTCTTCCTCAAGAAGGTGACACAAAGAGGGCATTCCTGAGAAGAGTCTTGGAGAAGGACTGGAAGGCTCTGCACCTCCGCTAATGCTGCCCTGAGTCATCGGTGGAAACCTTTTCACAGCATCAGAGCTGGGGATAAAACAGTTGTGGGGAGGTCTCGTGGAAAGAATACAACCTATAAAATGGCCACAGAGTGCCTGTTTTGCAGACTGTTTTAAGGATTAGACAGGTTAGTAATTTAAAGGATCTAGCATGATAGCCACTAGCTTACTGTGGCTCTTGATCACTTGAAGCATGACCTTTGACCTAAGCATGGGCTCTCTTGCTTAGAGCCCATCAGTGTCTTCCTATTGATTTCAAAGTAAAGTTTAAAGTCCTTAACATTTTCAGACCTTATATGATCCAGCTCCTAATGCCTTACCCCACCACAGGTTTTTTCTACCCTTGCCTCTACCCGCACCGGGCATCTGCATGTTCCTCAATCATACTGGGTTTCTCCAATGTCACTTCCTCCATGGAACCTCCCAGACCCCCTGAGATCTGGTGGAGCTGCCCTTGTCCTTGGGCTTAGCTCCTCCTGCTTCCCTCTGTGCCTGTTGCTGTCATGGTAGAACACTAACCTATGCAGTAGTCAGATGCTAATGCCTGTCTCCCCACTGCAGTGTAAGCTCCAAAGGGCAGTAGCTGTGGCTGTCATGTTCATCATTGTGTCCTCAGCGCCTGGCCCAGAGCTTGGCAAAAATGTTTCTGGAATAGACAATGGGATTTAGAGAAGGCTGGTCAGAAGGCAGCAGGGGTCAGCCTCTTGTGGGTATTTGCCTTCTGTCTCTGGTAGGATTTTAACACCCAGGGACTTGGTTATTTTAAAAATCTCTTGATTTCAGAACCTCCCAATTAAAAGATCCTGGAATCATTCATAATACAGTTGCTACTGGGAGCTTTTCGGCTGTCTGATTTTTTAGGGGCCATGATGGGCCTAAGGAGGAGGAAGGGCCCATGGGCTGGGATTTTCCTTCATCAAAGACCAGCAAACTCTTTATTCTTTAGGAAGAAAGTTGTCACAACAAAGGGACACTTACCTAATGTGTAATGGGTATTTTGGGGTAGATATAGTGCTTATCCCAGCTCAAAGCCTCTTGGGGCTGCAATTTTTAGTGCCAGGAGTTGGAAAACAATTTTCTATTTATACTTTGCTAAATCCTTGTAATTACATATATTTTCCTGAAAGTCTGAGTGGCAATCACATATTTATCCTCGCAATCAAAGCCATTGTGGATTATCAGGTAAATACCTCATTAGTAAGATTTTGAAACATGTCTCCCAACAGTTTTTGCTTTCTTCATAAAAACAACTAAATTTTAAAGAAAAAGCAATGTATCTGTTGTACTGTAAATTCCTCTAGCTAATTTTGATTATCCCTATCAAATGCACTTGAGAAAAGAGATTTACAAAGTGGTAAATTATGAAGACTGATATTTAAAGCAAATGTAGGACAATTAGTACAGTAGACAGGACCACAGGCATGAGTGTTAGACTGGGCTGGGGTTAAACTGTCACTGTGGCATTTACAGATGTGTAACTTGGGGCCTCAGTGTGATAGAAGCCTCAGTTTTCTTGTTGTAAAATTAGGATGAAAATACTTCAAAGAGTTACTGGATTAAATTAGATAGTGCAGATGTCATGTAACAGATGTTTAATAAGTGCTCATTATTTTTTGTTTTCATTGTTAAATAATATCATATAATATTTCATTGCCCACTAATAAATTGGCCTCATTCAGATTTTTACCATAGCTTTCCCATACCTACGGAGATTTTAGGTAGAGCTACATGAATTTTGGAGCCACCTTCTGATGGAGACATCTGGGGGTTTTGGGGAAAGGGAATCAGACTTGGGCAGGGAAAAAATAGTGAGATTATGAGGGAACAAGAGGAGAGAGAGACTACAGAGGAACCCTTTCCTCCAGGCCTTGTCATCCATGGCAGGCCCATTGGGCCGGGGGGTGCTGAGATTTAAGGAAGGTGCATGTGTCTGTCGTATTCACTGCTTCCTCTCCAGTGCCCATCAGGTACAGGCTCTGGCACATGCGGTTATGGAGCATGTGTGTGTTTAATGAATAGTTTCCATGACAGAGCTAAGATTACTCATCTTTTCTTTTCATAGACAGTATCTCCTCAATGATGTAACTTAGGTAAAATAAGGGTCACCCAAAGCATTTTTCCATCTCGATCAGCAAAGTAACCATTCATCTCTGGGAATATGATGGCATTCAGAAGGTGACAGCCAACAGCTCCAAGTGAAAACATCAAAGTAATTGAACATTAAGTTGAAGGACCAGACCCAGAAAAAATTCTTTCAGCTTATGTGTCACTTGCAACCAAGCCAACAAAGTCACGGTCATTTCACTGAAACAATAAAGGAAGGAAATCCCAAAGTGCTTCTAAGTAGCAAAGATTGGTGTATGAGATGAAATGTATAGGATATACTACATAAAAATTAGATGGATAAAATAGATTTTTTCCTAAGTATGTGCAATCTATTATTTTTAGTATCATTTAGTAAAACAACATGAAGACATTTTATTAGTTTATTCATAACTTTGGTCCCCCAGCTCAATCTTTTCCAAAAGAATTACTATGATAATTATATCATATGAAAATCTGCACTGGCCAGACTCTGTGCTGGACACTTTACACACATTGTCTCATGTAACCCTCACATTGCCTCTGGGAGATAAGTGTTTCATCCCCATTTATCAGATGAGGAAACATGAGTTTCAGAGACAGCGGATAGTCACAACAGACTGCACCGATACCACACAGCTGGGAAGTGGCACAGCCACAAGTCAAACTCAGGTTAGTCAAATTCCATAGTTATTACATCGCAGGTTATTTTCTGATAATGTAATACCTTTCCCAGTTCCACATTTTTTTACATTCCGGTTGGGAGAAAACCTCCCAAGGATGAGTTCTAAACTTAAATGCCTGTAGGAATTGGGCAGATGGAGCAAGTGGGCTGGATGGGAATGGAGAACACACAGCAATTGCCCTAAAAGGGGCAGCTGCCGCTGAACTGCAGCACCCTGTGGTCAGAAAGGAAGGTGAGTGTTTTGTCATTATACCTTTTATTGTTCCAAGAGAAACTGGAAATCTAGATTTTTAATGTAAAGTTTTATTATTTTAATATATTTTCAGTTAATTTAATTAAAAGAAAAAAGCAACTGTACTAGCCAACAAAACATATCAGGAGTTGCAATCCACCTGTGTGAGTCAGTGTCCAATGATCTGCTTGTCATCCACGTCAGACTAATCGCCAGTCAGGCAATGTGCTTGTTCCAACATTATTGCCACTGCTGACATCTTAGAGCTCTCTCCCAGGAATATTCTTTGGAACAAGAAGGTGGGCCACACCAGAAAATCAGTCTAAAAATAACGGTTAAAGCTCATTGACTGCTACGTATTTGTAAGCATTTTGTCTATGTTAATTTCATTTAATCCTCCAACACTCCCATGGTAGACTATCATGCTTCTCTTACTGGTGAAAGAACAGGTTCAGAGAGGTTGAGAGACTTACCCAGGGTCACAGAGCTACAAAAATAGTAGAATAGGACTTGAACCTAGGTCTGGCTGGCTTCTAAATCTGTGCTCTTAGCCTCTGCGCTGTACTGTCTCCCACAGGCTCTATAAATACTGATGAGCTGCCCCAGGCATTGCTTTGTTCAGTTCCCGTTGTTCCCCAGGATTGGATGTCAGAGAGTGTGGGAACTTGTTCTGGAAATGAACACCTTGCCTGGAAAAGCATCAGTCTTCCAAGTAAAGTGCTCTGTGCATCATAAAACCTTCAATTTAGCTCCATTATATTTTAGGTCCATGAGGGATAGATTGCAGTTCCTGCCTTCCCACTGATTAGAGCATCCTATTTCCGTGTATACAGTACCTATTAGATGGTGCATTTTGCAGAATTAGCTCCCTGATGAACAGGTATTATTTCCCCCTCTGCTGACATGCAGCAGCTGTCTGCGCTCATTGTGTTCAAGCCTCTGCACCTGAAATTGGGAAGTGAGGTGAAATGGTGCAAAACTCAGCAGTTACACATCTTACCTTCAAGCTTAAAGATGTGTAAGACCAGGTTCTACTGATTGTATCTCTTTTGCTACTTATATGAACTTGGACAAGCCATTTTATCAGTCTTGGTCTCTATTTCTTCATCTCTCAATTGGAACAACCCTTTTTCCTAACTGGATGCAAGAATCTCATCCAGAAGGCCTCCCGAGATACATATGATATTGCTCCAACATCTGATACTTGTCACAAATATGTACTGTGTTGAGGCACACAGGGCCTAGTTTTTAGACTGGACTTGTAAGTAAACATATGTTACTTGCATTTCTATGATACAGGTTTTATTCTGCTACGTGACTAACCAAATTGTCCTGACACCATTTACTGAATAGTCTATTCTTTCCTCCTATTGATTTGACTGCCACTTCCAGCATATTTGAAATCCCACAGATACATAGTCTCTGTATTTTTTTTTTCTGTTGCGATATTTATTTTCCATCTATAACACACAGTTTAAATAACATATCTTGCTATCTGGAAAAGCAACTGTACTTTCTTTCTTCTTCTTTTCAAAGTAGTCTATTTGTGCCATTCAGGGTCTCTGCAGGAAATAGACAGCACTCTCAAAAGGGGTGACTGAAGAGTTCAATGAATGGACTATTTACAAAGGTGTGGATAAGGACAGGGACTCAAGAAGCAGTGCTGAAGCCCCCAGAGACTAGCAACACTGGGAGTGTGACAAAACTAAGTCTAAGGGGTGAAGAGAAGATACACGTATTAGAACCTAGGAAAACTTGCTCGATGGATGAGGATTCATTGAAGGGTTTGGAGCTGATGATGAATTTAGTTCATACTTAAAAAATAATTATCTGACATTGTGGTAGGGACATGAACTAGTCCAGCAGAGAACTGTATTTGAGGCTGGTAAGAATGAACACTCTAAAATCATGAATCTGACACAAGTTACGTTTACTGCAATAAGCACAAAGGATCCCTTTCCAGCTAAAGACACCAGAGATCGGGGGATGATCCCTGAGTTCAGCCTCTCAAACTTCCCCAATTTCTGCAGAGGGGTGGCACTGATATTATGCCTGCTGGATCTCATACCTTCACCCATGTCATTCCAAAAGTCTAGCATAATCCTCTTAAATATCATCTGGACCTGACATCTGGGTTCTAAGGCCAATGCTACCAGCATCATCTCACTACATTGTCACAGGTTGCATGATAATTGCTAGGCATCAGACATGGACAGTCACATGGAGCTCTGTAATATGACCAGTCTGTAATAATGCACATTTGGTCTGCTGTATCACAGGCTTAGGGCATTGTGGGCAGGGCAGGAAGAGATCATTCAGAGACAGTTTTTAGTACATTCTGAGACATGATGGGTTGATATTTCTACAACACATTTTGCATTGTAGTTGTGGGTTAAATTTAAGAAATTCCCCTCTTCACTTTAAGATGATCGCTCAGTATATAACAAGAAGGTCTTATTTATAGCCTGCTCATCCATAAAGTTACCCTTAAATAAAGTCTCGAGAGAATTGGTAATTCACACGGCTAAAAATCTGACAGTCTATTAAAATACCAAACAGAGGCATTTAGCTCCATCATTGTCACTGGGATATGCTTTTGTAGTTGAAGTGATATCTCCTGGCACAAATGACAATTTTCAGCCTGATTTTATATCCTTGATTTTGAAGGAAGGAATATGGTTGGTGCAGCACCATCTTGCGTGCTTCTTGGTCATACCATTGATGACAAGCTTGATCAAAGATAAATTCCTACTCCAACTGAGGAGGGAGAGGTTCCCTATGTGAACAGAATCAACACGCTGATCCTGAGTGGGAAGAAATGTCATGTGCCTTTCTATTTCATTCATATATTCTTTCTTTCTGCCTGATCACATACATTATTAGGATTTTAGGGAAAACATTCTGAAACTTATGAATTGTACAAGAAATTTTTGAAATCAGTTTAACAAGCATTTGTTGTATGCCCAGCCCAGTATGAGAAACTGGGATTTGGAAATGAGAATATGTAGCTCTTGCTCATGGAATTAATGGAGAAGTCAGACACATAAATGAACTATAATAAAGCAGAATAAATATTATCCAACTGCACAAAGTACCATAGGGACCCACTGAGGAAGAGGCTGTGGCTCTGTAATGAATAGAGGAGGGATGTTCTTTGTGTCTGAAGAGACTTTGATGCTGATGACAACTTTTATCTAAGTAAGGATACAGTTGGAGGTTATCAACTGTACATGCCATGCGTACAGTTTGTGTCCTGCTTTCCCCACATGGTGACATAAGCATTTTTCATCCGGCCCATGAACGATTGACAGAGCTTCCTGCCTCTGCTTCGGGTCCTGAGCATCCCTGTCTGGCCCAGAGCATCCCTGTCTGGCCCAGAGCTCTCTGGGGATACCACCTCATAAGCTGCCTGATAATCATGGCTTTCCAGGCCTCTGATCAACAAGATGTAACTTTTAAAAGTTTTTTAAAAGTCTGATCTGCAGTTTTCCTTCTCTCTAGGTAACTGCCCTGCTTTTCTTTACCCATTGCCCCTATTCTCACCCTCCCCCCTTCGACCTCAGCACTTCCCAGCAGACTTGTTCTATTAATTTTTATGAGACTTTTATGCTTTTGTTTTGTTTTACTTTTATTGGAAAATTTCAAGCTTATGCAAAACTAGAAGTGACTGTAATAACCTCCTCATGTATTCACCACCCAGCTTCAACAATGATCAATATCTGGTCATTGGATTATTTTGAGTCAAATTCCAAGACATCCTATTATTTCCTCTGTAAATACTTTAGTGTGTATCTCAAAAAAAGATTTCCCCACCTTTTAAAAAAAAACAAAATCTGGATGATGTGTAAGAATTCCTTAATAGCATCAGTTATCCCATTGCTGTTCATATTATCCTGTAGAGTTTTACAACCAGTTATGTTTAATACTGGATTCATTCTTTTTTTAGTGCCTTAGTCTATCACCCAGGCTGGAGTGCAGTGGTGCAATCATAGCTTACTGCAACCTCAACTTCCTAAGTTCAAAGAATCCTCCTGCCTCAGCCTCCCAAGTAGCTAGGACTACAGGTATGCAACACCATGCACAGCTAATTTATTTTTTCTTTGTACAGATGGGGTCTTGCTATGTTGCCCAGACTGGTCTTGAACTATTGGCCTCAAGTGATCCTTCCACTCAGCCTCCCAAAGTGCTGAGATTACAGGCATGAGCCACCATGCCTAGCCATAGATTTATTCTTATGCCAAAAAAAAAAAAAAATGCCTTTTTACTTAAAAAAAAGTTTGCAAAAATATAATAAAAAATAAAGGTGTTTTTCGTTTTTACTACACTATCATCAGTATCTAGCTCCGTGCCTGGCCCATAGTGGTTGTTCAGTTAGTATTTATTGAATGAATGGCAGGAAGGAGGGAGAGAGGAAGCTAAGAAGTTAGGAAGTTAGAGGTCAGGAAGGAAAAAAGGAAAGGAAAGGAAGAGGGAAGGAAGAGGGAAGGAGGGAGAGAGGGAGGGAGGCAAGGGAGGCAAGGGAGGGAGGGAAGGAGAAGGGAAGAAAGAAGGAAGGCAGGCAGGAGGGAAGGAAGGCAGGCAGGCAGGAAGGGAGGAAGGGAAGGAGGGAAGGAACGCTTAGCCTCACTACCCACATTAGTTTTTTGAATGCAGCTTCTTACAAAGGCATAATTTGGTACTCTGTGATCACGCTATGCATACAGTTTGTGTCCTGCTTTCCCCACATGGTGACATAAGCATTTTTCATCCGGCCCATGAATGATTGACAGAGCTTCCTGCCTCTGCTTTGGGTCCTGAGCGTCCCTGTCTGGCCTAGAGCTCTCTGGGGATACCACCTCATAAGCCGCCTGATAATCATGGCTTTCCAGGCTTCTGATCAACAAGATGTAATATTGGCATTTACTCAGCTGGCACTGTGCTAAAGGTCATTTTAGTAATATTTATCATTTAATTTCCTGAAATTGTCAATCCTATGTTTGGGGAAGGGGGCAGCTTACTAAGTGGATGAAGAGCTAATAATTCTAAGGCACCTGGGAGGATTCCTCATCTAGCAGGACTGCTGTGATGATAGCCCTGATTTTACCAGAGCCCAGAAGCCTTTAGGAGGAGAGTGTTGTAAAGGAGTGATATTTTGGGGGGTAGCCCTAGAGCATGGTAAATAAAGCTCAGGGCATGGTAATTACGACGTTAATATTTCAAAGTGGAAACATTTCCATTCCATTTAATCTATTTCCATCTCTCAGTTAGCCTAATGCATAGTGATACACTTGAGCTGTTTTGATGTTCCAGGAATTGAGTGTTCTTGTGGTATGTTTTACAGTCCTTATTTACCTATAAACATATGCCACACTTGGATAGTTGTTGCTACAAGTGGGCAAGATAATTTAGGGGTTATCAACCAAAGGCATACATTTAACCAAAAAATAAATTGTCATCAATTATATTTGTCTCCCCCATCTTTATTTTGGAAGGTTGGAAGAAGTTGGTGAATGGTGGTTGTTTTTGAAAAGATTTAGTACCTGCTGTACTATGGGCAATACTGTCTTCCAATATGACTTGCCTGTTTAAAATTTGGCCTTTAAACATGCTTTGAGAACTGCAAAGTCAATGGGTTATGATCAGGTTGGGGTACCACCATGTTCAAGAGCAGGAATTTTGACAAAGTCACATTTGCAAAACCCCACATCATCATAGTTGGATTAAGGCAGAATGCTAGGTGGGAGTGGACAACACCCCCAGGTGAATTCAGAATGGTTCAAGCGATTCCCTAGAAAACTGGATAGGGATTGTCCCCAGGTTAGGTTTTACAAACAGAATGCTCTCACAGCAAGTCAGGCTGATGTAAGAGTTGGCTATGAAAGTGGCCTCAGGACAGAAGGAGAAATATTCTGAACCAAATCTGCAACACAGGCATCTTTGGGGACAACCTAAAAGAATGTGTAGCATTGGAGATCATGCCATTGCTTTGGGAACTTCCAGGTAAGTCTCCAGTCCTCAGACAAGGCATGTGCCAGTTACTGCCCTGTTTAGTGGACCATTTAAAAGGACGCTGCCCACAGTCACTCAATGAAGCATCTCGCACCATGTGGAATGTGGCACCAGCACCTCATTTGCTCTGTCTCCTAGCCTTTTGTTGGGGGCAGAGTGAAAGAAGAGAAGAGGGTCTCTGGCCTGGGACAGATTTTTCTTGTTGGTAAAATTAAGATAACACCTTCCCACCCAATTCCCTCCAGCAGCATACTGAGGTCTGAGAAGTAGATTCTCTTACTAGAATATGGTAGACATCAAAAAAAGGAAATCTCTCATATTATAATATTCATTATGGATATATAGTGTGGAAACGATTGCTGAGAGCAAGCACCAGATCAAAGACAAAGGACCAAAAAATGGCATTATTCTATTAGATATAAAAATGAATAGGAATCATTCTGCAGATTTTTTTTTTTACCCAATACAATAACACTTCCATCATTTAGGACTAATAATAGTGATGATGATGATGATAATGACCTTGACTCATTTGTGAACACCATTTTTTACAAAGCCCTTTCGTTATCTATTATCTTTCTTGATCCTCTGAATGACCCCACTAGATAGATATTACAGGGCTAATTATTTCCATGTGATAAAGGAGAAACTGTAAGCCCAGAGGGCTTCTGTGGCTTAACCAGGGTCAAATGGAGAATAGAGTCAAGCTAGAAGCCTGAACAATTCCAGAAGTGGTCTTTCTCCTAAACTGTGCTGTAACCTAGCCCCACGCTGTAGTAGTAGTGGTGATGACTCTACACCAGGCACTGGGACAAACATTTCACATGAATGTGCTTGTTTGATCCTTACAGCCAGCCAGGAGGCAGATTCAATTAGTATCCCTTCTTAGTAGATGAGGAACTTGAGGGAGGAGAAGGTTGTCACTTGCCTAAGGCTACCCAACTAGTTGGGGGGACTTGATCCAGGGCTCCCCTCTTGACCACTACCCCACACTCTTGCAGAAGAGGTTTAAATATAGAAGGGAGAGAAGTTCTAGGTCCTCTCCTTGGATTCACGTCCAGATGCAAGGCAGGGATCTGCTGATGGGCACCTACACCTTGCATTCATCTTGCCCAGGTGATGGTCATCATCCTGACCACTGATGAGATCCACCACTGGGTGGCTCACAGTGCTACTGCCTGGGGTGAGTCTGTGGGCCCTCGAGGCAGTAGACCTAAGTAATATGAAAGAAGTTCTGCCTTGGGCCCCTCAAACCCCTGGGATAGGAAATGTGCTCCCATAAGAAGATCAGAGTAATTTTCATTTCTAATATCTTGACAAATACTGTATTGCATAAATTTGTTCCACTGAGGTTCCGTAATTTGTCACTGTGGTCTCATGTGTCAGTGTGAGCTGCAGCTCTATTAAAGCCAGCTAGCTATATGACTTTGGCTGAGGTACTTACTTTTCTAGTCTCAGTTTTCCTCTTCTGTAAAATGGGAGGCTGTGACATGTGTCTCACCATGCTCACATGATTTTGCTGCAGACTGTGAACAAAGGTTCTCTGAAAAGGAATTTGAGGGAAAGAGACTTTATTCCAGTGAACAGTTTGTATAATGGGAAGACATGGCCTTTGGTGTAAACAGAAGAAGGTGTGTTCCAGAGAACAGAGAGGGTTCAATTGTTTTGTTTGTTTGTTTGTTTGGAGATGGAGTCTCGCTCTGTCACCCAGGCTGGAGTGTAGTGGCGTGATCTCGGTTCACTGCAACCTCTGCTTCCCAGGTTCAAGCAATTCTCTTGCCTCAGCCTCCCGAGTAGCTGGGATTACAGGTGCCCACCACCACGGCTGGCTAATTTTTGTGTTTTTAGTAGAGACGAGGTTTTACCATGTTGGCCAGGCTGGTCTTGAACTCCTGACCTCAGGTGATCTGTCTGCCTCGGCCTCCCAAAGTGCTGGGATTGCAGGTGTGAGTCACCATGACTGGCTGAGGGTTCAAGTTTTATAGCAAAAGTTCTCACCTAAGTTCACAATCAAGTCTGTTCATGCAAATGAAGGATTCAAACTTGCTGAGTTTTGATTGGTCAACATGGCTGAGCCCTGATTGGTAAAGGCAGGTGAGCTCTAGTTGGTTCAAGTGAGCTCTGAAATTCTAAAAGTTAAAAAGGTTTGGCTTTGGTTTTTAGGGAACTCTTGTCAACAAATGGCTTCTTGGCTCTCTTTTAAATGTAGACCCAGTTAGCCGCTAGGGATCCATCTTGAAGGATTAGCTCTTTCAGGTTCACATTTGTTCACAACATCAAATAAAATCATACATATGGAAATTCTTCATAACCTACCAACACACTGCACACATAGAATATTATTTTATTCATGCCAGCTTATCTTTAGGATAGACTTAAACTTTTCAGACTTCAAATTCTTTTTTTGTTTGTTTGTTATTGTTTTGGGGCTTCTTTGCATATGACGTAGGGAGAATTATCACATATCTGTGCAACTTTAATTTTTCAGCAACACATAATCAGAAAAGGGATGGATTGAGGGTCTTTGTTTTATCCTCTGAAGCTACTGTATTTCAGACCTCTTTGGTACACAGGAACACTTAAGTATTTGGAGGCAGGCTGATGGGTCACCACTGAGTCTTTCTTTTCTAAGTAAAAATCACCAGCTCCTTCAACCACATTACTTATTTTAAGGTAGAGAAAAATATAAATTTAAGCTTTGAAGCAGACAGACCTGTGCTTGCATTCCTAGGCTTTTTGTATCTTTGTGTGACCTCTTTGAGCCTTGACATCCATTCTCCCTTGTTAAATGGCACCAAGTCCTTATGAGAATCAAAGAAATGAAATAAAATGCACTTGCAATAGAGTGCCACTCACCAAATGTTCATTTCCCTTGACTTCCTTCAAGATTCCCTGTAATGCATTAATCAGGACACTGGGTAGGGTTCATCAGCCAGCTCTGCCTTCCCCGAAGATCTCCGTGTCCTGTCCTGGAAACAACGTCAACTTAAAATAACGTTTATAATACAAGGATGCCATTCAGTGAGGGCTTACTATGTGCCAGGCAGAGTGTTAAGGACTTTTATGTAGCTTTCACTTTTTAACTTTATTCTCTATCTGGGCAATGTTATAAACTGACTTTGTAAGTGCAAAAACCAAGGTCACAACAAAAATAAACAATGGGTCTGCATTTAGCCTCTGCAGATGAAAAGCGGTGAGTCTAGGTTTTGCCCCAAAGATTGGCAAAATTCTTCTGTAAGACTCACAAAGTAAATATTTTGGGTTTTGCAGGTCATCTAGATTTTGTCACAACGACTCAGCTCTGTCTTATAGTGGAAAGCAGCCATAGAGGCTATGCAAATAAATGGACGTGGCTGTGTACCAATAAAACTACATAAATAAACAAAACCTGGCCAACTGGATTTGGCCTGCAGGCTTGAGTTTGCTGACCCCAGTGGTAAACCCTCTTTTTTTTTTTTTTCCTCCTTTTTCTTCTATTTTAATCACATATCTCTGGCTGGTTGATCATGAGTATATCCTTTGTAGCCTTTCTTGGCAGTGGATATATAAGCTATAAGCTATTTTTACAGCTTTTCTGATTTGCTTGATTGATTATAAGTGTTTTTCAGGTACCAAGCGTCACTTCAGACTCATTTGTAAACCATGATACATTAGAGATCGTCACACTTCTAGGATGGCATGTTTGTGGGGTGACAGATGAGGCTTAGGAAGTCTAAGCAGTTCAGAGTCTGGCTTGTCAGGTTCAAGGCGAAAACTATTTTTTTCCCCAAAAACCACGTTAAGAGACAGTCCAGAAATGAGATTGCTTAGGTCAGAAAGCCTTCCTGGACTTGACCATCAGGATGTAGTCTCTCCCTCTCTACAAATTATCAACCAGAAGCTGGGCTTTCCCTGTAAGATCTGTTTTATCAGATAGATTTAAAGGGAAGGAAAACCCCCCAAAGAAAACAATCTCAATTCAACTAAGACATAAGGTCATGGAATGTCAATGACGATCTGGTCCAGGAGGCAGATGGCCATCTTCCTCCAGCCCTCAGCAAGTATTTCTCATTGGTGCCTCGTGCTGGTTAAGCTTTGTTTTCCTGCCCCATAAGGTAAAAGTATTTAGGGCCCAAAGAGCCCTACATCCTTTCCCCCTGCCTGTCCCCCTACCTGGGAGACAGCTTTATCCCAACATTTAAGAAGTGATCTTGTTCATAAATTGCCAGCCTTGCCAATGAGGGTATCCGTCTGCCTGTGTCTCTCTGTCATTTTTCTGTCCCTGTCTCTGTCATTTTTCTGCCCCTGCCTCTTTCTCCGGCTCACCTCTCTTTCCCTCACACTGCCTTTTTATTTTCTACTTCTTAAGAAAGAACTTGGGCCTGGTGCACAGAAAGCCCTCAAAAACCATAATTTGTTGCGTCTCTTTTTGTGTCTCCCATCTGTCTGCCCTTTTGTCTCCCGCTCTCTTCCTCCCTTCTTCTCTGTCTCCTTTTTCTTCCCTTTGGAATAAATGCACAGAGGCCAGAGAGGAGGCTGCTATGGGACTCCACAGCTGGCCGGCAAAGAGAGCAAGGGGCAGAATTTTCCCCTTGCCTCTCTCGCCTGCCCAGGCCTGTCTGTTGGGAATGTCCCACTCCTAATCTTCCATGGGGGTCATGCACATCCTTCTGTCAGCAACTGGCACAAATCAATTTGCTGCAGGCAGTCATGCTCCGTGGCTCTCTCTGTTCCCACGATGTCACCCAGGCAGTGGTGTGAGGAGCCCATTTGGAAGGAGCAGGTCTATTGGGTGGGGGCTGGGCATGATTGGGGCAGCAGAGGGGAGGTCACTCTTGGCTCCATGGGAACCCAAAGCCTCTGTGGCTCTAGACGGTTGTGGTCTTACCCTTGCCTATGTGACTGGTGATTGTGTTTGGGTCAGGCATTCAGCTGAAACCAAGAGCTGGCTGGCAGTCAGGGTCACCCCTAACCATATGCCTCTCCTTCCTAGCCCTCAGTGCTCTCTGCTCCTTCCAGCCTTCTAATTCATTCTGGCAGCAGCAGGACAGGGAAAGGGTGAGACATTGGCATGTTTTGGAGATATTCAGGAACAAGACTCCAGAATTCAGTGCCAGCCGAATTATTTTTTCTTAGGTATTTACTATGCAGCACATATGTTTCCTGAATCTTTTATACATGTTATCTCTTTTCATTTTATGAAATAGGTATTATTATCTTGATTTTACAAATCAGAAAACTGATGTTTAGTTTGGATTTGAGGGGGCTGAGGAAATCAGGAACTAGAAGTGACTCCCAGTTTCATTTGTTTCCATGGCACCCAGCACGGGGCTCTTCACCTCCTTGGCTCCAATCTAGGCTTGTTGAACTGTTGCACTGAGTCACAAGTGATTAGGTAGATGATCATGCCCTCAACAGAAAAAAGGGATGTCAGAGGAGAAACAAGTTTGGGATGGAGAAGATGATTGGTCTGGATGTTTATTCCACAGAGATAGATTTATTTATTTATTTATTTATTTTTATTTTTTATTTGAGATGGAGTCTCACTCTGTCACCCAGGCTGGAGTGCAGTGGCGCAATCTCAGCTCACTGCAACCTTCGCCTCCTGGGTTCAAGCAATCTTGTGCCTCAGCCTTCTGAGTAGCTGGGATTACAGATGCCTGCCAATCACGCCTGGCTAATTTTTGTATTTTTAGTAGAGATGAGGTTTCACCATGCTGGCCAGGCTGGTCTCAAACTCCTGATCTCAAGTGATCTGCCCGCCTCAGCCTTCCAAAGTTCTGGGATTACAGGTGTGAGCCAACGTTCCTGGCCTCAACAAAGATTTACTGAGTATCCCCTCTATGGCAGGCACTCTCCCAGGCAGTGGGATAGACACTAAATAAATCAGACAAAAGTCTGTGTCCTTGTGGAGCTTGCATTCTAGTAAGGGAAGGCAGACAGCAACACAATCAGTGAGTAGATGATACCATATATGAGAAGGCAAGAGTGATAGGAAGAAAAACCAGGAAATAAGGAAGGTTGTGATGAGGAAGGCATGTCTATTGCAAATTAAAAGAGGGTAAGATTTGAACAAAGCCTTAAAGGATATCTCCTTTCAGGGGGAAAACCTTAAAAATACCTGCGGGAAAAGCATTCCTGGCAGACAACAGCAAGTATACAGCCTTGAGGTAGGCCCATGACTGGTGCACAGGAAGAAAGCGAAAAGGAAGGAGAGTATGGCCGGGGAGGTCAAGCAAGGAGGCGAGTAGGAAGGCAGTGAGGTCTGAGGGAGGTAGGGGAGGGGTCAGGCCACATAGAATCTTGGAGGCCAGTGTGAGGATTTAGCTTTTACTCAGAGAGCATAGAGGGTAATTGGAGGGTTCTGAGCAGAAGAATGACATGATTGATACACTTTTTAAAAAATCACTCTGACTGCTGGGTTGAGAACACCCTGAAGGGCGTGGTAGTTGGGAGCAGGAGCAGCATTAGAAATTAGAAGTTAGAAGACTGTGACAGGGCCAGGAGTGGTGACTTATGCGTGTAATTCCAGCACTTTGGGAAGCTGAGGTGAGAGGACCACTCGAGGCCAGGAGTTCGAGACCAGCCTGGGTGACACAGTGAGACCCCCATCTCTACCAAGGAAAAAAAAAAAGAAAAAATTAGCCAGGTATGGTGGTGCACACCTGTAGTCTTAGCTACTCAAGAGGCTGAGATGGGAGGATCACTGAAGTCCAGATGTTCGAGGCTGCAGTGAGCTGTGATTGTGCCACTGCACTGTAGCCTAGGTGACAGGGTAAGACCCTGTCTCAGGAAAAAAAAAAAAAAAAGCCAAGAAAGGAAAATAAAGAGGGCTGTGACAGTATTCTGGGCAAGAGATGATGACAGCACGGACTAAGGTGTTAGCAGTAGAGGTTGCTGGAATTTGCGTATGAGGTGCCTGGGTGGGAAAGACAAAGGTGATCCCTAGCAGTGGTCAGTATGGAGTTGGCAGCTAATTCGTGATTGTTGATTAAAAAGAAGAAAATCTGGGAGGTTGGAGACCTTTTTCTTAGTGTGTACTGGAGAAGCAGCCCCGTTCTGAAGCCCCATTCTGAAGACTTGGGATTTCTAACAGGAGGCACAGTTATGTGTGAACTTGTCTGATATTCCTCACTCGTCTGGAAGTTTCCTGAGGGCAGGGACTATGTCTGCTTTATCCCATTAGTCCCAGTGCCCAGCCCATGGGCCAGCACACAGTAAGCGATAGTAGGTGGGCAATGTGATAGAATGGGACACGAGAACTTGATCTCCACGCACTCTCCTCGTCCTCCGGTCTGGCTTCCTGGATCCAGACATGAGACTTGGCATTATCACAGGCTGGGATAGAGAGAGTATGAATTCTCCTCTAGGCCCTACTATCTAACTGCTTTGTGAGTCTGGACTGTGTTTCTGTATCTATAAATTGAGGTTTCAGATATTTATTCAGCAATATTAATAATCTCTGCCTGGATTGCATTCCAGAGAGAGCTTTCCTGGCCACTCAAAACAAGTCCCCTAACTCTCTCTCCCCTTTCCCTGCCTTATTTTTTCCACAATACCTGCCAATATCTGAAAACATTGTCTGTAGGTGTACATGTGTGTGTTGCATTTATTGCCTGCTAGAGCATAAACCCCATAAAAGCAGAGGTTTTTTTCTGTCTTATTCACTGCAAAACCTCTGGCACCTGGAATGGTGTGTGCTACATAGAAAGTGCTAAATATGTATTTATGAACGAAGGAATGATTGATTGATTGATTCTGGGGACTCAACAATATGTAGAAATGTGCTTTGCAAACCACAAAGGGCAAAGCAAATGAAAGGTGTTCAGCTATTATTATAAATCTGCTGCACACTTTAGCATAGTTTTAACTCCTCCCACAGCATTTTCCAAGGAAACGTCGGTGAAATCTTTTTTTTCTATTTGGGTTTTCTTCAAAAAGAAGAATTCTGACAACCTAATTTAAGAGACTTCCTAGGTGTGGAACTCAGTGATGGATCCTCATCTCTTAGCAACCTCACATAGGAGCTGCTCACCAGGTAAATGGGGTGACAATTTCAAGTGGGTGTGCTCAGTGTCAGGGATGAGACATGTGATAGGAGGAAGGATGAGACCTTCCCCAGCCGGTGGAGGGGAACAAACCTAAAGCAGGAGTCGGGACCCTGGTATTGTAGTCCTGGGCAAGCCATTCCCCTTTGAGCCTCCTTTCCTCCATACAGTGAAGGGGCTTGGCAAGATCCCTTCCAGCTCTAGCATTCTATGATTGGCATTTCCAGTTAGGCACTTCGATAAAAACGATCATTTATTGGGCAAGTCCCTGTGTGAAGCACTTTATTTGTAATATTCCATCTAATCCTAATTTTAAATCTGTAAGATAGGATTATAATTATCCCCATTTTCTGGATGAGGAAACTGAGGCATAGAGAAGATAAGGTCACTGTTCACATGGGCTGCCATAACAAAATACCATAAATTGGGTGGCTTAAACAACAGACATTTATTTTTCACAGTTTTGGAGGTTGGAAGTCCAAGATCAAGGTGCCAGCCAATTGGGTTCCCACTGAAGACCTTCTCCCCAGCTTGCAGATGGCCTTTCTCTCTTCCTCTTCTTATGAAACCACTAATACCATCATGAGTGTCTCACCCTCATGACCTAATCTAACCCTAATTACTTTCCAATAGGCTAGTGTCCAAATACCATCACAGTGGGGGTTAATTCAACAATGAATTTTGTGAAGATGCAATCATTCTGTCTGTAACTATTGCATAGCTAGCAAGTGATAGAACCAAAACTTAACTGTGATCAGTAGCTGGAATTTTGACTCTGAGGCATCTTGTATGATCCCTGTGTTTTGGTATGGGATACCAATGAAGGAGATTCTGCTGTGTTGGAAAAGTTCTTTGGGAGGCAACCGGTGTTTGCTATGAGTGCCACCTCCATACAGTTGGGCACCATGGCAGTACTGCACACCACTATATCCTCGGTGTAGCCTTATACCAGAACGTGAAAGATATTCAATCAGTGTCTATTACATAAATGAACAGATGGCTCTGTTAAAAGACTAATGACTATGGTTGGGCACAAAAGGCTCAAAAAATGGTTTTGTCCAGGTATCCTGGGAAATGGGGCCCCTTGAGTCTTATCAAAAGAAGTGAGAGGGGCCGGGCGCGGTGGCTCACGCCTGTAATCCCAGCACTTTGGGAGGCCGAGGCGGGTGGATCATGAGGTCCGGAGATCGAGACCATCCTGGCTAACAAGGTGAAACCCCGTCTCTACTAAAAATACAAAAAATTAGCCGGGCGCGGTGGCGGGCGCCTGTAGTCCCAGCTACTGGGGAGGCTGAGGCAGGAGAATGGCGTGAACCCGGGAAGCGGAGCTTGCAGTGAGCCGAGATTGCGCCACTGCAGTCCGCAGTCCGGTCTGGGCGACAGAGCGAGACTCCGTCTCAAAAAAAAAAAAAAAAAAAAAAAAAAAAGGAGAGGATAGATATAATTAAACATCTGATTTATACTACATTACTCCAGCTGCATGTTCCTGTTTTTATAGACAGGGAAATGGAGGCTGAAGGAAGCATAGGTCCCTATGCTAAGCAGCAGAGAAGCGGCTTGCCAAAGTTCACACAGATGTCTGGAGAGTGTGGCTGTCTGCGGGGCCCTACTGCAAACAGTGTAATACCAAAGTGCCAAGAGAATGAGGTCCTCCCTGGGGAGGCACTGAGCCCCCACCTTATACCTCCTCCAGTGGGGAAAGAACCCTGGCCCTAAAGTGAGTCAAGTGGGTCTCCATCATCTTTGAGTTCATCATGGGGAAAATAAGTCAGCCAGCCTTATAGCCTTGTCCTGAGGTCCATGGCCTATTAGGAGTTCCTTGAATGGTTAAGAAAATGCAGAGGAAGCCATGAGGGTTTGGTATAAGGCAGCTCTAGAGTCTCCCTACAGGACCAGTGTAAAGGCACCGTGGTGGTGACTAGTGGGGTATGGGGGTAAGAGGCTGAAGGACCTGCCTGGAAGCTTTATTTATGTAGCAGACACATTTTTGACGTGGCCTGCATGTTTATTTGGTGGGAGCTGGCACTAGTGAAGTTTACATGGAAGCTAAAACACTGCTCTTCCCCAACCCTTAATAATGCCACCTTTGATTTTGGAAGCGAAAGAACAGTTTCTAAGTAAGATGCATCCCTAGTGATGAGCAAATTGGTCTGAAAGGGGAAAGTGAAACCCAGGATAGAGCTTGGAGGGGACCTGTGTGGTAATGGAGGCTTCTGCAAAGGCAGTGGTTTGGTGGGATAAGGAGAGAAACCCCGAACCATGAGATCAGGACCTAAGAGAAAGCAGAGATCACAGGGATCTTTTACATTTGTTCAACTAATACTGTATGGTTGCAAATCACTTTCAGATACTTCATTTTCTGAGCTCTTCACTTTGGCCTTGAGGCAGTTGGGGGAAAATGGTTTATGCCCATTTTACAGATGAGGAAAGTGTGATTGTCAGGGCTTAAGTGGCTTTCCCAAAAAAGTTACCAGGAGAAGGAAAGTGAAGCGGATTTTTAGAATTCCAGCTCCAGCTCTCCTTTGCTTCCCTATAATGAAAGCAGGTGACTGACACCAAGAACTTGGCTTTGGGAACAGGGACATGGTAGATCTTTTTGCAGAGATGGCAATAACAGTAATAAATAGTAATTACTAATTACTCGTAATAGAATAAGCGTGTGTATGTGGTGGGAGGTGGGGGTTGAAGCAGCAGTTTCAATGAGTGTTCAATAAACACATGTTTATTACTATTCCTAAGGCTACCGCTGCTGCAGCTGAAAATGAGTGCCTACGGTGTGCCAGACAGCATGATAAGCATCTGTCTGCATTAATTCTCAAACACCCCCGAAGGCAGGTATTGTAATTCTCATTTTATAAATGAGGTAACCTAGGTGGAAAGGAGAAGAGACTTACCCAGACACTGAGGTACTGTCCGGCTGACATCGAAGCTGTGTGGCTCAGACTCTTAGCACCTGAATCAACAAATGGCATTTGTATTCATCATGCTTAATGATCATCATCGCGAGGAGGAGAGTCAAATGTTCTCTGGGGGATTACAGCTGCTGCATAGTGGAATGAGCTAGAATGGACTTCGGAGTTTTATTTGGGAATGTCTCCTCTTCAGCCATCTTATGCTTTTCAGACTGAGATCAGGTCGTCAGGACTGAAGGGATAGTCTATTTTTCTGTCAACTCTATGGAGACATGTGATAATTACACATTTTTCTTTCTGAAGAAAGACCTGAGAATCTATTTCAATAAGTTCCCAAATAATGATGCTGATGGTTTGTGAACCACACTTTGAGTAGTAAGGGTCTCATCTCCAAGCTCCTCATAGCTCAAAAACTGTTCACTTGGAAGTCCTATTAAAATACATTCCCACCTGTGTGTGCTGGGTCCTCAGATGTGGCCAGATAATTGAAATTATCGGTAAGGTATAATAACAGATAATTTATTAAGCACCTGTGATTTGCAAGGAACTTCTCAATAATGTATGAAGTAGGTTATAGTTTTGTCTGTTTACAGATAAGGAAACTGAAGTTCAGAGAGATAAGCTTACCTGAACTCCTACAGCTAAATGGTGAAACTAGAATATGAACCCTAGTCTTTGCCCCTCTGAAGAGTGTGCTTTTTCCGTAGATTCAAATTATGAATATAAACTACCCCATAAGTGAGAGATTAAGCCTCTTGATACACTTGGCCATTATTTCGCTTGTTATAGAGATTACATAGGTGAAACGTGTCTTGCAAATTGTCAGGACTTTGTTGATGTTAATTTTTGTTATTAGTAATCAAATAACATGGAATTTAATGACACTAGTAGCATGGAAAAATGAGAGAGGGAAGTGTGTAAATCAGTATTTAAGCAAAGCATAACATTTGTAATAATGTCACGTAAATTCAGGAATAGGAAAACCCAAGAACAATGAATATCCATTGAGAAAAAGCCCATGACATTAGAGAAGAATAAAACAGAAAGAAATCCACCCGTGTTTCTTGGCTTTGCTCCCTCCCCTTTGGGTTCAGAGAATAGAATTGAGACAACACCAAAGGGGGTGGGTAAAGAGTTTGAACAATGAATACACATTACCAGCATCCGCTGAGTATCTTGTTAACATTAACCTGATGCATTGCAAGTGAGCTGCAGTTAGAACAGTAATTACAGTAAATAGAATCCATTTGGAATTCTCAAGCAAATATGAGTGGGGAAGAAAGATGGGCTGAAAAAAAATCCATTACCCTTAGGAAGTTATGGAAGCTTTGGATGGCAGCGATTTCTACTGTGAATTGCATCTGACTAAGAAGTGACAACATGAGTGAATCTATCTCAGCTCTCAAGTGCATTTAGATGGTAAATAAGATGAATTGCCTAACCATTCCAGCCAAGTGCAGTTTCCTGAAATATTTGTCTTGGCAATTTAGGTAGAAAATTTAGGTAAAATTGGGCAGATGGCCTGATTACTCTGCTTCCTTCTTTGCACTGCTGGTTTTTCCTGAGTAAAATGAAATATTGTCATTCTGGAAGGGTCAAAAGGAAGGGCCCAGCATGAGATGGAAGAAGACAGGGAAGGATTCTGAGACTTTCAAAATGGTCTGCACTCTTGCATGTTGGTCAAAGAGAAGTTTTGTTTTCAAAGACTCCAGTGCCAGTCTACCTGGTCAGGTGCATGCAGACCCCTTCTGGGGGTGTCATGTACTCTCTTTCTGTAAGTTCCATAGCTCCAAACCAGCTTGGCTGGGGCAGTTTCATGGGTATGAGATCTCCTCATGGGCCTGTGTCTTTCTCATTCTCTGGCTCTTCCCTCTCTGCCCGAGTAGCGAGTGCATGCCCAGGTCAGACTCCCTTCTCTGACTTCCTCACCTCACCTCCCCTAGCCCATAGGGAAGAGACGTATCTTCCCTCAGCCTCTGGTTCACTAAAGCCTCATGCTTTGAGCACCCCCTCTGCCACCTGTGTGAGTAATGGTTGAAAAACTCAGGAGTACTTAGCCTGGAAATTGGGAGACTCGGGCAGTATGAGTGAGTTTCCATATGCTCATTCATTTATTCAACAAATATTTATTAAGTGCCTACTGTGTACCAGGCACTGTCCCACCTAGGTCTGGGAGTAGATGGAATGCAGTTCCTCATTGTGTGATCTGGGATGCTTCATTGATAGGAGAATGCTTTAAAATAGGGAGAAAACACTGATATCTGAAAGGGAGAAATGCTAAAAGCAGCATCTCTGTGAATGCAGCTGGGAAGTATCTGGGATTTCCAAGACCCCATCTATGTTCTTTGTGCCAGCTAAGGGGATGTCCACCGTGGCAGACACAAGCCCCTGCAGATCCAGGCTCCTGCAGACCCAGGCATGAGCCTGGGGAAGCAGCCCTGCCTCAGCTCTCAGAGTTCACCCAAAGGACCCCAGATGGCTGACCTTCAACATCTTGTTGATTGGGTGCCAGGACAAGAACTAATTAGTACTGGTAACAAGCTTGTTCGTTTTTCAGAGAGCACAGAGAAGAAAGTGGAGATGGAAATAATGTTCTGGTCTCAAACTATTTTTTTTTTTTTTAAACTTAGCTACACTGTATTTTCTTTAGACCATATTAAGCATTGGAGTCCTTTTTAAAAAGGTGAGTCAGGGCCATTTTTATCAAGCATCAGCTGAATTCCCAACACTCTACTATCTGCTTTATATAGGTTAACATTGCTACTTTTTTAATGCTCACAAGAACACTGTGAAGGAGGGATTTTTTTTGTCATACCCATTTTATAAGTGAGAAACTGAGACCCTGAAAGCCAAAGCTCAGGCTCTGGAGCCAGCAGACCTCTGTGTGTGACCCAGCTCTAACATTTTCCATTTGTGAAACCGTAGGCCAAGCTGCTTCACTTTCCTGAGCCTCTGTGTTCTCATCTGTAAAATAGAATGATTTCAAATATCTGCATCATAAGGTGAAAAGTGATAAGGATCACTTAACCATAATGCATGTGAAGCACCTGCTCCCATGCTGGGCACAGAGTGCTTAGTGGTCAGTAAATGCTCTCTTCTCCCTCTTCCAGGGGCCAGGAGGAGGAAGCTCCTCATTCCCATCCCCTTGTGCCCAAGCTATCCATGCTAGGGGTTGGCTGCAGAGAAGGCTTACTGATGCTCAGGGTGAGCTGCGTGTGCCAGTGCCTCGGAAGCCCACCACGCTTCAGGGCAGGGCCACCAGGCCATGGAGAGTCAGTCCAGCCACCACAGAAAAATGAATGTGGTGGACTTATCCTCAAACAACTGTGCAAACACCCCCCAGAGGCCCAGTTTTGGACAAGGACAGGAAGTGAAGTATCACATTCATGCAAAGCTGCAGGGCGCCAGGGACGCAGGCAGGGGGAAGGGAACTGCACTGAGAACTGCTGAAGGTAATGAGCCCAACTGGAATCCAGATGACGCCAGGCTGGCTTCCTGGCCCTGGAGCTGAGGCTTAGAGCAGAATTTCTCAGCCTCACCTGGACTTTGGAATCACCTAGGAAGCTTCAAAAAATACTCATGCCTGGGTCCCACTCCTGATGACTTTGAGTTAAGTGGTTTGGAGTGCAGCCTGGGCATTGGGATTTTGTAGAACTCCCCCAAGTGATTCTCTGTGCAGCCAGGACTGAGAACCCCTGCCTAGATGATGGGTTTGGAGCCCCTTGGATGTTCAGCTCCTAGACACACAAGAGACTGAAAGAGGGAGGCCACGCAGTTCCTTATTTCTGTGTGGCCCGCTGTACTCCCAGCCACCATCCCTCCCACCCTCTTCGCCTCCTCCTGCCCACTGGCTCTGTGGTCTTAGCCACAAAGTCCATGTTCCACATTTTCAGAGCCTGCCTTCCCCATGGGACTTTATCTCTTCCGTGCCTCTGCTCACCCATGTGCGCTATTGCGAAGCCCTCTCCTCATCTCATCGCGGTCCATGCAGTCACACCTACCTTTGACAATCACAGGCTGGCTTCTCTGGTCAACTCTCCTCATGTCAGCCCAAAATGACCTCTCCATATCTGCATTCTGGCAGCACAGAGCTTGGACAGCCCCCCTGGTACTTGGGCCAGGCAGCTTTATACTTTCTAGTGGGGTGCAATAGCTGCCTGTGGGGTCTCAGTGTCCTCTGTGATTGTGGGGAAAGACCACCCACCCAGTGTGCTGCACAGCTTTGTTCATGGCCCAGAGAGAACAAGAGCAGCATTCACATTGCACCCAATGCTTCTGTGTGCACATTCTCCTTTGTCCTCACCAGGGCTTCTTCTGGCAGTAGGATTCTTATATCCATTTTACAGATGAAGAAATTGAGGCTTAGGGTATATTTGCTGGAACTCACCCAGAGTTATTATAGTCTGGACTATAAGTCCTGGACTCCTACTTTACCACACCACCCATAAGGAAATGTCATAGAGAATGTGAAATAATGTGCTTTAGGTCATTGTTACAAATAATCTAGTTTGATGAAAAGTTCTAGTTTCCAAGGGCAGACATTCCATTTTTTACATCCTTCACACAAGAATTCACTGAACCTCTCAGAGAGCACAGAGAGGCCCCAATTCAGAGGTCTGCTCATTCTACAGTTGTTGGAGGCCCAACATCTACCCTTTTACCCTACTTTCTGGTGGAAGAGACCAACGCTTACATACATAATCACTGCACAGTGTGTGCTGAGTTCAAGTTCTAGCTCTGTCATGTTCATGACCTGTATGACTTTCTTGGGTCAAGTTGCTTCACTTCTGTGCTCTTCACTTTCCTCCTCTGTAAACTGGGGATCTAGTACCTGCCCAGCTGCATTGCAGTAAGATTGAGTGTGATAATGCCTGTGTGGCACTCAGGATAGGCATGGCACGTGGAGGGCACTGGATAAGTGCTGGTCATGAGGAGCTGCAGCATGGGCATGGAGTTGCAAGGGATCCCAGAGGAGGCAGAGGGAACCCTGCTGACAGATCTCAGTTTCCCATCGCTGCTATGACACATTCCCACAAACTGAGTGCCTCCTAACTACACAGGTTTATTCTCTTATAGTTCCTGAGATCGGAAATTCAACCTCAGTCTCGCTGGGGTAAAGGCGTTGGCAGGGCTGGTTCCTTCTGGAGGCTCCAAAGGGAGAATCCATTTTCTCACTTCTGTCAACTTCTAGAGGTGCCTGCGTTCTGTGGTGTGTGGTCTCTCCCCAGCCTCACTCCAACCTCCTGCTTCACAGATCCTACACTAACTCCGAGTCTCTCACTGTCCTCTTATAAGAACCCTTGTAATTACACTGGGCCCACCTGGATAACCTCCCCATCTCAAGATACTCAATCACCTCTGCACAGTCCCTTTTACCATGTAAGGTAACATACTTATAGACTCTGGGGATTAGGACATAAGTATTTTTTTTTGTTGGTGGGGAGGCTCATTTTTCAGCCTACCACACCAGGGGAGGGAGTGCAGGGACGATTTCCTAAGGAGGCACATTTCAGATGGGTCTTGAAGAATGAGTAGGAGTTTGCCAGATGGATGTGCAGGAATGGGTCTTTCAAACAAAGCAAGAGCACCAAGGCATAGAAGGAAAGCCTGCCATGGATAGAGAAAGGTAAGGAGTTCATGGCAATGGGAAAAAGTGGATATGAGAGAAGGAATGATGGGCGGGAAGGCCTTTTATGCTGTGACTCTAGAAGCAAACGTGTGCTATGGCAGCAGCTGCCAGAGTCCTCTCTGTGGTATGATGTCCCGTGCAGGAAATCTTGACATTCCACCCTAGCCCAGTCCAGCCAGCCTCAAGAGTATCATTTTCCAGCTTGTAGTGTGTATGTCTGGCCATCAAGAGCTGGTGGTCCCTGGGGCTGTCACATTTGTCTCCATTTTTTTGCCTTCTCTGCCAGCACCAAAGCTCTGACAGAAGGGCCCTCCAGACTCCCCCTGACCCCACCTCCCTGGGCTGGGCTCCCAAGACACAGCACCTGGAGGATCAACTCCAGTAATGGAAGACAAGACCCAATGCCCCTTTATTGGAAGCCATTTTCCTTCTCAATATCTTCAGGAGAGGTAGACCAGCAAAGTGACATTTCCACTGAAATAATTTTTCAATTTCTTGTAATAGGACATGAAAGTTGGTCCAGGGAAATTGATTCCATTCGAAGCTCCCTTTGTAGGACACTTTATCTTCCATTGCGGCCTCGGTATTTCAGCAATTTCTAAAGCTCGAGGAAGTCTCGTTTAATATTTTTTTCACCACCCTGGCAGAAGGCTTTTGTAGCTCAGCTGAATGGCTCTGCTGACCTGTCACTTCCTCACGTGGCTGCCTGTGGCCCCCACCCATGCCTGGTCTGCCTACCCCACATCCTGCACCCAACCACGGGGAGCAGCTTGGCAGCTTCCCACACTGTCCCCTCTGTGCCCCCAACAGGGCTGATTTATTCTCATTCTTTACTCTTTCTCCTTCATCCCTCCTCCTCTCTTTCCCTCTCCTCCCTTTTCTCCTCCATCTTTCTCTTTTGATATTGCATTTTTCCCATTTTTTTTCCCTCTCTTGCTCCTTCATGTCTCTTCCTTCTCTCCCTGTGACTCTTGCCCTAGGATTATAGCTATCACTTAACCATGGGACCCAGCAGGTTACTCGGTCTCTCTGGGCCTCAGCTTCTTCATCTGTAAAATGGGCATAATAAGGCACATCTCACTGGGATGATGAGGATTCCATAGTAATAGTAGGGAGAGAGGGATATGCACAGGAGCAGGGAGCAAGTGCTGGGCCTGCCAGCTCTGCACAGGCGCCCTTGACCTTGGCTCTGGTTCATAAAATAAAGAAGGATGCAGAACTGCAACCAAACTGTGCAGTGTGATACTTTTCAAAGACACAGCACTTTTCAGTTTACCAGGACTTTCCTGACCTATTACCAAGTTTGATCTCCACGACAACACTTTGATGGAGATAGAGCAGGCATCCTAGCCGGCCCTATAGATGAGGACCTATGCTCACAGAATTCAAGTGATTTGTCTGGTGTTCTGTCATCTGCACTTGTGTCATCTGCCTATTGATTCTGTTGTTCTTTTCTCACTGGATCACGGAATGGGACACCAAAGGACAGCCCCGTCCAACAATCCCCTGCTTGGCCTGCCACTCTCCTGATGCTGGAGTTGGAGTACAGGGAAAACCACTTTCTGCTGGATCTTCCTGGCACTCAGAGCCCCAGCTTTGTGACTGTGTTGTGTTTGAGGTTTGAGCAGGCGTTGCCAACACAGCTCCATCATCTCCCGCTTCAAGGCTCGGCCTTTGGGTTTCTAGCCCCAAAGTGAACTGAGTCAATCTCCAGAGTAGACTCAACTTCCATGTTGGTCTTGAGTCAAAGCCCATTTGGATGCCCTGAGCAGACATTACTCTCAGCTGGATGGCAGCATTCTCCTCCACAGTTGAGGAAACTGAGGCTCCGTGAGTGTGACTTGTCCAAGGTTCAGCTGGGACTTTGAACCTAGGTCCAGCCAAAGACTTCAGGCCTTTTGGCCTCAGGAATATCAAGCGACTGGCTCAAGGTCACCCAGAAAATTTGGAATTCTTGTCTCCCTAGGCTGCATTCCAGAACATTTTTCATTCCATACTCTATTTAGGATAGTTTGGGGAGCTTCTGTGAGACCCTCAGGCCTAGAGCCAGGGCTAAGGTGAAAGAAGTTACAATTAGTGTAAAGTCAACTTTCCACCTGCTCTGGCTGCCCAGTGATGGAAGGGATGACCTCAGGTCCCTTGGACAATTTGGGCAAGGGCAGAGGTCACTTGGAGGTGCTGAGGAGGTAATTCCAAATCTGCTGTTTGGGTGGCAGTCAGGGGCCATCCCGTTTCAAGGATTAGATGGTCTGCTTACTTCCCAGTGCTGAACGGGAGTTGAACCCAAGCTGACAGCAGCTGCTTTTCAGAAACAATTCCCAAGGGAGAAGGAAATGAAAATTTGCCCCACTAGAATCTGGAATCTCAGATGCAGCAGCTCTTCTTGTTGTCTATAGGTGAGGACATGCAAACCTCCCTGGTTTTTATTGTGGTTGGAACATGCTGGGACTGCTTAATTGATTCAATCATTCATTTGACAAACATATTTAAGCATCTGTTCTGGGGCAAGCCCTGCTCTAGCCTGTGGGGGTGCAGCAGTCACCAAGCTGGCATGATCCTGTCTTCACAGCACTCACATTCTAGGGGAAGAGACAGTTGAGAAGCAGTCATCCCAAATACGTGCTTGCGCAGGACCCTCTCTTCCTCTGAGACTTGGTGGATAGTCATACAACTTCTCACAGTCTCAAAAGCAGTGAGGGGCCATGGAGGAAGGACCCTGATCTGGCTGTGAGATGCCAGCAAGTCTAGGTACCACCCCAGCTGCAGGTTCCTTGTCTGCAGAGTGTGGATAGCGATACCCACTTTGCCCCTGTCCTTGGCAAGGCCTTCGATGGCATGGGGCAGAAACCCACTCTGGCAAGGATGGCTGTGATAAGGTCTCAGAGATCTTTTTGAGAGTCCAAAGGTGAGAACTCCAATGTAGCATGGCCCCACCAAAACAAAAAAATGGAAGTTGCTAGAAACCAGGGAGTCCATGTGGCTCTGTTTCCCCAGTTTCCCCATTTCCTTTGCTTTTTCATAGGTTATGGTCCACAGAGCTTTACCTTGCGAAGGTCCGTCCTGCCTACCCTGGCCTTCTCAATAACCTACAACTCTTAGCAACCCTTTCTGGCTATTCTCCCCTCTGGTAACTACCCCAGTCTCTGCTCCTCAATTCCAATTTCAAATCCTCAAAGGAAGAACCTAATTGAGACAAATCACAGGTCACTGGACAGCCAAAGGTTGGACCTTCCAAGGGACAAGTACCCCCTTCTGACCTAATCAGCTGTGATCACGGTGAGGCACGATCACATGGTATACACATGGCTGGGCTGTGGATGGAACAGTTTCTCTTACAAGAAAATGTTGTTATGCAGCTGCCATCAAACATCTGCTCCTCCCAGTCTGCCCTGACCAATGTAATGTGGGGTTTTCTAAAAAGCCTCTGGCAGGCCGATTCCTTGTATATTGAAAGGATTTATTGAGTGATTGCTGTTTACAGAAGGCTTTGGTAAATTGTAAGTTGCTACGTGGATGCAAGATGCAATAGTTGCTGACAAAACTTAAACTTTTCAAAGGCTAGCTTTGCTGGCTTTAGGCCAGTTGCTTTAATCAGGAACAGTTAGCTTGGTAACCTCCTTGTCCCCTCGGCTATTGCATTTCCCTGGGGCCTGGGGAGACTGTGCCTTGAATGTGGATTTCTCAAAGTGGTTCCATGCTGTGCCCCTGAGTGGGGCTGGGTCTCAGCCTTGGAAATTACAGTTTGTCTCATCCTGCAGGGCACAATTCAGTAAATGTCGATGTGAACACTGCCCAATCCCAGCAACTGGGGGCCTCCTGGGCCACTGACCAGCAGGAGTGACAGACAGCTAGCAGGATGCCTCTGCCTTCTAATGGTTCTAGAAAAAGGGCAGGGGGGTAGAGAGAAACTCAAATATGTTACATCCTTTTGGGCCTGGGTCTTTACATACCTTAATTATTGCATGTTCATAGCAATATTTTCAAAGTGGCATTGTAATTCCCATTTTACAGATAGAAGTAATGAGGCTTAGAGAGATTAAGTAATTTGCCCAAAGTGATAGAAAGCAAATGGAGCCCAATCCTGGCTCTCTAGATTCCTTATTGCATTGTGGTAATAGCTTATAAGCACATAACCAGCCGATTCTTTCTGAACACCTACTATGTGCTGGCTATTGCATAGTCTGTTATACCTTTTATAACAGACCCTTTTTCCTCTCTCATCTAATACCTCTATCATTTAATACTCTTTTTCCTCTGTCATCTAATACCTAGGGAAGTAAGTATGCGAGATGGCTCTTGTTACTCCCATTTAACCGATCAGAAGCTAGAGGCCTGGAGGAGGACAGGGATTTGCTCAAAGCAATGCAGCTAGTTAGTGGTGGAGCAAATGTGGAATCGGATGCCCTGACTACATGATTTGGGCTCTATGGACTAAACCATACCTCCTTCCCACCCCTCAAGACACTCTTCCATCTTGGAGGGGGGAAAATATTCAAAGATTAAAAATTACATTTTTTTTCCCCATTTAGTTCAGATCTAGCTAACTTCATGGCACATGTGTTAGTCAGGCCTGGATTCAAGTCCCCTGAGCTTTAGCTTCCTCATCTATAAACAGTGATAACCTCCATGAAAGCATCTAGCACACTGCTCAGGGAGCTTAGACAGGGAATCAGCAAAGAGAGCTGCTTAGAGGAAGTGGTCCCAGATGGCCCACTTGAAAGGGAGGGAGCGGTCTGCTGTCTGTAAGAGCTCATCCCATACTAGTCTGGTGATTCCCAGTTACCCTTTGAGACCCCTAGGCAACCTCTCCTTATCTTTCAGGCAGAATTAGTCACTGCAAGCTGCGGGCTCCTATAACTCAGTCGGGGGAGTTGGCAGTCTCTCCTCTTTGTGCAAAACATTTTCCCAGACCATGTCCCCTCTAGGCTTCTCCTGAGCCAAGATGCACACAGGCCTTATGTGAAAGACTGAGGTGGAACAGACCTCATGAATTAATCCTGTCCCTTTCTGGTCTCAGTGCTTATAGAGTCACTCCCATACATCAGAGGTACTCTGGTGTCTTCTGAGAAGGATCTGCAGTCTTCAATCCTGACTTCAAACTTTGCCTTTCCCCCTAAGCTGAGTAGGAAATTGATGCAAAAAAATTGATACAAATGTACCAATGGATGGTTTGGGCAGCTTGAGAAGATACAGCCATTTCTTAGTTTATGTCTTCTCCGCAATGCTAATCAACCTGCCTTATAGCAAACTAGCTGTTTCCTAGCAATGCCAAGTGACGTAGCAGGATGGCATCTATTTTGAATCTCCCTGAAGTGACCTATTGGCTCTCTTTGAGCATGGCAGTTATTGCCTTGAGATCATGTTGCCTTGCCAAGGGAAGGGGGCTTTCCCCAGTCATGGTGGCGGGAGACCTGTCAGGTTCTGTAGCAGAACCAGCTTGAACCACATCAACCTGGAACTATGCCATACACTTGTACTTCTAGAAAACAATCAGGCCCAATCCCTGTCCTCCGGGAGCTCCCACTCGAAAAGGAAATAGGATTGTAACAAACCCTGTGATAAGTGTTGTTATCAAGGCAAGAACAAAATCAAGCCTGGAGTTTTCAGGAATATTTTTCAGAGGAGTTGTAAGCTGAGCTAGGCTTTGAATGAATATAAGTTTTGAAGGTGGCGAAAGAAGAATAACACATTTGTTGGAGGGCACGGTATGATGCAGGACCCCAAAGGCAAGAAAGAAATCATGGGAAGTTGGTGACATCACTGACTAATCCAAACCTCTTTCCCTTAGGTGTTATTCAGATTAGGAGTTCTGTTATAGAATAAGAAATTCAGGCTTAAAATGAAACAGATCTCTTTATGACAGGATTTCTCAGTCATATGCAACATGCTAACGTTCATTGTGATTGTTCAAGATCATAAGATTGTTGGCAGCATTTCCTAGACTTACTGATGTCTCAGGACACTTAGACTATCTTTTAGGAGTAGGATTTCTTTGAACCTATCTTGCAAAATGCTAAGCTACAGATAGGGTTTTTTCCTGAGGATGGTTGGAGACAGGCAAGGGATGCCCCTGTCAGCTGTGAGGAGCCTCTAGCAGCATGAAGTGAGAATGGGATTTTACCCTGACAGTGCTGGGCAGCCATGGAAAGGTTTTTGCAGGACCCTGTGTTAGAAAGTGCTCAGGGAATAGAGAAATGGTGGGTCAGGGAGGGGAGCCTGCAGACTGAAATTCTAGGTTGAAGGCTGCGGTGAAAGTTGCTCTTTGGTATCTCTTGCTGTGGATGTACAGGCATCTCCTGGCACCTGGCCTAGGTCAGGGCACTCAGCCTCAATCCAGGGTGATCACATTCAGAGACATCATTGAGGATCTCCAGATGGGCCCACTCTGAGGTCCAGCTGAGTCCTGCCAGACTATATGCGACACTGTAAGGCATTCACCTGCTCAGCAGCAGTTCTTTACCTGGAAAGCAGCTGGGACCTGCTCTTTGATTCTGTTGCTTGTTTTTGTTGGGGCTCTCATTCCATTTACTTTGTCCCACAAGCCCAGTTAGGTAGTCAATGATGTTTGCCATGCTCGGTGTTGCTGTTCTCATGAACTACAGATGACTTAGACGATCATTCTGTGTGCTAGAAAAGGCAGAATGTGTTGTCAGCTTATTAGATCAAAGACAATAGTCCACAGCAATAGCCCTTTTCAAGGGAGAGGAAATTGAACAGGTACAAGTGTGAAACCCATTAGGGAAAAAACAGGCTCTAGAGCCAGACAGCCTTGAGCTCACATCTCAGCTCCATGACTTACTGGCTAGATGATCGTAGACAAGTCACTTCACCTCTTTGAGTCTTACTTTTTAATTGCTGGAAAATGCAAATAGTAATACAAAATGTAAGATGTTGATAAAATCTTTACTACGTACAATTGGCTTCATAGATATTAGGTGTAGTTTCATTTTTCTTAGGCCTTCAAACCCAATATCTGAAGACCAGACATGGTTTAGTAGCAGCAGCTGTGAAAACAATTGTTATGGTTTTGGTTGAAAAGTTGCTTGTGGGAAGGCCGCCAGAAACTACTATGTGCATAGGCTCTGTCAGTAAAAGGAGAGAGCCCTAAGTTAGGGATGGGTCACTCCTAGCCACATGCCTGTCTGGGCTCTGCTCAAAGATCACTTTCCATTCTGGGTAATAGGGATGTTGACACATGTTCATTCAAACAAGCTGGGAAAGAGGAATGGTGTGGAAACCAACCACATAAAGATTAAATGAAAGACCCCAGGTATTTTTGCCTAAAAAAGAAGATGATGGCAAAGTAGAGGGGAAGTTGGATCTATATTTCAGTGTCCAGAGCAGTGTCTGGCACATAGTAGGTTCTCAGTGAATGTTTGTTGGTTGGATGGATGGATGGATAGATGGATGGATGGATGAATGGGCAGGCCATGAAATCTGACAGACCTTGTTTTGAATGTTCTCCTTATCATATATTAACTTTGACTTTGGGGATGGTACTCAGTCTCCCCGAACATCTTTGCAAATGGGGATAGGGAAGACTGCTGTGTTATGCTCTTCTAGGGATTCAGTGATAAAAAGTATGGTAAGGACTGAACACTGAACTTCCTGCCTTGGAGGTGTTCAGTGAAATTTCTACCTTGTTCCCCTGCTATATTCACTGTTGAAGGTTGACAAATCCTGTCATGTAGAAGGGGAATTGGGTATACCTCCAGAGTTTCAGAGTGAGACAGGCGGGTTGAAGTTTAGGTGACTTTCTAAAGACTAGAACAATTTAAAAATGATTCACATTGCTCTCATAGGAGTGAGATCCCTGGCACCAGAGGAGGTGAGCAAGCAGAAGTTGTGAGCTGCTTAGCCAGGACAACGTAGAGGTGCAGACTGTATATTCAAGGTCCTTAATATTCAGTAATTTGTAATGATCATTCATGGAAAGATATATAGTCTACTTAAGCTCTTAGTCTCAGTTTATTTATCTGAGAAGTGGGGGAACAACAACATTGGATATCCAAACAAAATGAAGCAATGGGTGAGATGGGAAGAGTGCTTATAAACTGTGAGGTTGCAAAGAGCAGAGCTTGCAAACTGCTACCCCATGGCCACAATTAGCCCCCAGATGGATTTCGGTGGGCCGGCATAAGGTTGGCCTTATTTTTTTTTTAAAAGAGATTTCATGTGACAGTTCAAGTTGTTCAACTTAATTACAAAGAAGGATGAAAGATGTGATGACTGGGCCCTCATTTTCACCTGGCCACATGGAGCTGAGACTGAGAACAGACCTGCCTTCTGGCCTCTGAAGCCATTTGGTTTGTGGCCTTAGTCTTTCATGCTAAATTCTAGGATTTTAGCCTTACATTCCAGCCTGTAATCTGGAAATAAACCACTCCTGCACTGCGGGACTGAAATGGCAGCCTGGAGTGATAGCTGAAGGTTTGGCTTCTGGCATTGGGCTACCTTGGCTCATGTCCCAGCTCTGCTGCTTTCTAGCTGGTAACTTTCATCACCTTTCTGGTTTCAGTTTTCTCTGCTATAAAATGGGGATAATAATCAAAACTACTTTACAGGTTGTGTGAGGATCAGAGTTGTGCCTGACATTGAGTACATGCTCGGTGAACAGCATCTATTATTATTAAAGCAAAGCATCCTCTTGTAATGCAAATCATTGTCTCCTCTGGCTGATTAGATTTGTGCTGCGGTGCATCTGAGCACCAAAACCTGACAGGCTTTGACAACTTTGATTTCAGAACAAGTGTCCTTTCTGCATGAGTAGCAGAGGCTGCTGGAACTAGAGCCATTACATGGCAAAGCAAGGATGCTGTCTGGAGCCTCCACCTGAATAGAGAGGCTGGTAGGCTGAGCTCTCAGCCCCTGCGAGGCTCCCCTGCCCGGGGTTGCAGGAAGCACTGTGATTTACCAGGGCCATTAGGCTTGACAATTTATAGCCTTCCCAGGGTGAGAGGGAGCTAATGTGTCACTTACGTTTGTATAACACTTAGAAGTGAGTTGAGTTTCCCTCCTGCTCTTTGTTTTCCTCCCACAGTCTCCTTACACTGTATCCAGTAGATGTTGGGGACACTGTATCCGGTAGATGTTGGGGAGCATGGGCATGCCCCTCCACAGAGTGGAAAGGCATGGTCACTGTGGTTGGCGCCCCAGCTGTCCTCTTAATGCACCCTGTGAGCACCACCCAGGCCTCCCTGCAACCCACTGAGACAAGGACTCTGTTGTGCCTTTGTTTTACAGATAAGGCAACAACAGAGGTGCAGGTTGCTTATATGAGCCATTAGCTGAGGATCACACAGCTGTGAGCAGTGGGAGTGGAGTCTAAACTCAAGACTCTTACTCCAAGGCCTGGGCTCCTCCATCTATATCAGGCTGGGAAAAAATGCTGGCTGTGCAAAGGGGTAAAAAAAAAAAGTCCACTTATCAGTCAGGGACAGGTCAGCCCGTCTCCACAAGGGGAACACAGTCGCCATTATGCTGAGCACAACCAGGGCTTTTCTCAGCAAGGCAGCCATGCCTCCGTCCCTACACAGTTCTCTAACTCTGAATCATTCATCCTAAAGAGGGCAAGCAAATCCTCTTCTGCCCCCAGGGAAGACCTCTCTTTCCCTCCTTCCTGGCCAGGAGAGGGAAACGTCTGGTTCCCAACTCTTGCCTGAGTTTCACTTTATTCATGTTGTTTCATCTGCAGATCTTGGTGAGGCAGGGATGGCCGACATATCCTCATGACCCCACGTGTCTCTGTTGCTCCTGGTAAGAAAGCAGAAACTGGCCAGCCCTTGGCCTTGTCTGCGGTGGCCCCAGGCGCTGAGAATGTCATCTGACACTGGGGCTGTTTGAATCCCAGCTCTGCTGCACATTAGCTGGATGGGTTTGGGCACATTGCTTAATGGCTCCGAACCTCCTTTCCTCATCTGCCAGGAGGGATAGTAAAATTTCACAGGGTTAATTTGCGGATCCTGATGTCATGCCTGTGGACCACATAGCTCTCGACTCTGCTGGCTGTTATATTATTTCCCATTTGATTCTCACAGTTACCCTTGGAGGGTGTTAATGTGGCCATTCCGTTTTACAGATGAGGAAGCTGAGGTCACTCATTTGTTCTTGCATTTGCCCTTTATTAAGTTCTGTCTGTGCACCAGGCTGAATGCTGGGTGAGAAAGAGGGAGGATTAAGGCCTGTGATCAACTCTCAGAGAGCCCAGGGCCTAGTGGGTGTGCTTTTCCCCCTAGCCCCCTGCCTTTCAGGATTCTAGAAGGCAGGGACTGAGCAGAGGCCAGCGATTCAGGAAGTGGCTTCTCTGTGCTTCGCATCACTCAAGTCCCAGTCCTAGGAGTCCCCATCAATTCTTCCATTTTCCTCACTCCCATGGCCAGTCCATTAGCAAGGCTTATCAAGTCTACCCCTGAACCTGGTTGTGTGCTGGAATTGGCAGCTCACACCAGCTTCAAGAGTTGCTTGTATACCATTCTTCCCAGTTCTGCTTTCAGTGATGCCATGTTGCTAGCTTAAAGTCTGCCACAGTAAGAGTGTTTATACCATGGAAATAGGCAAACAGGGCTTTTCCCCTAGAGAGCCAGTCATTAAGCACTTAACAACACACCATTGCCCGGATCTCTCTCCACTGCTCTTTATTTCCACTTCTACCATTTTAGTCAATGCCACTTTCCCCTCTTCTCAGCAGGTTCTGCTCAGCCTTGCCGCTCACCCTTCTGTGATCCATTCCTTACCAGGCAGCTGGAGAGATATTTTACAAATGTAAATCAGCTGCTGTCATTCCCTTCTTTAAAACCTTCCCGTGGCTTCCCAGAACACTCAGAATGAGAACCAAACTCCTTGCTGAGACCTGCACAGCCTACTCTACCTGCCCTGCCAACTTCTGATCTCATCTTCCCTTCCCTGCTAACCCAGCCTCTGATGCACTGGCCTTCTTCGTATTCCTGGAAAAAGCTGACACCTTCCTGCCTCGGGGCTTTGTGCTTCTCCTGCTGGGACTGCTCTGCCCCAGGTCTTTGCATGGCTGGCTTCTTCTAGTTATCTCGATCCTCGACCAAGTACCACCTTCTCAGAGAAGTCTTCCTTGACTACCACCCCCAGCATAGACAAGTCCTCCTGTCTACTTACCTCTGCTCCTGCTCAAAGCCACTTTCTATCATAGCTCCTCATGTCTTTTATGTTTGCTGCTTAATTTGCCATCTCTCCACCAAAACAAAAGCTCTATATTGCCAGTAACTGAGGTTGGGATGTTGGAGGTGCCTAGCAAATATTTGATGAATGAATGAAAGTCTGTCTCCAAGAGAAGATGTTCCCAGCAAAGGCCTCTCCCGTCACTGCTGAGCCTCAGTCTCTTTGAATCCTTAAAGAACCCAGCTCTGCTCTGAAGAACTTCTTCTATTCCTACCCTTGTGCCAACTGTGGAGGTAGCACCAGATCTGGAGACGACGGAACAGAAATCTACATGCCATGAGGGAAAAGGAAAAATATATTGAGGAGAAAACAAAAATGCTCATCTAGTGAAGGCTGCCACTTGCCCAGAATTCTCCATGGCTTTTGAACAGCTTAGCTGCTTCTGAATGGTGTCTAAGAGGTCAGTGCCTAGTCACATGGTTCACTGGGACAGGTCAGTTGGGATGGTTCTCTGCCAGCTAGAAGGACAGTTTTGTAGAGACGGTAGCTTTTCCTATGGGAAACTTTTATGTTATTTCCAAAGAATCTCTGGAGTCAGCCCAGCCTTGGGCTACATCAGCTCTGGAATGCTGGGTAAGTCCCTGAGCCCCTAGGAACCTCAGTTTCTTCTTCTGGGAAGAAGAAGAAACTGTGAGGTGCTATGTTACCTACCTGTGCTTACATATATATATGCATGCTTAACATCAGGCATGGTACATAGTGGGTGTTCAGTAAATGTTATATTTCTCCCTCAGTTCTCCAACTCAGAACAGAAGCGGGCACGTTGTAGAAGATGATCCCCTCGTCCACCACATCGTTGCTTACAGGCTTCTTCCCACACTCTTCCTGTGTCCCCGCCTCCCTCGGTCCCCACACCGCCACCACCACCGCCACCGCCTCTTACCAGGCATACAGAACTGGACCCTGTGGCAGCTGCAGGGTCACAGTTGTGGGGTTTGCTGTCACAGGAACAAGAAGCCACTTAGCATGAGGATAGAGGGGCTTTCTTGCAGTCAGCTGGGCAGTCTGCAATACCTGAGAGACAGACTCTGTCTTTCCAGCTGCTGTGATTTTCTGAGGCTTCTGAGGGTTACAAAGACAAAGCACTCTCTTCCCAGCTTGGGGAAGGAAGAAGAACAATGTTAGAGACCCAAAAACATGGGTTGGAGTTTAAGACCTGCCACTTTCTTCTTGGTTCCTGGGTAAGTCACTTGATCTTTCTGAGCCATAGCATCCTCATTAGTTGAATGAGAACCATCACATCCAAGTAGGACCATAGAAAGAGAAGGTGATTGTCTATGCAAAATACTGAGCCTAAATGTTCATTCTCTTCCTTCACCTTTTTCTTAACTTCAATAGAGCTGATGGCTAAATGTTAGGATGGGTCTGAAAGAGAAATGTTTTGACTTCCAGAAAACAAAAGAAAGAGATGCCTTTCAAAGGAAGCTTTTCAAATAATCTCCCCATGCTTATGTACCCTTGGGTCCCTTAAGGTGGCAGAAGGGACTTGATCAGGTTGTGGGGCTGTCATTAAGTGCACTGACGCATCTATTCCCTAAATTGTGCCCTGGAAACATTCCTTTTCATAGTTCATGGTCAGGGCTTGAAAATTTTTAGTTCTCAGGCACTGTCCCATTTTACTGGCATTTAAAAGACAATGGTGGAGTTGCCTCTTTCAGGACACCCACAGAGGACTCTGAGGTACCAGGATTCAGATCACTGGACTTAGATTTCTTTTCGCCACTATGTTTTTCCATTGGTTTCCTTAGTAGGTCTGGTTTGGGGCAAAGGGTACAGGACTTGGAGGTTAAAAAAAAAAAAAAAAAAAAAGCTTTCCAATTCTGACTCTGCTTTATCTCGCTATAAGTGATTTGGGGCAACATGCACAAGTCACTAAGACTCAGTTTTCTTATCTGTAAAATGGGAATGTTAATGAAACTTAAGTCACTGTGTTGCATAACTCACTATGAACTTTAAGATTGACTTAAATTCAATGAGCTAATAAATATGGATGTCTTTTAGAGAGAACATCTGTTGTGGTAGTGATGTATGAATTGAGAAACTGTAAAATGGTCCTTTCCAATGTACTTTTGCTATTGGCCCTAAACCTTCATTTCTTGCAAAGGAGTGAAATGAAAGGTAATTGACTTGTAGACCTTCCTCATTGATTCAAATTTAAAATTCACTATCATCTAGTGATGAAACCCGGGGCCACTGTCTCAATTATAGTGTTTTATTTTTGTAGAAATACTGTATCCATTAAAATTATCTATTTCTATGGCACTTAAAATTGTCAACACAGTCTTTTTGCTTCACCTTCTGGCTGACTTATATAACCTCACTTTACTAAGGCTGGGGGAAAAATGTCTGAGCATTTCTGGAGATTAATGTTCTGTTTTAAGAATCAAGTCCTGAGTATCACTCAGTTCAGGGCAAACCATATATTTAATTGAGCTCTTTCTGCAGCCAGAGCATTAAAGGGAGAGAGAAAAATAAGTGAGATGAGGCTCTGCCCGTAAGGAGCTTCTGATCAAGTTTTTTCTTTCTTTTTTACTCATTTGTTAGTCTGTTTCCTAATTTATATAATGGTGAATAGATATTTACCAAAATGCTCCATATGCCTGGCACTGGAGTGTGGAGACAGAGATAAATAGACCTGGTTCCTTCCCAAAAGAAGGTGTCTGCCTAGCTTAGGAGACAGCCATGAACATGAAAAAGCTCTAGGGAACGGGACAAAGAGACTCAGTTAAATGGGAACTGAGTGTGGAACACCAAGCTTCATGGTTCTGTGTCAGAATATGGCGATTCTCAGGGGAGAGAGGTTGCTTATTAATCCCAACCTAGTTCCTGGTTGCTATTGGAGAATCCAACCTGAATCTGGTGGTGAGCAGGACAGGAAGAGGATATTGGAAGGATACAAGAAAGTGACAGTTTTCCATGCAATACAACAGGTGTTGCAAGAGACAAATGAGTGAGGAGCTGTGGGTCTTTAGGCGAGGGGGAGGTTAGTTTGGAATGGGGAGTCCATGCTTGCTTTGCAGAAAAGGAAGCCTTTGAGAAGTGTCTTGAGCACTTGAGGAGCAAAGATACAGGCAAGGAAGGCATTTAGGCAGTGTTCACTGTGAGCAAAGGTTCAATGTAGGAAAGGTCATTGAGTTGACCTTGGGTGGCCTGGCAGGGCTGGGTTGATGTGTATAGGAGAAATGGAAGCCAAGGGGAAAGGGGGTTAGGGACTTATGATAAAGGCCTTCCACGACTGTCTAGAAGCTTGTACTTCATTCTGCAGGCCGCGGGGGGCCCAAGAGGGTTTTTGAGTCAGGTTCTACTTCAGAGAGGTGGGACTTTTTAAACAACTTGTTGATCACACTATATTAGGAAATCTCTTACCCCACAATATGTTCCTGGGATAAGGCGCACGTTTGCTCTCTGGGGGTGGTGGTTAATAATAGGCATGCAACCCAAAGCGGGAACAGGAGACGCACGCAGAGATGCGAGCAGGCTCATGTTTAATGAGTTCACAAAGTGATTTTGGTTCCTAATTTTCACATTTCCCTGCTCTCCCACCCTGGTGCGAAATTTCCTGATGGAGCTGGTGTTTCATGCTCTCTTAAGGATGGTAGGAGCAGCAGAGTGTGGTGGTGTAACTTCTACTGCTGGGGTTAAGGAGCCATTTGGGTGTGTTCTCGTGGAGACATGATAGAGATCTGGTGAATCATCTGTATCTTTGACCCAGTGAATTATAAAATGATCACAATAACCTCTGTTCACTGAGCGCCTGGGTAGAGTACTGGGTACTGGGTACTTTCCTACAGTGAGCCTTTGCTCATAATAAACACTGCCTAAATGCCTTCCTGAGCGAGTACTGGGTAGCCTGATCTCAGTTAACAGTTAATCTCGACAGAGAGGCATTTGACAGGGGAGGATGCAGCTGTTTGGAGACATTGTGTTACCTGCCCATGCTCACATGCTCACACAGCTAGTAACTGGTGAAGCCAAGGTTATACCAGTGGGGCATTCCTTTCAGAGCACAACACAAACAGCAGACAAGGCAGAGGGGAAATTTTGGGGTCTTTTCATTCAAACAGCTGTGAGTTCTAATTCCATATTGGCCACTTCACTTCTCCAAGTTCCCTCAAAATGGATGTGGTCATTCCTCCTTTATAGTGCACTTGACAGGATGAAGGTAGCCTATGTATGGCCCGTGTTGGGCCTCTAGATGTCAGCTGCTCTTGAAGAGTCATTAAAAGTGTGGACGTTGGGGACCCCACACCTCCAGCCCAGGTTAGAACTCACTTCTCAGGAATGGGCAGAGCCAGCTAAAAGATGCCATTGCCAGCCTTTCCCTAAAACATCCTTCCTCTCTCTCTCTCTTCCACGTGCCAACGTTGGAATATTCCAACAATTTATTTGAATCCTGGTAGATGGGGGAGGGCCACTAGAGCCTTTCAGTATCCTCCTTCTCAGAAAAACCTGTCCCTGGCTGAGTGGCCATTGGCATTTCCCTGAAAGGGACTGAAGGCACAGAGAGGTGGGGCCTGCCTCTTGGGAGTGGTCCCTTCTGACTTCCATTTCACCTGACTCCTAAGGCAGAGCAGCTGATTTATAATACTCATTTTGGTTCTGGAAACTCCCTTTTAGATATTCTCTGTGTCCTCTGCTATGAACCCTTGATGGAGATGGCCTCCGGGGGACAGCAGCAGTGTCATCTACCCAGAATAATCAAGAGTTCTTAGCCCCTGTAGAGGGTTCTCCAGGGAAACAGAACCAATAGAATGTGTCTTTCTCTATATATCTATATATACATCTACATATATATACACATATATATGTGTATTTGTGATTATATCTATATCTATATCCGTATCCATACAGTTGGCCATCTGTATCCATGGATTCCATGCATCCATGGGTTCCTCAGCCAACTGTGGATCAAAAAATATTTGAAAAAAGAAACAAGCCAGGCACAGTGGCTCATGTCTGTAATCTCAGCATTTTGTGCAGCCAAGGCAGGAGGATCACTTGAGGCAAGGAATTTGAGACCAACCAGCCTGGTCAACATAGCGAGACCTGATCTCTACATTTTTTTTTTAATTAGCTGGGCATAGTGGTATGTACTTATAGTCCTGGCTACTTGGGATACAAAGGCAGGAGGATTGCTTGAGCCTAAGAGTTTGAGGCTGCACTGAGCTATGATCTCACCACTGCACTCCAGCCTGGGTGACAGAGTGAGACCCTGTCTCTAAAAACAATAACAATAAATTTTAAATAAAGGAAAAGGAATAAGAAATAACACAACAATAAAAATAATGAGTAAAAAATACAGTATAAAAACTATATAGTATTTACATTATATTAGGCATTATAAATAATCTATAGGTGATTTGAAGTATACAGGAAGATGTGTGTAGGTTATATGCAAAAACTATGCCATTTTATATAACGGACTTGAGCATCCACAGCTCTTGGTATCTGTGAAGTGTTCCTGCAACCAATCCCCCAAGGATACTGAAGGACAATGGCTGTGTATATGTAGCTTTATGTATGTATGTGTATCTGCATGTATGTCAGTGTATATATGTGTGTGTGTGTGTGTGTGTATAGGGATGGAGAAAAATAGATTGATTGATTTTATGGAATTGACTCACACGATTGTAGGAACTGGCAAGTCCAAAATCTGCAGTGCAGGGCAAGCAAGCTAGAAACCCAGGAAGGATTTCTAAGTTGAAGTTTGAGGCAGAATTGCATCTTCCTTGGGAAATCTCAGTCTTTTAAGTCCTAGTTGGATGAAATCTACCCACATTATGGAAGATAATCTGCTTTACTTAAAGTCAGGTGATTGTGAATGTTAATCACATCCACAAATACCTTCACAGCAACATCTAGGCTAGTGTTTGACCAAGCGATTGGGTACCATAGTTTAATCAAGTTGACTCACAAAATTAACCACCACAGTCCTTGAGAAGTCTTGACCTAGAGGGTGCATCACCTTTTTTAGGAAGCTCAGGGGTCTGGGAAAGGCCCAGTTTGCTGCTGAGTCCCCCAACCCAGGGAATTATCACCAGATATGTAGCTAGAGAGTGGGTCAACGTTTCTGAGCAAGTGTTCAGTCCTCATCATGCTGTAGTAGAAAGAAGAGCAGGTAGATTATTAGAAGTTTGGTTCACTTATTCACCTGTCCTTTCATCCAGCTGCCTAGCCAATTTTACTATATGCTGATTATATGTTGAGTGTTGGGTTAGGCCTTCTGGGATCAGGATTTAGAAGAAAAAGGTGTCTGCCTCAAGAGGGGCCCATACACAAATAATTTCATTATAGCAAATTTCCAGTACCAAATCAATAAGACTTGTTGTGTGGAACTGTGCTTTGTGGAAACATTAACCTGGATTAAAGGTCATTATGACAAAGTATCTACTGTGAGTGCCCATGATTACAGCACAGTGAATCTTAATTCTTTTTGAGTCTTAGGCCCATTTGAGAATCCAGCACCAGCCATGGAGCTTTCTCCAGAACTGTGTTCACCCCAAGAGACACTGAATGTTGTAGACTATTTCAGGAGGTGAAGGTACTGGGTTAAAACCCTCTGGTTTACAAGGTCCTTTTTATGAGGATTCTCAAGAGAAATTGTATCTCTTCTCAATTTTAAGAATAAATATGCCTCTCCAGAGAAGTTGATTTATTTTTATGCAGTAAACATGGAATTGTGTGAACAATAACATTTCATTGTCCTTGTAGACTTCTAGGGAATATACAGTAGAAACCAAGGTCTACATGTTAAGAGAATTAAACTAATTCAAAGCTCAATTTTGATTACCTGCTTGTCTTTTTTTTCCCTTTCTCATCTACTACCAAATTGCTTTATGTTTATGCCAAATTGCTTTTTGTTGTGTTGTGTTTTGGGGAGAGTGTAGAATTCCTTTTAACTGTTTAATCTCTCTCTTTTCTTGGCACTAGAGCAGGGTGGAAAGATATAGACAAATAACTAAGAACAGTGACACATCCTATACTAAAGGAGCCTACGAGGTGCTGTGAGACCACAGCCTCAACGGGTAGGAGCAGGGCCAGCCACATAATTTGCAGGACTCATTGCACAGTGAAAATGCAGAGTATCATTTTCAAAAATTAAGAATTTAATGACAGCAACAGTAGAATATTAAGCCGGGCATAGGGCTCTTTTAAGCCTCTAGCCTTGTGCAGCTGTGTGGATTAGCATGGCCCTGAATCCATTCCTCATAGGGAAAGAGGCTTCCTGAGTCAGGTGTCACTTGAAAAAGCTGAAGGGAAGAGTAAGACTTTGCCAGTGGAGCCCAGCAGAGGGGCCATCTGGACAGAGGGAACCGCTAGTACTAAGACATAGGGATATGGAGTAAGTCACAAGAGGGGATGTAGCAGGAGGTGGTGCAGGGAAGTTAAGGCAAGGTGAGCCCTCCCTGTTTCCTGTCATTTACATCAATTCCAGTCCCAGAAGGTCCACATGAAACTGATCTCACATTGATTTCCAGGCCCTATGTAATCCCATTTTGGCCCAGACATGGTACATCCTCATCTGCCCTGTTGCATCTGACCTCTGCCTTCTCTTCCAAGTAGCTTGATATTCCCACAATGCACAGGGACAGGCCAAACAGTCATTGATAATGTGAGATCTATACGTAGCCCTTCTGATACCTCAAGCTTTTGTCTGACCCAAACTAGCTAAGATAGGGATGGCTCTGAGATATGTTTTGCACTCAGCATTTCCATCTTTGTTATGCTTTGAGATGTCAACAAGCTCCGTGAAATTCTGTCAGCCCCTTTGGCATGTCCCAAGTTCTCTCTCCCTTTTTTTTTTTTTTTTTTTTTTTTGGTAATTTCCTGCTTGTGCAGAAAGTCATCACAGGCACCCAGTGACGAGTTGTTTGAACTGAGATCGCCTGCTTCCTCTGGTAATGTCTGCCTCTTTCCTTCCCAGAAAGAATTGGGTAGTTAGCCCCCTCCCCCTTTCCTGTGATTTCTTGCTGCTCTTTTACATCACCTTTTCAGATGAATCATTTGGGACATCGAACCATCAACAGTGTTGCTGTAAACGCTTTCTGCAGATTCATAAATGAGATCATGCTCTGAGGAGAAGCATTAAGCAGCAATTTGGGAAGCGTTTGAGGCTGTTTATTTGCCTGAAAGTGTAGCAGCCGGGGTGGTGGGGGATGCATGTGTTGAGTCTGAAGGCAGCACTTTTCTCCTCCTGTTAGTGTAGGAAACATCTCATTAGTTGTTTTGGTATCCAGGAGTCCTGGTGTGTCCAGGCTGGATGAGATAAGAAGGATGTCCTGATTAAAGCCCCTCACTGTCCTCATGAGTAAACTGAGGCACAGAGAGGCCAAGGGACTTGTCTAATGTTGTACAGCCAGCAAGTGGTACACTAACCCTGAAGCTAGGCCTCCTTCTACTTCTGAGATAGAATAATTGCTAGGATAAATGCACATCTCTTACCTTCTCCAAACCTCGGTTTCCTCAGCTGTGAATCAGGGATGCTTCCACCTTTTTGTCAAGATTGAGAAGAGGATGCTAAGAGAAGCATTTATGCAGAGACACCTAGCTCAGTTTTTAGCCCTGTGGCCTTGGCAGGTTGTATAGCCTCTCTGAGCCTCAATTTCCTCATCCCTAAAATGAAAGCTATAGGGAGAATTTGAAAACCTGAATTTCAGCAGTGCCTGGAGCACTGTAATCACTATGTAAGTGTTAGCTATTTTCATTATTATCATTATCATTATCTTCATTCTTATCATCATTATCGGCACAGAATAAGCCCTTAGTAATTATTTTTTCCCCTTTTATGTAGACAGAGTTGCAATGTGGCTAAAATGCGGGTTCTGGATATAAGCAAACATGAGTTTAAAACCTGGCTCTGCCATTTACTGGCAGTGTAACATTGGACAAGCTTCTCAACTTTCCTGAGACTTAGTTTACCACATCCAAGAAGTGGAATAGCAATAGTTACCCTGAGGAGCTGCTCGTGAGGACTAGAAATAACTCACCTGTCACATCATTTATGTAAAAAATTTACAACGTCATTATTTCTTTCTCAACTGCTATTTTGATTGATTTTAAAGTAAGATTCCTCCAACCAAAGCCGGGCAGCCCTCCTCACACCCTGTGTTTGTCGCAACAGGAGCCATTGCCCACAATTTAGATAGTTTGCATCATGCAGCTGTACCTCAGTAATTCCATGCTATGGAGACATGATGAAAAAGCAACTAACATGCACAGCTCAGGGATCTTGGTTAAGTGGGTGACCGAAACTTCCACAGGTAAACACTGAGTGCAAACGCTTGCATCCAGTTTCACTCCTGGGGATGTTTTCAGGAGTCAGAGGGTGCAGAAGGGAAGAGGAAGGGGAACCCATGAACTGTGCCTTGCGTATGCGCTCTGGGCTCTCCATGCTCTACGATGAGCTATGTTCTCCTGCCCTGCCAGGAACCTCCACTGCAGTAGAAGGTAGGTGAGAAACACATGGAGGGAGGGAGGTACACTGCAGCCAAATTAATCACTGGTAGAGCCTCTACCTAATAAGAAAATCTTGTCAACCAACTACAAGCCCAGTTGTGGTGGTCACCTAGTGTGGACTAAGGGGACTAGGGATGGAGCTTCAGGACCGGACAGGTTGGAGGGCTGCTGGCTTAGCATGGGATCCTCCTCTTCACTGCACAGTAGAGAAGGTGGTGGCAGGTACTGGGACAAAACTTCAGTACCCACTTGCATCTTTCAACACAGAGATAATGTTGTCCTGCTCACGTTAGGTATCTAGTTTGCTCATATTTCTCATCCCTTTGCTATCGTCTGGATAAAGGAAAAGCATTTGTTATCTGTTAGCATCGATACTCAAGGCTTCAGATCAGGCTGCGCGTTGCTGGCAGTCCTTCCAGCATGCCCAGGATCATCCATTTGGTGGAACAACATTAAGTTGCACATACTTGACTTTATATTTTTTCTTACAAAGATGGTGATTTTATATGAATCTATTTAAGATTTTAGGGTTTTTTCTGTTTATTATTAAACAAAAAAAGGAGCATGCTGTTCATTTAAACACTTCCCTTATGTGCTCTGAGTTCAATTTAAGTTTCTGGATTCATAAGGGTGAGCAGATTTCCTTTTCCGAAACCTGTAACTGGAAATAGACTGTCTTCTTTTTTTTATACTTTACAAATGAGTTTGACTGAAGGATAATGGAGGTACATGAACCAGTAGCTATACTGCATTTCTTATTATATAAGTGTAATGTCCTGGTTTAAGGAAAAGGGATTTGGAGTCAAACATTTCGAGAACACTGCCACTTACTGTTCTATGACTCTAGGCTAGCTACTTAATTTGTCTAAGCCTCCGTTTCTTCATCTGTAAAATGGGGTTGCTGTTAGTTCCAATCTGCCTTATGGGGCCTTCATCAAGATCAATGAGGTAATGCAGGCAAAGCTTTCAGCACTCTCACTGGCACATGGTTGGCCCTGAAGTGCCACCAGCAGTGATAATGCAGCTATAGCTGTGGCTGATGGCTGGATTGGACCAGCTTAAAGACAGGGAATCACATCCATGACAGCCATCCAGTCAGATCACCCACTTCCTCTCCCAAACATGGAGAGGAGTTTTCTTCTATGGAGTTTTGGGGACCCTCATACTGGCTCATGAGAACCAAGTGTTAATTTTTCAGGAATTCTGTGAGCTAGTTATTAAACAGCCATTATTAAAAATTAAGTTGCATAAATTCACACTTAAATTATGTTAAAAACAAAGGGACTAAGTACTTGACACTCACCAGTTTCTGGTTATTTTACTACATTATACTCTACCCCAGAGGTTACTGATGTCTATTTTACCTGTGTAAAACAGGTAAATAGGTGGAAATGCTATATGATGGCTGTTATCACTCATCTCTTTCCAACTCCACCTTCAATGACGTCAACTTGATAGCTTGAAACCAGCCATGGTTGGAGTATTTACACCATGGAAATCAGCAAACACTACAAATCAAGCCTTTTTTTTCCCCTCTTCTGGAAAGTCAGTTGTCAAATATTTACCAGCATATCTGTGGGTAAAATTCATTAATAAGGTTGGCTGTTTCGTTTTTGGACAAATGTTGATGGGAAGAAAATCCTTCATTATATTGAGCTGAAATGTGTCTCTTCCTAGCTTGAATTCTAGTTAGAATTTTCAGTGAGTTTGCTTTCTCACTGGTAAGTAAATGTCATGGTTTAGGATAGTGCCTTGGTGCCTTTTTATCCCCCCTGTTCACAGTGTGGGGAACACGGTAGGCCCTGGGGAAAGTGTTGCTGTATTTGTATTGACTGTCTTTGTATTCAGATCAAGATTTTTAAATCATCATTTCTCAGAGCGCACTATTTCCCTCTAAGCATCAACCAGTGTCAGAAATGCTTAAATTGTGATATTAAAGAAATCCAGCTTCAAAGCTGAATTTTACTGAATTTCTCCCTCTTTGAGTATAGGCTGTTTCTTACAATCACTGGCTGAATAGAGAAACACATGTCATTTTGGGCCACCATGGAAAGCTAGTTGGCTTCCAGAAGACCCCTCTCTGTGAGTGACCATCCACCCACACAGGACAATTCCTCAGTGACAGACAAAAGCAGTGGGAAATGTCAGCCTACTCAGATGCAAGACCCGGAGAAATGAAAGCGCCAAGTTGGGAAAACAGCCAGAAGCCCATAGGAAAGAGGTTATTTTGGGACATTGGGGCGTTTGAAACTAAGGCAGAAAGGCAGTTCAATGAGTTGACTCTTGGTCAACTTGGTTGGAGTTTTGAGGTCAGACATGCTGCAGTTCAGATTCTGTTTGTGGCATTCTGATATGCCATATGACCTTGAGCAGGTCACAAAACCTCTCTGACCTTTCATTTTACGATCTCTGAAAATAAGGATTGTAATACTCACCCTATTGTTTGTCAAATGAATTTAATAAAGATATAAAAGTCCAGGAACATAATAGCTACCAGTAAGAGGCAGCCACTCTGCTCATCATATCAAGCATCATGACAACTAACTTAGGGTTCCGAGGAACTTAACAGGGCCCTAAAAATTAGATAGCCTGTCTGCGCCCTGACCCCCCCTTCCCAGAAAAAATTACCTTTATAGATTACAGATATATCACTTGGTCATTTTTTATTAAAGTGAAAGTGTCCAAGCTGACTTCATGGCTCATTATGGAGGATAGGCTGGTCTTCATTCTGCCATTTTGTAGAACAAACACGTTTGGATACATGGAGTTGTGTCTTCCTTGAAGCTGAAACCGTGTGTGAGTGTTAACAAACCTTTTGTCTCATAACATTCCCTCTATGGAGAATTTCCCAAAGTGGGAATATTGAGCTCAGTATTTTATAAACTGCTAGCCTGGAAGAAAATTATTTTAAAAGTCATTCTTTTTGTCATCTTCCATTAGACACCAATTTCCTAGGCAGAATCAAATGTAGGACAGTGTTGTATAAATGAAATAACAGACGTGTGGCAAGAGGTTAATAACTCCCATTGCCCAGTTCTGAAAGGAAGAAAAATCACAGAGTCACTTCTACTCTTGACATTTTGTTCTGTCACCCCTTGAAGCGAACAAAGCATCTTTGTGCATTTTAAAGAGACCTCTGCTTATTTCTTTCCAAAGTTCTGTAGAGTTTTGCCTCTGAATTTTTTGGTTGGTGGTGGGCAGTGAGAAACCTAAGAAATCTGCCTGTGGTGAGGAGCAAAACACCAGGGCTATTGACTATAATCCACAGGCACTCTTGCCTGCCCGCCTGCACTTCTACCACTGCTCCTGGGGCTGGGGGAGCAAACCATCAGAAATATTAGGGAATTCTCAGTATATGAAATCAGCAACATACATCGAAACATATAAACTCACTGCAATACTTGTTTTAAGGGTGATGTAAATTGTTACAAAATTTCATTGAAATAAAAAAGGAAGTCAAGAGCACTTTAAAGTAACTCTGCAGACAGTAATACTCAACCCAGTCTTCTCTGTACAACTGGGTACGCTTGTTAGCCCACACAGACTCACTTGTCCATACCTACATTCGCCAAGCTGTACCCATATTCCTTCCATCATTTGATATTCATTCAATCATTGAGCTATGGTTGGCTGTTGTTTCTTTTGTAGTAACTGGTAAAAGATGTCGAAACCAGCCTTGTTTATATTTTTCCTTCCCCATTGTTCTCTCAGTGAATACATTTCCTGGAGGCTCAGTATCACTCTCTCATTCTTTTTTTTATATCAGTTCTCAATCTGTTTTTATATCTTTCATTCTCTTTTTTGTATCAACCTATAACCCTCATTTCTCCCACTATCTGCTTCCTCTCCTGTCTCAGAATCCTGGGAGATACTGGATAAAAATCACCAGTGTCCCAGAATTAGGAAAAAACAAGCAGCGCCTTTCAGACATTGTTGAAAATGCAATTCCTAATAATGAATACTTTTTAGGTTCTGCTTAGAACACTCATATATAGAGTAACAATACTTGCTCTTACTATTAGGTTGGTGCAAAAGTAACTGCAGTTTCGGCCATTAAACGTAATGGCAGGAAAAGTAATGCATTAAATGTAATAGCAGAAAGTGCAATTACTTTTGCACCAGCCTAATAAGTGTGATGAACTCTAACATTTGTTATTCTTTTCCGTTGCATTTCATTTTATTTCATTATTTTCTTTCAAAATTCTCTTTTGGATGTTCTAAGTTAATTTCACAGCTCATGAAGGGGATGCAACTTACAGTTTCAAAACACTGGCTTTGAGCAGTGCATCTTGGACTTTAATGTGTACACACAAATCACCTTGGGATGCTGACAAGTGGCAGATTCTGATTCTGTAAGTCCTGGGTGGGACCCACGATTCTGCATGTCTAACAAGCTCCCATGGGATCCTGATGCCGTGTGTCTACAGACCACACTTTGAGCACCCCTGTTCTCCAGCACAAGGATTGTTCAGCACCATGGACAGGAGGCAAACCTGTGCCTGCTCCCCTATCCGCAGCCAAACAACAAACCTATGCCTCACCCTGTGTTTGACCTCTCTGCAAGACATGTGGCAACAGTTGATGAGGAAGCAAAGGAACTTTCCAGGGGCCATGTGATGTTGCAGAATGCCCTTTTTCTCTTTTCTACACAGAGGGGACCTTCTGGTCTTGAGCGGTGAACCTCTGGGAGCAGGGCCCCAGCTGAGGAGTAGGGGACAGGTACAGGATCCAGGGAGCTCTGCTCGTGAGAATCATTCCAGCTCTTCTCATTTCCCTCTTGAGTGCCCTGGTTTGCTCCAGTTCCTGCCTGGTGACTTACTGCAGCTCTGCCTTTATTTGGGGCCTTACAGTAAAGGCTCAGAATGCCCTTCTCGCAGATCCTTTTTTCTAGTAAACTCCTACTCCCACGCTATTACTCAGCTTAAATAACAAGGCGTTATCTGTGCCTTCATCTGTGTTCCTACCACCCTCTGTGCATAACTCTTTAGAACCCTAAGCATATATATTATTAAAAACATCTATGTGTTTATGTCTTCCCAAAAATCAGCCAGCTGTTCTTGGCCCTGGCCACATTAGAATCACCTGAGAAGTTTCTGCCAAATACTGAAACCCAGGCCTCACACAGACCAGTTAAATCAGAGTTTCTGGGTATGGAGCCAGGGCACCAATATTTTTTAAAGTTTTCTAAGTGACTGTGATGTGTAGCCAAGGCTGAGAATCACTGCATTACCCTGTGAGCTCCATGAGTATATGGATTATGTCTTACTCCCCTTTTCTACCCCTTTTCCTCTTCCTCCTCCAAAAGTCATCTAGCACCTTGCAAAATGTCCTAGACTCCCATAAAGCATCTAACAAATAAGTAACTAATATGACTAGCCAAACTTTCTCTGGCACCTATTGTATGCCGGGAACCAAAGACTGACATTTATCTGTGTAACCACGAGTACTCACAACAGAACTGTGAGGTAGATCTTGTTTTCCCCTGTTGGGGTCTGCGCTAGATCCAGGGTTGTGCTGGAGCTGGTTGGAACTGGCACCACCAGGCTTCCCGGCCCCAACTTCCGGTCAGCAAGACTCAACACCACAGGTAAACTCAATTCATTTATCTCCACCATCCATTTTTCTAGAGTTGCAGGGAAGACATAAAATTCTTATTAATATTATTATAGCATACATTTCTAAAAATAACAGCAGCCCCAGTTAAATGCCTTCTGTTTGCCAGGCACTATGCTTAGTGATTAGTATCCATTGCCTTTATAATTCACTTGAGTTTCATGGTGACACCACGAGGCAGGCATTATCATTCCTACTTTGCAGATGAGAAAACGGAGGCTTGGAGAGGCTAAGTAGCTCTTGCAAGGCCACACATTCTGAAAGTGGCTGAGCTGGATTTGAACCCAGGCCTTCATGACTGCAAATCCAGTCCTCCTTAACAGCTCTGCACATTCTGTACTTGCAAACATGATTATCTCATTAGATTCTCAGAGCTCAACAGGGAGATGAATGACGGGTTTAGAAGAAAGGCTTGGGCTGCAGAGTGGAGGATGGATGGGAGAAAGGATTGGCCACCGGGGAGTAGAGAAAATAAATGGGGTCTCCACAGACCAGAAGGATTTCACATCGAAACTGGAAATGGCCCTGCCTTTACTCCCCTCCCCAGAACTCCAGTAATCTTAGTATCTGTCCCAAGACAGTGGGGAGATGAGTCCGAGGCAGGGCCATTACTCTGCCTGCTTGCGGAGGGAAACAGAAGAGCCTCTGTTGTCACTGCTGGAGCTCGGTGATGATAGATGGAGGCCATTTGTTGAGTCTGAAGCCATCATTCATGGAGGACAATGGCCTGCTGGGACCCAACACACTTGGAGAAGAGCATGAAGCAGACAGAAGCAGGATTATGTGAAACAAAGTCAAAGGAAATTTGTTAGGAGTCTGATTTCCAGATCCTTGAAATCAGCAGGAATGGAGCTCTTTCTGTGAAAGAGTTATTAGCAAGTGTATTTAGAGCTAAGGGAAGTTCACTAGCTTTCTGGTGTCCATTACCAGCAAACATTGGAAATGATTGTGTAGGATTTAGCAAAGGCTTATCCTTTTGGAGAACATGACATGGGATGTATTTTGGCAGGAAAGGAGAGTCTGATGCGTGTGTTTTGGCATGCTTTGTTGGGGAGACCTGGATGAGAATCTTCAGAACCCTCAGCTGGAGTTGTCTTTGTCTGCAGCCCTGCTCCCTTTGCACAAGGTCTGGGAATAAATAAGTGAAAGGATTAATTTCACTTGGCTTTGGAATAGCATTCTCAAACACTAGAAACTCCCTTCCATTTTGTAATCTGAGGAAAAGTGAATGTTGCATGCCTGAAAATGGGTCTTAGAGTAATAAAAACAACTGAAGTCGGAGAAGTATGATGCAAGATCTACTTCCTTGCCTTCCGTTTTTAGGTCAGGGAGCATCACCAGACAGACAAGCTGATTATTTCTGACAGTGACTAGGGATGGGGTTTCCTGGAAGCCTTAATGAATGTAGAATTAGGTGGGCAGCGAATCCTGATGGAAACAAAGCACACAGCCTTCCCGTGTCAGCTTACTACTAAGAATGGAGTGAGTAGCTTGCCCTGGCAGGGAAGGCTCTGTGGAGTGGAGATTGTGCATCTCATTAAGAGAAAGGAACAGCCCACTTCAGAATATGCTAGTGGCAGGCTTGGCAGGGGTTGGATCCACTCTGCAGGTGTCCATTCCATCTTGCACCTCACCACGACTGGTGGCAGCCTTCCAACCAAGAAGTGTTGGGAACACATGCTAATTGAGTGCTTGCTAGCTGCCTGGTTCTTTGCTAGGCACTGAGGCTATAAAGGTGAATAAATTCAGAGGTGGTATTTATTGCTCAGTGGTTAAGAACACAGTTGCTAGAACAACATGGTCTGGATTCAAGCAGAAGCTCTGTCACTTGCTCAACCTTGGATGTGTCACCTGACCTCTCTATGACTTGACTTCTTCATCTGAAGAATGGGAATCATTATAGGACATACTTTCATAGGGAGGCTGTGCACCTTAAATATGCTAATATATGTATGGTATTAAGTAAGCTAATGCATGCAAAGCATTTGCAATAATGCCTGGTACATAGTAAGCATTATATACCTGTTTTTTCCTGCAATTATTTTTATGAATCAGGCAAATATTTACTGAAATCTCCCTTATGTCAAGCCCTTTCCTGGATGCCAGGGCCATGGCAGTGAGCAGACATAGTCCGTTCCCTCCTTGGCTCACAGTGTTGAGGGGCAAGCCACATAAATGACTACTCTACACGGCAGGAAGTGATATGTCCTCTGAGAATGATTCAGATGGAGTCCTGTGGGGAGCTGTAGATGGGAGAGAACAAGGCCAGCTTAATAGGGAAGCTTCCTGGAGGAGGGAGCTCTTCCTGTGGGTTTTGAAGGCTAGGAGGAACTCCTCACATGAAGATAGCAGGGTGAGGGTCCGCACCAGCCCTGCCTTGGAGGCTCTCCTCCTTGTGAGTATGTGGAGGCCTTGAACAGTTCAGAGACTCATTCAGGACCCTGAAGCAAATAAAACCATCCCAGGGAAAAAGAAAATCAAAATTATGGCCATTTATCTGAACATCACGGAATTCCAAGAAGGCTGCAAGGGCTTAAGTTGCAGGGCAATGTTTCACACAGGTGGGCAGGGGTAGAACCTGGAAGGGTTTGGATTGCTCCAAAAGAGGAAGAGCATGAGCAAAGGTGTAGAGGCAGGGATGGGCAGAACCTGTCTAGAGAAGGGTGAGCAGACGTGTGTGGTGGCCACCATGTACACACTAGGAGGGAGGTTCATGGGAGAGTCATGAAGGTTAAGCTCAAGGGCTGGGCTTTAGTCTGTAAACCAGAAAGAGGCACATAAATTTGATTTCACTTTGAAGATTTTTATGGACTCATAAAAAACTGTATATTGTGGGCTTGTAAAATATCAGCCCAATCTGCAAACTAGGATTCACAAAGTACGATGGAGGCAAAGCCTGAGGAAACAAGTAGCACATCCGCTGTGTCTGTTCCCCTCAATGCCCCAGCTGCCCCCAGCACTTAGCCTCCAATGGCTCTGAGGTGAGTGCCATAGGGAACCAGGGAGACCAGCACTTAATGGGCAGACACTGTGCTAGCTACCTGACCTGTGTCACTGTCATCGCAGAAGTCCTGTGAGGCATAGGCACAGAAACCAAGGATCAGAGAGGTTAGGTGGGTTTGAGATTTCATTGTCTCTGACTCCAAGCCTCTGCCTCATCCATTTAGGATACGGGGGAATTCAGTGTACTAATTATTGTTGGATGCAGGATTTTGTCCGGTCAGAAGCTAGAAATGCCCTATGTACACTCTGAGCAATCAGAATGGTTTCCATTGTGTTAGCTACGACATTCGCCAAGACCCGTCTTGTCCCATCTTGCTGCTATTTGAATCGTTAGTATTAGGCTGATGAAGGAATGAATTAACCTGAAGACTTTCATCTCCAAGCAGTCACTCTCTAAACCAAAGTTTTCTAGGGGTAACACAGAAATGTAAATAATGTTTAAATAATAATTTATTTTTTAAAAAAGGCTGAACAGAACCCTCTCCTACCCACTTAGTTGCTGTAGTGAGTGGGGGCTTCAGGCTTCTCTGTTTTTGCATTTTATTTCTTTTCCTAGAAAGCATCAGCCATCCCCCATAATCATCCCCTCTTCCCAAGCCCCAGACCTGTGTCAGTGGCAGGGCTGGAAAAACAGGACTCAGAGTGAAGGGGATGGGGAAATAATTTATTCCAAGCTCCCCTGCCTCAGCTGCTCCATGCCTGGGACAAGCCATGGTCTAGAACAGGCAGGATGAAAGCTGCCCGTTGTTAACTACAGGGCAACTTTGATTGAGTGGAAAGAACTCTGAAGTTATGTGGCTTAGATTCAGTCCTGCCTTCTCTTCTCTTCTTCTGGCCATGGGTGTTATTCAGCCACCTCTAAAATAGGTGTATCGTATCTTCTTCAGAAGCTAGGGAATTCAGGGAGGCCATATGAGTGCGTATTCAGGCTAGAGCCTGGCACCTATTGGACCCCCAAAACAACTTATTTTGCTGCTCTCCTTTATTCACAAGATAGATATCATCCTTATCAGAGTTTTGGCTGGCCTTTGGTATGATAGGCCAAAGTCTTATTATCTTAGACTTGGGACCATTTGACATGTTAACTTAATATCAAGATGGTGTCTGGTGAGCTATTCCATGGCAGTCTTTGCTTGCAACCTCCTTATGCCACTGAGAGAGGGAACTGACATCAGGCATTGTTCTTCATTTTATTTGGCCTCTGTTTCATTTGGCATCTGTTTCTAGAGTACCTCCTTTGTGCCGGGGCCTGTGCTGGGCCCTGGGTAGACTGAGCTGGCTAAGGCAGGACCCTGCGTCAGGGGTTTGGGAGTGGCAGACACACCGACAGTGGTAATTCCATGTGGCATGTGTTGCTGGAGCCAGAGACACAGGGGCTGAGGTGCTGAGCAGCACCACATCCAGCCCTGCCTGGAAGGGTCAGGACAGGCTCCCACAGGCAGACCCAGATTATCTTGGCAGTCAAGTCTGACATGGCCAGAGATGGGGGAACAGCATGGGCAGCAGCACTGGGATGGGGAGAGGATGACACATTCTGGAAACTGTGAGTGGATTTGTGAGCTTCTTCAGGTGAGGAAACCGATGCTATAAGAAATCAGAAGTATCTAATGAATCTTGGGAAGTCTTGTCTTTTCTCTGGGCCTGTTTCTCTATCCTCCAAATGAGGGCCCCTTCCAGCCCCAGTGAGCCACGATTCTCTAAGTCTATGGCTCACAGCCTGCAACTCAGTATGAAGCCGACTTGGATCTCTGCCTGCTTATCTTATCTTCGTATTTATATTTGGAAACCTGCTTCTTCTTCATCTGTTAGAATTGCCTACAGTACACACCCTGGGAATGTCTCTGTTTACCTTGATGTGCTATGAGCACGATCCAGGGTTATTAATAAAACCAGGCGGTCCCCCAGAAGCCAAGGGCTGGAGCACAAATGTGTAGCTAACTTTCTTGTCTGGGAGGCCTTGGTGGCTATCACAAGAATGCCCACCCTGTATGGGCCCCATCTGACCTCCAGGGCCAGGATGGGATGAGGACCCTCTTGGCCTGTATGGGAAAAACACTGACCTGCTTCATCTTTTCCTTCCCAAGGCAATGAAATTCGCCTACCTGTAAACCCAAGGGGCTGCAAACTGACAGCATATAGATATGTTTTGGGGCTCACATTCTGTTTTTAATACCAAAGAATTTAATATAGAAACAAGGACATTTTACCAAACATGTGGACTTCCACCATCTCTTAGAAAGTCAGATTTGTTAACACTAGGCTCGCCATCCTCCACTGGTGGTGAGTGGATGCTCCTTTTTTCAGAAGGGCATGAGTTCTAGAGTTTACCATAGTCCCCACCCCTCCTTATTATCTTATCTCTATAGGCATTCTGCTTTGCCACTCTGAGCTTCATATCCTTTGGTTTCTCATCAGATAGTGCATAATAATTACTTGCCTGTTACTGATATACCCAAGTACAGAGCACTGTCCAGGTAACAAGGCCCTTTCCTGCTCCTTTTCTCATTCCGTCCTCACAGCAGCTTGCAAAAGTGGGTGTGGTTATTCCCATTTTACGGGTGAGGAAACTAAGGCCCAGAGAAGTGAAATGATTGTTCTGTGGGTCTCGCACTCAGGAGGTGGCTCTGCAGAGTGGGTGGCATGGCCTGGGAGGCACCAGGGGCCTGTGCTAGCCTCGAGTTAACTCTAACGTGCCGTGTAGCCCTGTGCAAGCCCCTGCCCCTTTGGGAGTTCAAGTTTCCTCTTCTGTAAAGTGAGGTCACTGCTGTCAATTAGAGGTTGGTAATGTGAGCATGTGGCTGGGAAAAAATAACTGAAAGTTACCATTTTCTCCCACTGTGAATATGGGTAATAAACCACAATAGCATTAGCAGTCTCTGGGACTTTGTTACCAGGAGGAATCAGATATTTTTGTATCCCATTATAGTTGTTGCAGATACCTCAAAATATCACTTACACTCATCACTACCTCACGGTTATGATAGTTAATAGACCTGCCGTTAGATCTTGTTATGACTGAAAAAAAAGGAAGAAAAATCTAACTGTCTCACAAATTTTTCATTTTAACATTTTGATAGCTATTTGAATATAATCGGTTTTCTTTGTAATCTTATTTTCATTTTATGAATTTAGAAACATTTCTCTGAGAAAGGGTTTGTAAGTTTCAAAAAGGTCCATGGGACAAAAAGGCGAAGGCCCTTGATCTCTAGGCTGCCCAAACTCCTGGGACTCCAGACTCCTTGAGGATTAGGCCCGTGGCTCCTCATTCAGTGCCAAGCTCTGCCTCCGGCCTCTCCACCCAGCCTGAGCCACCTTCTTACCAGTAGCAGCTTCTGAGGCAATTCCCTGGGCCCTGTGCAGCCTTGTTGGCATTCAGTTACATCAGACCAACATCTCCCAATTGTTGGTGGCTGAAGCTGTCTGAGAAGCCCAGGATGGGGTAGGAGGAGAGGGAGTGCAGGCTCCTGCCATCCCACTGGCCTTGGCTCCAAGTTGAGGTCTCCCATGTGGGAGAGCACGGTGCTGCTCAGATCTCTAGGTCTCCATATCCTCTCAGTTTTCATCCTCCCCACCTGGAAGATCCTTGGTGGGGAATCTTGGATCTGGGGGGCCTGGGCAATTCTTGTTCTTTTGCAGAGAAGGCAGCTGAGACACAGAGAGAGCAAAAAGCCCAGGGTCACGCAGAATGGAGTGTTTGAGGAAAGGAAAGAATGGCGAGCAAAAGGAAATGGGGCTGCTGAGAGTGGCTGAGCCATGCTGGGGCCTGTCACCAGGGCTGGGGTCACATCTTCTATGAGGACGAGTGCAGGGAGACTGGTTGGGAGGCCATTGTGGAAGCTCAGTTGAGAGATGACTATGGCTTGAATAGGGTAGTAGAAACAGAGATGGTGAGAAGTGGACAGAATTGGGAGAGATTGAGGAGTTAGAACCAGCAGGACTCAAAGATGGCTTAGATCTAGGGGGTTCAGTGCAGGAGAGAGCGGTGTCAGGAGTGACCTAGGTTTCTAGCTTGTGCGGCCGGTGGAAGGTGGCATCACTTATTGAGATGGGGATCAGCAGAAGAGGACCCTTTGGAGAGAAACGGTGAGGATTGGGTTGTTGGCGCTCTGAGTTTGAGGTGAACAGGTGGGCCCAAGCACCACAACACGTGCTTCTAGTTCCCGCTGCCACTCTGCATCTGGGGCAATTCACATTGCCTCTCTGAGCCTCCATGTCCTCAACTATAAAACTGGGGGAGTAAAACCGACTTTATAGGGTTGTTGTGATGGTTATTATGAACATGGAGTGGAAGCACCTTGCACATGGTAAGTCATCAGTGAGCACAGGTGGTCTGATAGTGGTTGATTTTACTTAAACATATATCCTCAGGAATCTTAAAAGATCCTTTTACAAAGAGGCACATCTGGTACATTTTCTCCCTTACGAAATAAAATTTGGAGTCCACGACTATGGCAGCAGTGGTGGTGATGATGAGTCTAGGTTTTCTTGGCTGTTTGAATGAAGGACATACATCTGCCTCCACCATTTAGGGAGTTGGTATTGTACAGAGGGGGCATCATTGGGCTGGAATGCATAATTTGAGTTCCATTTCTGCCTCAGCAGCCTCAGGTAGGCCACATAATCCCTCTAAGCCTTGGTTTCTTTGGTTGTAAATGGGCATGGTGATAATATTTGCTTCTGAGGATGGTTATAAAATGCAGACTAAATGTGTGCATGTAGAGTTCATATAATGCACACTACCAGGGGCATAGTTGGTACTGAATGAAAATTACTGTCTTGCTCCTTATGTGACCATTTCTTGCCTTAGGGAAGAAAATAGAAAGTGACCTCAGGCCCTTCCCAGCACGACCTCAGCCCACCTATCTTGCCCTGGTCTTCTCTCACCTCCTTTCCTTACTGTGGTCTAGCCACCACAGGCAACAGCACTTTCCCCACACACCTTCCCTCGGCCTAAATGCCCCTTTCTCATCCTTTGACTATCAAGGGCCTTCTTAGTCTCCAGGCCCAGGCAAGTGTGCTCCTCTTCTATAAAGCTTTTCTGATGCTGCCAAGGAGGATCCCTGGCCCTGTCTCCCATATCCCTGAGTGGAACACTGTCACTCAGCCCTCTCTTGAGCATTTTCCAGCACTCAGCTTTGGGTTACAGAACAGCTGTGTCTCTTTTACCATAAAGCTCGTGTGCCTTGTCTCTTACAGTGTCATACAACCCTCAAAGATGAGCACAGGATCCACACAAAAACATCATTTAACTGCATGGAATTGAATTAATTGGACTGGTACAGGCTAGGGCAGCAGCCCAGTCACCCTGTCCGTGGCTCCAGACTTGAGTGGTGCAGGGATCAGAGGGCCTGAAGCAGAGGAGCCCCTGCGCCAGCAGAGTCAGAGAGGAACAGCTTGGGTGGATGGTTTTGCAGTTGGTTCCTGAAAGGACCCTCCACAGGTCGGCTCTGAGGCAGCCAGGCCCACAGCCTTCAGGATTTGGGCTGCTGTGGCCAGGCTGCTAGAAGTTGCTGGCAAGGGTGACCAGTGGCTTCACAAATGAAGTTAGGGACACTTTCCTTGGGCCTAGATCAGCCTCGGCTCTGCAGCTCTGTCCCAGCTTCCCTCCTAGCCTCATCCCTCTAGTCTGTCTCGAATGCAGCCAGACTGATTATCTCAAGGACAAATCTGGCCTTCTCTTTACCCAGCTTAAAAGCCTTTGGTGGATGACCGCATTGCTAGAAGCTGGCCCCTGAGCCCTTTGTAGTCCCTGTGCTCGGTCAGAGGTTCCGCATCTCCTTCTAAAGCTTGTACTTCTCAGGATGTATCTACGTTTTAAGCCTCTTGCCACAGACCTTTTGTTTTGAAAAGATTGTGCTCATGAGTCTCCCTTGAAGTCTGTCTTGCCCATTCCATCCCGGTAGAGTTGACCTCTTCCTCACTGGATCCCACTATAGATAACAGGCTTCCCATCCACCAGTAACACTTTGGACCTTTTTAGTGCAGTGAGCATGTCTTATTAACCATGATTAGTAGTAGAAATGGTAAAAGCAGTGAGTATTCTTAAGGACTGACTTGAAGGCCTCAGCTAGATGTTTGAGAAATGCTAATTCTCACATCAGCTCTGAAAGGCTGGCATAAAGATCTTCACTTTGCAGATAAAGAAGCTGATGCTCAGAGGAGTTAAGTAACTTTCTCAGTGTCACACAACTTACATAAGCCAGAGCTGGGATTTGACCATGGATCAGGCCCATGCTCTTTTCACTCTTCCCAGCCACCAATTGTAATCTGAGTCTGACGTTCACAGTAAGCAATCAACATTGCTTGTTAAATGAAAGAGGGTGAGTAGAAAGTTGCTGAGTGGAGAAGTTTCTCTTTCAAGAAGAGCTGACTTCCTTGTTTTTGTTTTTCTATTAAAAAGGCTTTCTCACATGGTTCTGTGGGCCTGGCTGAAAAGAAGTGACAGTATGAGGCAACCTCTTAGATTGTTCTTAGACTTTCCATGTTTTTAGGTAAATAAGAAAATCTGTTATTTCTGCTGCACAACACAGAAAACGATCTCACTCTGAAAGGAAGTTGATGCAGAGTGTCTTCAGCTGGGGAGCACCTGCAGCGGAGGCAGCTGTGATGAGAGCACCCAGAGGAGGATACAGCTGGTCTTTGGAGGCCAGTTAATACATTAGGATTTCACTTTTGGCCCCACTAAGCCACGGTAGGTTGGTAGGTTGTTGAGGCTGAGGTCCTGTGGCTGCAGGACAGTGTTCTCATCCTAAATTGCTTCACACCACCATGACTGCTCTCAAAAATGATACCTAAACAAGAGGGAGGGAGAAAGGACAAAATCTTTGACTCTGAAGAAAACCAAAGTGAGCATGTTTCAAGGACCTGATCAGCAGTGGATGTCCAGGGGGAAAAATCCAAGGCCTGATAATTAATGATAAAGCTGGAATTGACAGACCATGGTCCCTGGAGGAGAGCTCATCTTTACTCAGACATCCAGTGGCAATGCAAGCAACTCAGCTTAGATCAACAGACTTTCCTGAAATTGGCTTTCGCACCTCAAGAGTAGATACTTCCATCTCAAGAAGGATCTCTGAGCCATACGTCCAGCTCAAGAAGCATCTCTGAGCCTTAGGATTCCTGGGACTTTGTGAGCAGGGAGAGCAGAGACTTCCAGAAAGAAGACATTAGCTTGCACCTTCTCTAGCCCTTCTTTGCCAAGTTACTGGGACCTTTCCCTTGCAGGTTGTGACCCACTTAGCCCTAGAGTCCACCTTGATACAGTGAGACACCCAGTGGAAGCCTCAGCCCTCCTGGTAGGTGAAGCCTGGAGGTTCAGATGCCCTTCTTCCAACCCTTTTCCCAAAGTACCCAGGGCTTACCAGGCTATCTCATATTCCATTCCCACTCCTACCATATTAGCCCAACACACACAACTGGGCTTCTGCCCTGGTTTCCTGTTTAGATCTTTGGTTCCTGCCTGGAACTGGAAGACTCTTTTGAACTTCAGTGAGCTTGGATGGCTTCTTAACACGCTACCAGCCCAAACCCCATCCCAATCACCCTAGCTGCCCGGGGACCTATTTGAGTAGGCCAGCCATCCATCATTAATAAAAATAAATCATGATTATTAGTAACTAAAATTTATAGTAACTCATTAAATGATTATTATGATGATTGATAGTCTAATGGTTTAGAGCATGACTTTTGGAGCCAAACCTCCTGGGTTCAAAATCCTGTCTCCAGCATTTATTTTGTGACTTCAGGCAATTTTGTTAGCCTCTCACTACCCCCAGTTTCTATCTATAATACGAGGCAAATAATAGTACTTAACTCACTGAATTATTTATAAGGGTTAAATGAGTTAATATTTGTAAAGTGCTTAGGACAATGTCTGGCACACAGTAAATACTTCATTGTTAGCTAAGATTATCACAGTCTAGCAATTAGAATAATATTCACCAACATTTGTTGAGCCTTTACTAGGTCATAGACACATAAGCACTGCAGCAACCCAGGGGTAGGTACTTTTACTATCCCCACATTTCAAATGAAAACACAGAGGCTTAGGGAGGTTAAATATGCCACCCAAGGTCACCCAGAGAGGAGGAAATAGAACCAGGGGTAAAACCCAAACTCTGATTCCATAGCCAATGCAACATTTAACAAAGACCTAGTGGACCTCACCAGTTATTCCAGTTCCTCTTCCTGGAATCTTCAGCTATATAGAGGGATGCTTAAATAAAAGGAATCTTGAAGCAGAATCTTGAAGAGAGGAGGCTTCAGACACAGGCAAGGCCAAGACCATTTACTGCCTATTGGTCTTGTCTTCCCAACTAAAACCCAATTTCTTCCAGGGCAGGAAATGAGCTTTTATTCTTATCCTGTGCCTCCTTGGCATGAGTGAGTTCCTAAGCCCTCCATAATAGGCCCCAGCAAATATCTGACCTGCTGACCTCCTTCTACTCCTTGAACTAGTATGTTAGTGGCCTAAGATGACCAAAGTGAGGGCATCAACACCTTACATGCAACTGATCATTATGCCTAAGGTGCTTTGTGGTGAGTTTGAGAAGAGTCCAAATTAGGTCAAGGAAATGGTGGCTCTACACCGCAGCCTGATCTCTGACTTACATCCTGGAGACCCTATAGGAAAGTGGGGAAATACAATTTCAGTTAATTCGGTGAACTAAATGCTGAATTGAGGACAAGGTGAACTCAGGGAACAGGGAAGAGATGTGGCTAGAGAAGTACTGAGCCTCTCTGACCAACAATCAATTCAAGAAAGTAACTTCAGAAAATATTCATAAATACAGGTATTGATCTATAGACAACCATCAAGTCAATAATGCTAATAATGCAAATTGGTTTTAAAATGTTGGGAGAGAAGGCAGTGAATTAGATATAATTTGGTATACTATATTAGATATAATATATAATTTGAAATTAAGTCCACTTAAGAGGCATTCACTGAATGGAGGCAAAACATAGGGTGGAGAGAGGAAGGAGCTGCAGAAAAGCATGAGACATGGACTTCTTGAGATACTTTCACCCTAGTGTACTTGTGGTTGCCCAAGCCAGAGCTTTGAGTTTTGTACATGGAGAGAAATGGAACAGTCCTTCTTGAATAGGCTTAAATTAGACCCTGCACATTTGAAGACAGGACTGGTTTGTCACTGGAGCTGCTTTCTGTGTGAAGACCTGTGTTAATTTCTTATGAAAACCTAGAGGTGATTGCTTGATCCTTGAAGTAGATAGGTTATTTAAATATTTTTAATATATATTTTTAAAGAAAGTAATCCAGTAAGTATTTATTGAGTGCCTAGAATGTGCCAAGTACCATGCTAAATTCCGGATAGACAGTGGTAGACAGGAGAGACCAAGTCTCTGTCCTGATTGTATTAGTCCGTTCTCGCACTGCTACAAAGAAATACCTGAGACTGCGTAATTTATAAAGAAAAGAGGTTTAATTGACTCACATTCTGCAGGCAGTACAGGAAGCATGACAGCATCTGCTGGGCTTCTGGGGAGACCTCAGGAAACTTACCATAATGGCGGAAAGCAAAGGGGAAGCCGATACTTCACATGACTGGAGCAGGAGGAAGAAGAGGGAGCAAGGGGGGTGAGGCCAAGAGAACTCACTCGTTATCAAGAGAACAGTACTAAGAGGATAGTGCTAAACCATTCATGAGAATCCACCCCACGATCCAATCACCTTTCACTAGGCCCCGCCTGTGGCATTGGGGATTACAATTCGACGTGAGATTTGGGTGAGGACTCGGATCCAAACCATGTCATTCATAGAGCATACAGCCTGGTTCTCATTAAACCAACCATGCCAAACAGTGCTTAAGTACAGTTGTGAGATGTGCTGCAAAGGAAACCCTAGTAAATAGTCAGAGGGGCTTATTTAACTTAGGGGTTCAGGGCTTCTCAGAGGAGATGGCATTGGAGTCGAGAAGCCTGAAGAGTTCATTTGGGTCAGCCAGGCAGAGAGGAAAGCAAACAACCTTTCAGCCCAAGGGAGCAGCACCCAGGGTCTTGATATTCGCAAACCTGAAAGGGGGCCAGTGTGGCTCAATTACAGAGACTGTGGGGCAGATGGATGTATCTGCAATACCCGAGCAGTACAGAAGCCAGGTTCTGGAAGCAGCCTTGTGAGGAAAAGGAACACATGAAGGACTTTGGATTTTATCTTTAGTAGAATAGGAAAGTGTCAGAAAGTTTTAGGCAGAAAAGATAACCCAATTTGCATTTAAAAAATACTTCTGGCTTCAGGTGGTGAGAGAATTGGAGTAGAAGATGTAGGAGACTACTGGGAGGCCACTGCAGAAGTCCCCCAGAGGGATGATGGTGTCATGAATGAGGGCATGGAGATGGAGAGGGAGGGAAAGGAGCCAAATCAAGGTGTATTTAGGAGGTAGAACTGATAGGACTTGGTGATTGATTGGCTGTGAGTAGTAGTGACATGCAGGGGGGTGTCAAAACATGTACCCAGATTTCTGGTAGGAAACAGGTACCCAGATTTCTGGTGGTGCCCTTTTCTGTGATTAGACATGCTGGAAGCAAGCTAAAAATAATCAGGGTAAAAGACAAATAGCAAACCCTTATGCAGCAACCGGAAAGAGATTAACACACAAAATGAGTAAAGCATAACGAACATGCAATTCCCAAAGAAAAAGTGTGATGACCAAGAAACTGAGAGAAAGATGTTTAACTGATATTCAAGAGAGGCAGATTAAAATAATTAGGTACCATTTACCTATCACATCAATAGAGATTTTTTAAAGTATGCTAATGCCTAATATTTATGGGAGTGAGAGGAATTGGCATGCTCATGTACTGCTGGTAAAATGACAAGTGATACACTCGGGTGAGGAGCAGCTATAATTTTTTAAAATGTTAAGCAATACAGTATAAGCATATAATCAAACAACCCTACAAGAAATATGTACAAAGATATTAGAGTATTTACACTAGTGAAAAATTAGAAATAATGCTGTGTCCATCAGTAGGAGATTAATTATAAATCTACATAACCATTTAAAAGCATGCTATTTTACTAAATTAAAGAGAGATTAAAATTAGCTTGTATGGTATGATCCCACCTTGTAAAGCATCTGAATGTACATTGTGTGGATGTCTGTGTGAGTATTCATACAAAAAAGCTTAAAAGGAAGTATATCTAAAATCATATTGATGGTGTTAGGTGAGTTTTTATTGTATTTAGTGAATAGTCAGAAAGAAAATACTTTTTTTAAAAAAAGAAAACAAACTGCATGACTGCAGTGTAACAGAGTCTGCAAGAAGTGTTGCCCTGAGGGAAGCCAGAGGAGGGGGTACTAATTCTGACTCAGGTTGGTGGGAGAAGCCTTCCTGGAAGAGGTGTCATTGGACAGAGAATGAATAGTCAGGGGTCCATTTGTGTTCCTGTTTCTGCGTAGTTTGTAGCTCATATTCAGTGCAGAAATGGGGAGCTCAGCAGAAAGCAAGCCCAACCCAGTTCTATGGGACATTCAACCTGTTTGCTCTCTGGTCATAAAAAATTCATGCCAATTAATTTAAAACCAGATGACAGGAAATGGAAGCTTAGAGCTTTAGAAAGACACTAGACAACAGCTTCGATTAGTGTCCAGTATAGTCACTTTGCCACTTTCTTCCACTTCCCCTGACCGGGTTGGGATTTTATACTCATTTGCGGTGGCAATGGCATTCCTGGGTATTAGGTTATCAGCCTTTTCTATTTCCTCGGTTACTATTTTGGATCGTTGAAGAAAGAATCACGTTCAGTTCATATTTTCAAAATGTGGTTTTAGAAATTATGCAGTTTTATACCAAAGCGCTCTTTTGGGAATGTAAATAAGTATCGATATAATCTAGTCACTTTACGGAAAAGCTGAGGACAATGTAACAAAAGAGGATGACCCTGCCTGGATTTGAAAACAACTTAATTGGTGGCCAGATGGCACAGAATTGCATATCTGGGGTCTGAGGATGGGGACAGAAACTGAGTGCGCTCCTGGGGCACTGGGGTGGGTTAGAAGCAGGCAAGCAGAGGCCTGGTCCCGGCTCCTTCAGTTACTAGCTGTGTGACCCTAGTGACTTTCTTGACATAGACTAAGTGTTAGGCATTTTTACGATTTCAGCTTTGAAAGATGAAAGACTTCAGTTCTGAAGTCACAGTGCATTGAAGGACTTCAGACCAGCTCCCCAAAGTGTAGCAGGGGCACCACTGGGAGTTGGCATAGTACATGGATGAGCGCTTTCAACTCCAAAACTAATTTATTTTAATAAATTGTGTGTGTGTATGTATGTGTGTGTGTATGTGTGTGTGTGTGTGTGTGTGTGGATACAGCACCTCACACCTATGACTTCCTAGATATTGTCCGAATGGTTTTAATGACAAATTCCTTTACGCTGTTAGCAACGTTGTTACAGAACCTATCTTAGTTGCAAGGTTGCTTTTCATAGGAGAGAAAGGGCAGAAATAGAGAGCTGCAGAAACATTTTTTGAAAATTATTTAAAAATATAGTTAAGAAAAAATATGAATTGATTTGGAAAAATTAGTAAATGATAGTAGAGGTGACACATGGATATGGCAAAAATATGAATGGGGTACCAAAATTACAGCATCAGGCCTTAGACGGCTCGCCGAGCCTTGCTGAGCTGCAGTTTTCTTCCCTGTAAACTCTCCCAGGGTGGTTATAAGGATCATGAAATCATATCTGTAGATATTATTAGCTCAATAGCTGTCACATAGTAGGGACTCAAATATAGGAGTTTCCTTCTCTTTTCCTTAGCCTTGCTTTTTCAAGTTAAAAAGGGTATCTGTGACCAGCCGGTCCAGTTTCCCTGTTTTTCTTTTTTTTTTTTTTTTTTTTTTTTTTTGAGACGGAGTCTTGCTCTGTCACCCAGGCCGGACTGCGGACTGCAGTGGCGCAATCTCGGCTCACTGCAAGCTCCGCTTCCCGGGTTCACGCCATTCTCCTGCCTCAGCCTCCCGAGTAGCTGGGACTACAGGCGCCCGCCACCGCGCCCGGCTAATTTTTTGTATTTTTAGTAGAGACGGGGTTTCACCTTGTTAGCCAGGATGGTCTCGATCTCCTGACCTCATGATCCACCCGCCTCGGCCTCCCAAAGTGCTGGGATTCCTGTTTTTCATATGAGGTAACTGAACCTAGACTAGGGAAAGACCAGTCTGAGGGCTCCAAAAGTTGCTCACTTCTCACTCTTCTGGGCTCAGGTATGGACAGTGCCTGTCAGAGACCTGACCACACACCTGGAAAGGCCTTGGAGAAACTGATGAAAAGGATGGGAAGGAAAATGAGTTAATAAGGGCAATGGTCAACTGTCACGGCCTAACACAGGTGGCAAGAGAGGAAAATCATGACTGGCGTGGTGCTTTTTAATATGGGATATCTTGATAGCCTCTGCTCTGAAAAATGGTAAACTCTATGTATAGAAGGAAAAAAAAAAGAAAAAAAAAAGCCCAAATTGTTGGACATGAATGTGTTGAGATTGTGGCCCTTTTCTTTGCTTTATTTCTCCTGGTATTTTTAATGGTCTTTTATATTTTGACATCTATGAAAAATAAAAAGTGCCCAAATGATTGGAAGGCTGAATTTTCTGTGCTGAGAGTTGGGCACCATCAGCGAGCGTCCTGCTTGACACATAACTATTAATTATCATGCGTAATTTATTATTGCACTTCATTTTTTAGTTATTTTGCAGCCCCTGACCACTCACAGTTTTCCCAGTTACCTGGAATCATAAGTAGTTGGTAACCAATTCCAGGCATAAAACCGATGATGCGTTTTAGTCCAGCGATCTCAAGGCATTAATTGTGTTTGTCTTCTTGTTTTGCAGATGGAAAAACTGAGAATCAGAGAGGGCTAGTGATCTCTCAGACACTTGGTCGGTAGGTAAGTAATGATGCTGAAAGTGAACCCAAAACAAGATATGCTTCTAGTCTGCACAACCTAACCCCTGCCAGGCCCATTGTCCCAGGCTTGTGACTTTTCTGTTTTGTGCAATTCAAGTCAGTATTGCACGAGTCAGTAAATAAGATGAGCCAGTTTGAGGCATTTGAGTATTACTTGCACTTGTGGCTTCTGTTTGCTCCCAGTGTGGAGTTGACATGTTTAACAGGTGAGTCTGTGAAGTCCTTTTAGGCCATACATGGCCAACATTGGGTCTTTCTCTGGGAATAGTGGGGCTTATTGAAAACTGGTCCATGCTGCAGTTGTTGTGACACTCACTCTCCCTTCAATAGACCCAACTGTTTGGTACGTCAAGAACAGAGAGCTCTGGACTAGTGTGGTCAAGCGTTCTGGGCTCAAGTCCTGCAATGACCTGCTCTGTGACCTTAGGCAAGCCACTTAACTCACAGATTCACTCTTTCTGCTTTCTTTCTTTCACACTGTTTTTCCCAGGGTATTTAGTCCCAGTCTCGGCGCTGGGCACTGAGAACAAGATAAATACCACATAGGCCTTTGAGGAGTTCACAACCCAATCAGTGAGTTCCTCCATTTTCCCATTATTGTCTCATTATGAGACTTTCTAGCATCTGCTTTGGGGTATACAGTTTGAAGGGTACTTTGTGATCTTTCCCACAACTCTATAACGTAGAAGGAAGTTGTTCCTGCCATTTTGCAAAGGAGAAAACGATGGCTGAAAGAGTGGGCCAAAGCCATACCTTGAGTAAGGGTTAGAGCTAGGCTTGAAACCCAGATTTACTAAATCTAAAACATTTGTTTCTAATAACAGCAGACTGTTCCACCTGGTAGTTGTAGCATCTGAATGGTCATTGTTGCATTCTACCACTTGGCAGTGAGTATCATGTTGGGGAGATTAGCAGCACTCTGGTGGTGGGATAATTTTCTGCAAGGGATTCTTTTCTGCATCTAGCTGATTCTTCCAGAAAGCAATGTTTTCTCCGCCTGAGAGTGAAGGCAGCTGTGAGCTCGCAGTAAGCTGAGAACCAAGGGAAACCTGCTCCAGGCCCAGGGCTGGCTCTACCAAGTGGCTGGGATTTAGCATATCAGAGAGAATTCACCATGGGTGGAAGGAGTGACACAGCCCCCCGGCCCCCTTCTTGTGCAGTGACCTTGCTGTAAAACTGCTGCTTTTTTACCAAAGCTTAATGATCCTGGACTCCAAGCATGGTAGCTTCTGCTTTTGCTGAGTTGTCTTGCCTCAGGCAAGACACAGAGAATGCTGTGGATTAGAGGCTATGCTCTTTGTTTATATGGATCACAACTTCTTGAGGATGAAGCTCTAGGGTTCCCTCAATGTCTGGAATTTCAAAAGGTGCACGAATGACCTCAGTGATCTGGCTTTTCTGTCTTACAATATATGTGTATGTTGCGAATTATGACCATGGTTGATGTAGATGCACCTAGAATGCTGTAATGTACATGATACGCAGCTTTTGTGGGAATGTGACTGTGAATGTGTGGGGTATGGGATTTTGGGGGAGTGTGTGTGTGTGTGTGTGTGTGTGTGTGTGTGTGTTTAATCCCTGGGAGGCAATTCTTATTAAAAAAAAAAAACACTTACGGGTGTAATTTTTCAACAAGACCTAGAAATGGGCTTTTAATAAGCCTCATTAAACTCTTTGATTACTAGGGGAGGCCAATCACTCTTTCATCTTGGCTCAGATCACAGCTCTCCCTTGCCCTCTTCTTTGGGGTCAGACAAAAATGCCTGCTATTCATATTGGTCTCTCCAAAGCCTTTTCCCCTTCACCTGCCCTCTGCAGCCCCCACTCCCACCCCAGTGCTTGTCTGATCTCTTTGCTTCAACCTCAGCACAGACAGTGCTGGTGTCAGGACTGACAGATGATAGCTGCAGGTGCTCCTGGAACCTGAGTGTCCCATGTCTTGAGTTGTTGCGGCAGGACACTTAGGGTCTTTGTTTAGGAAGCACTTTGAGCTGGGAGAGCTGGGGCTCCTTCCTTTCCCGGGGCGGGGGTCACTTACTACTGCAGGCTCTCAGCAGAATTGTGTGTGTGCAAACCCTTTCCTTTACAGGTTGAGTTTCCCCTTGTCTGACATGGGAGGAGGCGAAGCTCTGTTGAAAGGCAGGTTTTGCTCTGGACTGCCAGCATTCTGCCAGGTCTCCTGAGGAGAGCTGGTTCCCAGAGTGATTATCTTTCCTGAGCCAAGAGCCAGGTGCTCAGTGACAGGAAGAAAGGTAGGCTTAGCAACAGGCTTATCAAGCCCTGCTACAAGAATGTTCATTCGCCTAAACAGGACTGGGTTTGTGCGTTTTTGTTCCTCTCTGGGCACCGTCTCAGTTCTGGGGCTGGTGTGTTCTGAGCAGGAGTACCTCTGCTGCTTCTCAGAGGCAATGCACTCCCTGGGGTATGGGCTCCTGTCTGCGTCATCCTTGTGCATCCCACAGTAGCAGCACAGGGATGAGTGTGCAGAGGGCCAGCCAGTGTTTGTGGTCTACATAGAAGATGCTGGCTCCAGGCAGCAAATGCCCATTTGGAGTACCCATGCTTTGTATAATGGAACACACCTGCATGTAACTCTTGACTTAGCTTCTTTTTTTTTTGAGACAGAGTTTCACTCTTGTCACCCAGGCTGGAGTGCAGTGATGGGTTCTTGGCTCACTGCAACCTCTACCTCCCAGGTTCAAACGATTCTCCTGCCTCAGCCTCCCAAGCAGCTGGGATTACATGCAACCGCCACCACCCCCAGCTAATTTTTGTATTTTTAGTAGAGACAGGGTTTCACCATGTTGGCCAGGCTTGTCTCAAACTCCTGATCTCAGATGATTTGCCCACCTCATCCTCCCAAAGTGCTGGGATTACAGGCACAAGCCACCGCGCCTGGCCCCCAACTTAGCTTCTTACTGAACGAGCCTACTCACATTCTCTGTGAGATTGCAGAAAACTGATGTTGAGGGTGTGTCCTGCACAAGCCTGCTTATTCAAGGGCTAGTGGAGGCTAAAAACCAGCCTGCATTCCACCTGCCAAGCCATGTGTCCCAGAGGGGCTACATCTGCCCAGAAGAAGAGACATCTTTTTCAAATTCAGGTAAAGTCAATAACGGGGCTGGTAGTAGCCTTGTTTCTTTCAGCCTCAATTTCTTCATCATTTACCTAAATAGGCTTTAGGGATGATTTGTGATTATCCATAAAGTATAAGTGACACATAGAGACTGACAAATCATAGTGGTCATTAGTAGCTGTAATTGTAGCAGCAGTAGTAGTAGTAATGATGTCAGTAATGATAATGCCTTATTTTTGTAGTACTTTATATTTTGCAAGGTTCTTTTGTATTTGATTATTTCATTAGCCATGCATTAAAGACAGGACTAGGATTGCTCTCTCTGGGACAAAGAGAAATATGATGTGACTTGCCTACTGTGAGCCCCTGAAGGCCTGACCTGGAGACAGCATAAGCCATCCTGGCAATGATGTGAGGTCAAGGTATGCAAAACTGGGGATGCCTGGGAGAGCTCAGAACCTCTTTCTGCCTACAGGTCCATGCCCATTATCTACCTTGGTCCTAGAGGGCCTGCCCTATTTAGAACATTCTGCCTGGTTCTTGCCAGAAACCCCATTGGTGTGCTAGCCTCTGGTCCCTGTGGCTGCAGTCATTGGCTCAGAACGGGGTCCAAACCGGGTAAGCCATTGAGCATCAGAGTCCTGCCTCACAGCCTAGGTGGACATGTTGCCTGGGCCTTCAAAGCCACCCAGACAGACTCTCTAGGGGTGAGGAACAATAGCCATCTCGCATGCATTTTCCAAACACCCCTTAGTCGCTGCACTTCAACTCTAGCCAACAGACATTTATGAAGCACCTACCATATACAAGACACTCTGGTGACATCTTACATACAATTTTTCCCTAACACTTTTTTTTCTTTTTTTTTTTCTTTTTTTTTTTTAAGGGACAGTGTTTTGCTCTGTCACCCAGGCTGGAGCACAATAATGTGATCACAGCTCACTGCAGCCTCAAACGTCTGGGCTCAAGTGATCTTCCTGCCTCAGCCTCCCAAGTAGCTAGGACCACAGGCATATACCACCATGCCTGGCTAATTGTTTTATTTTTAGTAGAGATGGGGTTTCACTATGTTGCCAAGTGTGACCCACCGTGCCCATCCTACTTTTTCTGACTTCTGTACCTATTTACAAGATGAATAACCAAGTGTCAAAGAGTTAATAAATATGCCAAAGATTTCATAATTATTCAGTGGTAATGCTGGGATTTGAACTCACATATTTAGACTAGAAAGATTATGTACTTGACTTACATAAAGCATGTAGCACACAGTGGCTAGCAAAAAATGGTTGTCACCCATTAGTGATAGTGTTTTAAAAAGTGATTATTAATAAAGTACTTACCATCCTGCATCCTAACTGCTGGTTCTCCTGTGGTCCTTTCCCATTGGACTGTGAGGTTTCTGAGGGCAGAAACTGGGAGTCTCAGCCTTTAACAGGGTACAGGGTTTATAGCAACTGATTGATAAGTGAATGACTAACAATATTGAAAATGGCTACATGGCTATTTGCTAAGCATAGTGCTAAGTGCCTTATATATATTATTTTAATTCTCAAAGCAACCCTATAAGATAGATACTATTATTAAAGCCATTTTACACTAAAGAAAAGACCTTAAAGAGTTTTGAATAACTTTCCCAGGTTGCATAGCTGGTAAGTGGCTGAGCTGGGAATGGGACCCAGCTTGACTGACATGAAAGCTTGGTGCTTAATGTCTCACCCAGATATACTGGCCTCCTGCAGGTGTTCCTGCATGTGCCCTAGCCACAGCCGATGCCCATGGCCCCTTCAGAGAATTACTGGGAAGCTACCATTCAAATCCATTGCCTTCTAATGCAGGGCTATGAGAGGTTTCCATTTAGAAGAGACAAAGCTGGTGAAGGCTAGGAAGCTGTAGTTATGTATGAAAGACAGCATGAAAAGCCACTGATAGAATTAGCAAGAAAAGGGTGACTTCCTGGGGAACAAACCCAATTTGTAAGACACAAGTAGGGGCAAAATCAGCCTCAAGAGGTACAGTCGTTTGAGCTCCATGGAAAACAGTGGGGAAATGTTTCAGTGGCATTTACTGTGAGTATTTCTTGAGTTTGGCAAGTCCACTACAGCATGCTCATTGGTGGTCGAGGGCAGGAGAAAGGGGAGGTCTTGGTGCATTGCTCTCAAGGGAGGGCTTTTGCTTCTAGTGCCTTCCCCAAGACCTCATGGACCGTTGACTTGTTTCATCATGTGGAGCTTCATCTTATGCAAGCTGAAGAAACAGTATGCCGGTTTCATTGCTGCAAGATAATTGACCCCTTGTGACTTCATCCAGAAGGTAGCAGCAACATGTGCTCTTAGTGAAAGATCAGCAGCTGGGAGACACATATGAGCTGGGAAAGAGAGGGGCTTGGAGTGGCTCTGGACGACCTGGGCAGGACTAGGATTCTGATCCCTGACTCCTGCCAGCACCAGGGCTCAATTTGCATGAATCAAGGCTGTGTTCTAAGTCCTGGGACTGCAGTGAGGGGTGCTAGTGCCCTCATCTATAAAAGCTAGAACAGGAACAAGTGCTTGGGGAGACTACATATGAATACTCATTGGCAGAGGGAGAAGTATGCTGATTAACAGCATGATGACCTGTCAGAGCCTTCATGGACTTGTCTTTGGGTGGAACCAGGGCTTTGCCCTTTTGGAGGCTGGCCCTGTACACTGGAGTAATAATACTGCGCCTGGAAGCTGGACACTGAAGGCACTTACTTCCCCACTTCCACCCCCTCGGCCCAGCAATGGCTTTTAAATCATGCTCTGCAGAGCCCTGAGAGGTTAATGAAATCCTCTCTGGGATTTCCATAGGAGATAGGCAGATTTTCTGCTGACTTCTAGGCCCCCACCCTGCAGATCCTCTTCTCCCTGTTTGCAGGGTGGGCTTCCTTGTTGCTAGGGTGGATGTTTGGCTGGCACACCCCCCCATGACCATGCTGTTTGGTTGTAGCTGATCTCCATTCTCATTGGCAGTGTGCCTGTACCACAGCAATTATTAAATGTTTTGAATTTTACTCTTGTTTGCAAACCTTCTTTGGACAGAGGAAAACCGTGCTGTTCCATGCCAGCTGCATCCTAACTTAGGCACATCATACCAGTGATCAACCTTCAAGCCACTGCTACACAGAACTAAAGCAGTTTTTTGTCTTTGAGAAGGGTTTTCTGTGCTTCCCCGTGCATCCTAGGGTCACAGAGTCACCTGGATGTCACCAATCCACATGGCTATGTGGGGTTTGGCTATTTGTTTACTGCCCATCTGCCCCCACCACCATCACCACTCCACCCAGAGCCACCACAGCAAAAACCCTGGTTTTCTTGCAGTGGCAGATCTGAAAGCTGGAGTTTGTCTTTTCCATCCCAGCCCCTGGCATGTCTCTTCAGGAGGCAGATAGCATGCTTCATTGCCTGCCTGTGGACCTGGCTCCCAGATTCACTCAGCTGTGCCTTTACAAACAAACAGCTCTAAATGAGCAGGATGTGCCAGCTTTTCTGGGAGGATTCCTTATGAGTACCTACTATGTACTTTGCATTCATTCTCCCATTTAAATGTCACATCTTTCCCTGTTTGGTGTCATTCCAGTTGCACAGATGAGGGAACACAGAATAAGCCACTTTCTCAATAATGAGTTTCCCATCAATAAAATGGTCCAAAGAGGAAGAAGACAGTCATTTGTTGTGGTGGTATCAGGGATTCTAGCACTGGATGGTTAGATCATCTTCTGGATTACAGGATGCTCATCAGTGCTTGTTCCAGGATCTGATCACCACCGAGATCCCTGGATACTGCAGTGGTACAAAGGGAGCGATGGTGAGGGGAGTTCCCAAGCCACTTCCATTGTTTTCTAGAAATCACACACTGATTTCTAAGAAAGCAGCAGAGGTAGACACTTTCTGCCTGTGACTGGATTGATCGGATGCCAAAAAACCCAGATTCTAGTCTAGGTTCTGCAATAAGTCTTCTAGGTGACTTGGGAAATCATTTAGCCTTTCTCTTCCTTTTGCTCAAAAGAAATAACAATAACCTTAAAGAGTTGCTATGTTTATAAAATATTACATACATATAAATTGAAAGCATTATGCCAATGAGAGTTATTAGCACATATTCTTCATCCTCCTACTGACACCTTTGATCTAAAATGATTTTAAAAAGTGAGTCACGGATAAATGCTATCTCTTCTAGAGTTGGAGGCTGGGAGGAGAACTGACTGAGAATGAGAGGAATAGAGCCAACCCATCATTTATAGATTAGAGAGCCTCCAAGCCTAACTAAAGTAGAAACTGCTGGGAGCAGTGGCTCATGCCTGTAATCCCAACCCTTTGGGAGGCTGAGGTGGGCGGATCACCTGAGGTCAGGAGTTCAAGACCCGCCTGGCTAACATGGCAAAACCCCATCTCTACTTAAAAAAAAAGAAAAAGAAAAAGAAAGAAAAAAGGTAGAAACTTACCTCTAACCTAGGCAAAAGAGAAGAAAGAATTGATAACTTATCTTTGAATTACCTTGCCACCAAGGGAAAAAGAGAAAGCTAATGGATTACAAATTATTCCCCTTGGTTAACGTTGAGTCTTCCTTTGTTGAGGAGTAAGTAAACATAGATGACAAGCTATTAGCTAAGCAGAGAGAGGTATAGTTTGTGCAGGAATGGCAAATACTTGATGTAGTAGGTTGAATTCGCCAGAACCAGACTCTAGGACAGAGATTTGCATGCAGAAAGTTTATTGGAGCATGCTCTTAGGATCAGCACCTGTAAGGGAGTAAGGGAAGAAAGGGAGGAGTTGAGCTGCAAAGCAATCACAGCAAAAATGTCAGCTGATTCCACAGGGAACTCTGGAGCTGGGATGGTCTTCAGATGTCTCACATTGAGCCAAAGGGAGTTGGCCTTGTTGCCCACTGCAGTGACAGCTGTGGACTGCCCACAGGTGACAGCTCTCTTGGGCTGAAGGCCATTCCTGGAGACTCAACTGATACCTGTCAGCAGCCAACAGCAACAGTCCCTGCAGCTGGAGGAATGAGTGTCTCAGTCCCAAAGAAGGTAGTCAGGGTGGCACATCACAGCATTAACTACATTTGGCCTGTGGGCTGCCATTCTTTTCTCCCACTCCCCTGCAAACACCACTGTTGAAACAACTCTTTACCACTGCATTCAGATGAGGGCTCAGAATTTTTTCAAACACAATACTTTGGATAAACATTATCAATCATCTGGAATTTGCTCATGAAAAAGGATCCTATTTGCTACCTTTGCCCTCTACACGTGTAGGAAACATTTATTGATGGTGTCATAATAAGTCTTGAGTGTTATGATTGCTCTTTCAAGATCAAACAGTTGGCAAACCTTAGACAATTCCCTGTACGTCTCCTGGGAGACAAGATTTTCTCTTATTTTTCCTTATGATGGCCTCTCACCACACTTCATCCAAGCTCTGACTTATTTTCCCCTTACCCTAGTAAATGCAGTTTTCCCTATGGTTCATTTTTTTTTTCTCTTTTTTAATTTACCACACACTATCTTGTCATCTCACCCATTCTTATTTCAACCAGCAGCCCACCTTAGACATCCCTCCTTCCCCCTAGTTTTATATTTCCAATCATCCACTAAATCTGTCCACCTGCTTAGCCTCTCTAGCCTCCATACAAACAGCAAATTACATTCACATTAGCCAGGAAAGAAGCTGACACTTAGCTCTCTCAAGATGCTTTCAGAAGATGTAACGTCTTGCAAGAGACGGAGCCGGGTGTTATCATGGATCTGAAGATAAGCTGGGATTTATCGTAGGTCTGTTGTCTCCCAAAGCCTGTGCTCTTTCTTCCGTACCTTTGAAATATTTGTTGGGATGATCTCTTCATGAATCCAGATTCTCTTTACTGAGCTTTGCCAGAGTTCCCTGTGGAATCAGCGGAGAAGCCTACATAGTTTGATTTTCAATCCCACAGGTCATTGTGAATAACTGCAGAGTGATAAGAGTTACTTCACCCCAGTGGGTGAGCTGGGGACATTTCTGCTTTCACTGAACAGAGTATAGAGTGCTAGGCACAGCCTGGCTTTTAAGTCTACTAGCTTACTGTTTCATTTACTTCTGAAGATATTCCAGTGGTAAGGAGACTTTGGGATCACAAACTCACAGTCAGGGTCTAAGGGTTGGGGAGACACTGAAGCCAAGTAAAGGGCTGGTTATGGCTTTTGATAAATGAGAACTGTGGCCAGTCCAGCTGGCCAGGTGCCAAAAGCCTAGCAGTTTCACAAGGGGACCAACCTGGGTTTCTGTGCTGAATGCCTGTGCCTATATCTACCATCCTTCTCCTTCAAGGAAGAGGTATTTGGTAGAGAGGTCTTTTGCTTTTAGCTGAGGGCCAGTTCCATTGAAACCAAAGATCAATTAGGCTGTTGGGGTTCCCACTGAGGCCCCTATTCTGTACCAGATATTCAGCTAAGCATCCCACTCCTTCACCCTTAAGGTGTGGGCTGATGTGTTTTTGGTGTTGCTTAAATAGCAGACATGGGCCCCACAGCTTCCTGATGCAGTGTGACTTCTGAGCTCTGACAGTTTGTTGATAATACCCTCTGCCCTTGAGACAATTACTTTTTTGCCTAGGGAAGAATCTAGAATCCTCATGATGAGTGAAAAGATGGGCTGATTTGAGTCCTCACTCTCTTTTTTGCTACAGATTTGCTATGTGATCTTAGACAGTCACTTGACCTTTCTGGTCCTCAGTGTTACCTCAGTGTCAGTGTTGAAAATGGCCATTATAATGCATCAAGCACCCTACTTGTTGGGGAACCAGGAGTATAATATAGGTGCTCTATAAATGATGGATGTTTCCCTTCCTCACCCCCAACTCATTACTTAGTGAGGTCTCTGGAGAAGTGTTTACTAGACATTCATGATCTACAGAACATGGATATTTTCTCAAGGACTACATTAAATCTTTGTTGGATGACCCAGGGCTGGATGGGTCTGGGGGTCATCATCTGGCACGCTTTCTCACTGGACCCTGAGGAGACTAGGTTCCGTACCCAATACTTTCTACCAGCCATGATGTGGAGAAGATTCCTCTTCATTTTCTGGTACTTCACCTATTCCATCTTCCTTTCTAATGGCATGTAACCAAGAATGTTCAGAAGAGGCCACCAGGGCAGAGTGAAAGTCATCCTGCCCCATGTGCTGGTTTTATAAAACGAGAACACTCTCATGATCCCTCCAAGACTTAGTCTTCTCGTTTATAAAGTAGGGCAATACTACTTTCCTTAGTAGCATTCTCTGAGAATTGCATGTGATAATACACATGAAAGCACACTTCGCAACAAACATATGCAAATGTAAAATTCTATCTCCTACGAGTTTTTATTTCTTGGTCTGGCCCCTTCACCAATAGCTCCCAACACAAGTTCCTGAATGTATGTGGTCTATGCAGACAGCTTATCCAACATGCTATTTGTGGCTATCAAGTTTCCTGATGAACTTTTAAAATTTATTTATGTGTTTGTTTTCCTCTCTAAATTCTAAGATGTTTAAGAATGAGGTCCAATCTTAATTCATCTATTTCCCAATTATGTAATAGATGCTCCATAATTGTTTGAGGAAATAAATGAAGATGAAAGAAAATTAGAATGATGAGTACCTGCTTCATATCTGCTTATGTAATCCTCACGCCAGTCCTAAAGGTTTGTGTTATTTCCACTTCTATTTAAAAAAAAATTTTTTTTTTGAGACGGAGTTTCGCTCTTGTTGCCCAGGCTGGAGTGCCGTGGCACGATTCTGGCTCACTGCAACCTCTGCCTCCTGGGTTCAATCAATTCTCCTGCCTCAGCCTCCCAAGCAGCTGGGATTACAGGTGTCCACCACCACACCCAGCTAATTTTTTTTTTTTTTTTTTTTGGATTTTTTAGTAGAGACGGGGTTTCACCATGTTGGCCAGGCTGGTCTCAAACTTCTGACCTCAGGTGATCCCCCCCACCTCCACCTCCCAAAGTGCTAGAATTACAGGTATGAGCCACCGTGCCCATCCTATTTCTACTTATAGAAAACAAAAATTGAGGTCAAACGTGAAGCCACTTACCCAGAATACATAGTAACTAGTAGAGCAAGGGATGATGGCCTTAGACTCCTGGACTCCAGAGCGAGTGCTCATATTCTCTACTTCATTTTCTCTCGCTCCCTTTCTCTTTTTTTCACATTATTATTGTGCAAACAACATGGAAACAATAATAAAAGAAAACAGAAATACAATCACCTTTCATTGCACCACTTCTAGCAAATCAGCTGTTTCCATTTTTTCCACATTCCCTATAGCCTCTTTCTTGCATACGTTTTCTGTAGCAGCATTATTGAGATATAATTCACGTGCTATAAAATTTACCCTTTTAAAGTAACATTTCAGTATTTTTTTAGTCTATTCACAGAGTTGTGCAACCATCACCACAATCTAACTTTAGAACATTTCATCACCCCAAAAAAGAAACCCTTTGCTCATTAGCAGTCATTCCCCATACCCTGCTCCCCCTAGCCCTTGCCAACCACTCCACTAATCTACTTTCTCCCTCTTTATGGACTTGCCTGTTCTGAACATTTTATATAAATGGAATCATACAAGATGTTGCCTTTGTGTCTGTTTTTTTTTTGGTTTTTTTCACTTAGCATAATGTCTTCAAGGTTTATCCATGTTAGGCATGAATCAATACTTTATTCTTGATACACCAACACCCATACCCACCCACACACACACACACACATACCACATTTTGTTTATCCATTTATCAGTTGATGGGCATTAGGGTTATTTCCATTTTTAACTATTATGAATAATGATGCTATGAACATTCATGGACAAGTTTTTATGTGGACATAAATTTCAGTTCTTTGGGGTATATATCTAGCAGTGATATTGCTAGGTCATATGGCAACACTATGATTAACATTTTTAGCAACTGCCAACCTATTTTCAAATATAGCTACGCCATTTCACAATACCACCAGCAATGTATGACATTTCCAATTTTTTTACATCCTTTTCAATACTTTTTATGTCTTTTTTATTTCCTTGTGGGTTTGAAGTGGTATGTTATTGTGGCTTTGATTTGGATTTCCCTAATGATGAATGATACTCAGCATCTCTCTTTTTTTTTATTTATTTATTTTTTTGAAACTGAGTCTTTCTCTGTTGCCAGGCTAGAGTGCAGTGACAAGATCTTGGCTCACTGCAACCTCTGCCTCCCAGGTTAAAGCAATTCTCCTGCCTCATCCTCCCAAGTAGCTGGGACTACAGATGCCCACCACCATGCCCAGCTAATTTTTGTATTTTTAGTAGAGACGGGGTTTCACCATGTTGGCCAGGATGGTCTTGATCTCTTGACCTCGTGATCTGCCCACCTCTGCCTCCCAAAGTATGCTGGGATTACAGGCGTGAGCCACCGTGCCTGGCCAATATTCACCATCTTTACATGTTCTTATGGCAATTTTTTCTTGTCTTCTTTGGAGAAATATTTATTCAAGTCCTTTGCCTATTTTTTAATTTGGGTTTTATGTTGTTTATTGTTGAGTTATAAGAGTTCTTTATATATTCTGGATACAATTGTCTGATATATGATTTGCAATTTTTTTCCCATTCTGTGAGTTATCTTTTTACTCTCTTGATAATGTTCTTTGAAGAACAAAACTTTTTCATTTTGAAAGAGTCCAATGTATCTACATTTTTTCTTTTGTCACTTGTGCTTTTGGTGTCACATCTAAGAAACCATAGCTTAATCTAAAGTAATGAGAATTTATTCCTGTTTTCTCTTAAGAGTTTTATATTTTTAGATTTACACATGGATCTATGATCCACTTTGAGTTAATCCTTGTATTTTGTGTGAGGTCTGGAGCAAACTTCATTCTTTCGCATGTGGATATTCAGTTATCTTGGCATCATTTCCTGACAAGACTTTCTTATTGAATTGTCTTGGTACTCTTGTCAAAAATCAAATGACTATAAATGTGAGGGTTTATTTCAAGACTCTAAATTTGATTCCATTGATCTATATATCTACTCATATGCCAGTACCACATTATCTTGAATACTGTAGCTTCGTAGTAAATTTTGACATTGAGATGTGGGGTTCCTCCAACGTTGTTCTTCTTTTTAAGGATTATGTGAATATTCTGTGTTCCTTGCATTTCCATATAAAGTTCAGGATACACTAGTAAATTTCTACAAAAGAGAATCCAGCTGAGATTTTGGTAGGGAATACATTAAATCTATAAATAAATTTGGGGAATATTTTTATCCAAACAATATTAAATCTCCCAATCCACAAACATGAGATATCTTCCCATTTATTCAAGGCGGCTTTAATTTCTTTTTAATCTGTTTTATAATATTTAGTATACAAGTCTTTCACTTCTTTTTTTAAATTTATTCTTAAATACTTTATCCTTTTTGATGCTATTATAAATGGAATTATTTTCTTGATTGCATTTTTGGATTGTTCATTGCTAGTGTATAGAAATACAACTGATTGTACATTGATCTGGTATCCTTCAAACTTGCTGAACTTGTTTATTCTAATAGCTCTTTTGTGGATTCCTTAGGATTTTCTATATATAAGACCTTGTTATTGATGAGTAGAGATAGTTTTATTTCTTCGTTTCTCCAATCTGAATGTCTTTATTTCTTTTTGTTAACTAATTTTCCTGGTTAGAACCTCCAGTACAGTATTCAAAGAAGTGATGAGAGCAGTCACCTTGCCTTGTTTCTAATCTTAGGGGGAAAGCTTTTAGTCTTTCACCATTAAGTAGAATGTTAGATGTGAGTTTTTTGTAGATGACCTCTATCAAGTTAAGTATTTCTTCTATTTATAGTTTGTTGGGTTTTTTTGTCACAAAAGGATGTTAGATTTTGTGAAGTGCTTTTTCCATGTCTAATGACATAATCGTGTGGTTTTTGTCTTTTATGGTCTTAATGTGGTCTATTACATTGATTGGTTTTTGTATGTTAAACCGACCTTGAATTCCTTAATAAATCCCACTTGGTCATGGTGTATAGTTCTTTTTACGTGTTGTTGGATTCAATTTAATGTTATCTTATTGAAGATTTTTATATTTTTATAAAAATTTGTATTTTTCTATTTTTGGGAGATATTCATCTGTACTTGTGTGTGTGTGTGTGTGTGTGTGTGTGTGTGTGTGTTTGTGTGTGTGTGATGTCTTTGTCTGATTTTACTATCAGAATAATGCTGGTCTCATAGAATGAGTTGGAAGGATTCCCTCCTTTTGTATTTCTTGTAAGAGTTTTATAAAGAATTTGTGTTAATCTTGACTGTATTTTGGAAAACTTTAAAAGGTGGTGATAAGAACAAGGCTTACTACAGCTAATAGTCATGCCTTATCATGTGCTTGTGTCAGAAAAACAACAACAACAACATCCTACAAATGCCAGAAACAACACTGCAGTGAAGCCTGAAAATTTCCTTACGGGCAGGGCAGTGAGTCTCTGGCCATTATGCCAGGCAAGGTGCTTAATACTGGGGACCCAGCCTGGGACAGAATGCTATAATTCCTGCCTTTTTCCTGCAGTTTTTTTTTTTCCAATTTTAAATATTTCCACACAAATGCCTGAATAAATACTCCATTGAAGCAAAACTTTCTCCTTCATAACAGATAAGAGATTGGCCTCTGGACCACATGCTGAACAAGACCAATGCTTACACCATTATCTCCCCTGGAATCCATCCTGTCCTCCTAGAAAATCAAAATATCCACAAGTATTAATAGCTTGCCATTCAGGTTAACAAAAGAATCAAGTGTTTGTTTTTGTTGTTTTTTAACACGTAAAAATGAGGAAAGAATGTTACTGGCTGAAATTGGTTAGAACAGAGAAGCAAGAGTATGAGATTGCACCCTGGAAGCCAGCAGTTTCTCTGCAGTAAAGATAATGATGTGAGTCCCTGAACATGTCTAAAAGAGAGTTTTGAATTGTGGCCATTCATTTATTCAGCAGTCACTTCATTAATTCATTCAGCAACGATTTATGAAGCTCCTTTCCTGTGCCAGGCCCTGGAGTATCGGGTCACACAGAAAGAAATCCATCTGGGTCTCTGCTCCTAAGGGCCACCCAATCTGATGAGGGATATTGGACTCTATACAAACAATTGCTACCAAACATGATCAAGACTATAATGTAGGCATAAAGGGGGCCACAGAAATGTAGAGAAAGGAGAGATCATTTTACATCCTTTTCAGTACTTTTTAATGTCTTTTTTGTTTCCTTGCGGGTTTGAAGTGGTATCTCATTGTGGCTTTGATTTGGATTTCCCTAATGATGAATGATATTCAGCATCTTTACATGTTCAGAGGAATGTCAGAGGAAATGTGATCCACATGGAATCATGAAAGATGCATAGGAATCTGCCTAGTGGGCCTGTGGGACAGGGCCTTCCAGGCCCAAGCAGAACCAGCAGTTCAGTGAGAAGAGTCTAACTGCACATTCAGAGACATTCACAAGGGCTCAAAGGTACAGCGCTGAATTGGAGAGACCCCAGAAGGCGGACCTTAAAGGACCTGCTTTGTGAAGGAGTCTGAACTTTATCCTGGGACATTAAAGGTTTTAATGGTTTGGGACCTTTTTCTAGAACCCAGTTATGCCAGAGAGGCAGAATTGATATGAGATTTGGTGACAAAGGCCATTGTAGCCCTTGCAGAATTGTCCTTAGATGGGATGCAGGCCTCCTGGGGACTTGTCATCAAGCATACCCCCGCTAGGAGCCTTATTTTCCCTCCATGGCCCTACAGAGAGCCATCCCACATCACCAAGAGGTCAAACTAAAAGTTTTTAATTCTGATCTTGACTATGATTTCCAAGCTGGGGCAGATAACTCTGAATTTCACTTTCTCAGTGATAAAATAAGGACCTTGATGCCTACTTCCTAGGGTTGTCGTGATAAATTAAAACTAAAAAAGCATTCTCCAAAAACTTTCAACAATCTCCACTGGACTAAAGATGGACCCATCTCTTATGAAAATAAGACTATCAATGTTGGGAGCTACACAGACCTGGGTTCAAAGCCCAACTCTCCCAATGGCTGCTTGACCGTAGACAAATCAGTGAACTTTCTGAGTCTCCATCTCCTCCTCTGTGAAATAAAAATGATCATAATACCTCCCTATGGGGATTGCTGAGAGGAGTAAGTATAATAATCACTGTGCTGTTCCTGGGCATATCAAAGGTGCTAAGGAGTTGCCTTTGAGTCTGAATGTGAACAAGGAAGCTCCCGGAAGGCTGAGGTGCATCTCCTTCATCTCTATATGCAGAGCGTAACGCCATCATTTGACGCCTAAAGACAGCCCAGTGTTTTTGTAGTTGAATTCATTTGCAGCTCTCAACCCTTTACTCATTCCAGGTTTCTGTCCAGTGGAAAAACAAATTGACTGTGACCTTTTAGAAATCTAAATAAATCAATGAAGAAAAAAGATGTTAAACCACCTCATTTTATGTGTTTATTTTGCCGAGTGGGCCAACCAGGTATTAATTAGTTTGGGCTTCCCTAAGGGAGCAGGCAGGGCCCACAGCTCCTGCTCCCACTAACCCAGCCTGGCTGTCCCAGATTTTCCAGCTGAAAGGTAGACCAGCATCTCTTTCGCACTGGGGAGTTTAACCTGGGAGAGATATGTCCTTAATGATGTTTCATACCCAGGGGCCTCTCAAGAAAAGAGCTTCAGGAGGGTTAATTGGGACAGGTGACTACAGGAGCCACAGGCTTGGAGGCAGGGACACGGAGAGATGGGAATCACAGCCTCCTATGTGTCCCGGGGCCAGGCGTGGGTGATTACAGCAGCCCTAAAGCAGGTGTAGTATAGTCTGTGCTCCGGCTCGCTTCTTCCCTGTGTGGTTCCCATGTGTGGCATCCACTGCTTCTCCTGTTCCCACTCAAATGGGAGGGGGCCAGCTAAGGGACTTACAAAGCCCAGAGCCAGGCCCTGGAGCTGTGGTGGCACCTTGCTAGGTCTCCAGCAACTTCACTTAGTGGGTGGCAGGCTCTGGAATGAGTAGGATATGCCTGCCCACTGGAGCCACTTGCTGTGGGGAGATGGCCACAAAAGGAGGAAGGTAGGCCTTTTGGAGCTCTTTGGAGGCTGCAGTGAACTCTGACTTGAGAAGAGAGGGAAGGAGAAGGAAAAGCTGTGGAAACTACAGAAGACTGGTATCTTCAGCTATTAATAATGCTGTAACAAAATACTTGAGGTTGGGTAATTTATAAAGAACAAATTTATTTCTCACAGTTCTAGAGACTGGAAGTCTAAGATCAAGATGAAACAGGTTTGATTTTTGGTGAGGGCTTGGTCTCTGCTTTCAAAATGGCACTTTTTGCTGCCACATCCTCCAGAGGGGAGGAGCACTGTGTCCTCAAATGGCAGAGGGAACAGAAGAGGCAACAAAAGGGGGCCGAGCTAGTTCCCTCCACCCCTTTTATAAGGCACTAATCTATTCACAGGGGTAGAGCTCTCATAACCTAACCACCTCCCAAAGGTCACACCTCTTAATACTGTTGCATTGGGGATCAAGTTTCAAAGTGAATTTTGGAGAGGACACATTCAAACCATAGCAAGAGGATATTTGATATGCATCTGAAAGGGTGAAAAAGAGCTCACCAGACAGAAAAGTACGCAGAGGGAAAGTTTTCATAAAGGCCCTGAGACCTGGAAGGCCCTGGAGTCCTAGAGAAATGGGGAGAGGCTCAGTGGAACAGGAATAAAGAGTAGAGAGGCAGCTATGGGGCAGTGGGATAGGACATGAGGTGGGAAGACAGGTTCTGACCCTGGAAGGCAGGCTATAAGGAGTGTGGACCTGGTACTCTGGGTGGCAGAGAGGCATATAGAGAGACCAAGTAAGGTTGGCCTGCAATAGCCCTGAATCAATTCATTACATAATTATTTATGAAGCTATACTAGGTGCTCCCACCTTGCTGGGCTCTGGATATCCAACAGTAAAGAAGTCAGACTTGACCCTGAGAAAGTTTACACTTCCTCTCCCTTTCTGCCTGCCTCTCTCCTTAACACCATCTTACCTGTTGCTACTCTCAGAAGATTGTAAGCTCCCAAAGGACTGTGTTACTCATCTTCTGCCTGGAGTACTCTCTCTAAGGCCTTCTGGGAAGAAGGTGATGAAGAAACAGCTGTGAAAATGAACATATTGACACTTTAGGGAGTTCTGAGATCATCAGATTGGAAATCCTCCACAGCTGGTGCTCAGCCAAGGAGTCCCTAATGTGGTAAACTTTCAGCTTGTAGAGACCACCCTCCGTGGCCCCAGTGTGTGCCTGTTTGTCTGGGATGTGAGGACTCTGCAGGCATCTAAAGGTGTAAACACCTGTGCACGTGCCTGAAAGCAGACGTGTGTCTGGGCTCAGAGGTGCATGTTGGGTGCTTCTGTGTCATGGGCCCTGTGCGCTTGTCTGGGTCTGGACACGTGGCCGTGCCTGTGAGATTTCCCTTTAGGCTCTGTTGGTTTCTGGAGGATGAAGAGCCCAGGCCTCACCTTGAAAACAATCCTGTTGTTTGTGATTTCCTGATAGTGACAGTGTCATTGCGCTTGTCTGTCCCTCGTGCACATGTACACACATACCCAGCACCACTTGGGAGCCGCAAGCTCTGAGAATTCCTGAGAGACTGCCACGGGCCACTTGAGTGGCTCACTAATGGGCTAGCTTCCTTCCTCAGAGAAATGGTCCAGGAAAGGTTTCTGGAAATGAAATTTCAGTATCAGTTTAACGTCAATAAAATACAACAAAGATGAAGTGGCAAGAATTCGGGTGCTTCTGCTGATGCTGCTTTGATGGGAAAGCTCTTCCGATGTCTGGAGTCTGGGAAGAGAGTTCTTTCAAGAGGTTCTCAGCGGCTCCTGCTGGCTTCCCCATCGCAAGCAGGCCCAGGTCTTTCCTCCTGAGCCTTTAATCACAATGCTGACAGCAAGGTGGACTGCCCCAAAGGCTGCATTTCTCCAGGTGCCAAAAATTAAGCCAGTAGGACAGCCGTCAAATTGACAAATCAGTCCATTTGTCCGGCCAGTCTCATTTTCCTGATGGAGACAAGCTTACAACGTTGTGTTTCTAGACTCAATCAGCTATATTCATTGAGTCTATTCCTTTCTCAGTGAATGGCCTTGTGAACCCCTTAGGCATCACCAACTCCTAAGTCCCCCTGCCTTGAATCCTCATCGGAACAAGGTGGGAAAATAAGCAATGGAATGAAATCAATACCTACTGTTTCCCCCATGTATTACCAGTCACTCCAGATCTATACGCTCTCTCTCAAATCTGCTTTCTCTTTCTTCTCTGAGTGAACTTGAGAAACCAGGAGGACCTTGTTTTTGCTATGCTGCCTCAGGCAGAATTAGCTTTTTTGTTCTTTTGCACTTTGTAGAAAGGAGTTGCAAGACAGTGAGTTCTCAGCAGGAAGGCTGCTTAGGGGGCCTTCTGGTCAGTACATGTTCAATTTGCTCTCTGCCCTCACCTCATGCCACTGTGCTCATTTCAAGCTGCATTTCTGGGCCAAGATGGTGAGAACTAGCCATCAAAATAAAGAAGACCCTCAGAAAACTATGCAGACTCCAAGAGTCAGGGCCAAAAGCACCTTTGGGGTTTCTCTGTCTGCACCCCTATTTTCTAGGTGGAAAAACCAAGGCTCAGACAGGCCTAATAAGTTACTCCAAGTCTGCCTGACAGCAGCAGGCCCCCAGTTCACATCCCCTCACTCCAAAATCAGCACTTTGCTTCCCTGCCCCTAACTATGGACCGTGCAGAAGTAGCACACTCACACCATTTTCAAAAGATTTTCTGCCAGTGTTGAAACAAACAGGCCTGATGACATGGTGAAAAGCCAGGGCTTTGGAGTCACAAAGACCTGGGTTCAAATCCCATCTTTGCGTTGATTAGACATTGTCAGGGGGCAAGTTACTTTCACTTCTTTGAGCCTCAATGCCTCATCTGTAAAATAGGGATAATTCTACCCCTCTCATAGAGTTATTGTAAAGATACAATGAAATCATGTACACAAAATCCTTAGCAGTGTTCCTGGCTCAGAGTAAATCGTCAACAACTGTTAGTGCCCCCTCTATCTGGAAGCTGACAAATTCAATTAACCAGAACCACCCATCCTCATCCCAATGCCCTGCCCATTTCCCAAAACTCCCTGTTTGCAGAATCATAAATCTCGTGTCTGAAAAGGAGCTCCATAAATCACCTGGCACAGCCCCTGGTAGCAGAGCTCTCTCTGTATCTGGCTCAGTGTGTTCTGCAGTCTTTTGCTGGCTCAGCCTGCCTCACTCCTTACTGTAAGCAGAAGAATTCCCACCAGCACAGCCAAAAAAACAGAATAATGCTGTCAGTGGATTCTACAAAAGGGCTAATATTAGCTGGGCAGGAGGATTGGGGGTGGGGGTGTACCTATATTTGGAATCTATGTCTTCAGCCCTTTCCTGAGGCAGCAGAAGTTGGGGGGATGGGGGAAGGGGTTATTGCCAGGATTGGGCAGAGCAGCTGGGCTAGGTCTCCCCTTCTCTCTGTTGGGTGATTTCCTTCTCCCCAGGATGTGGGTGGCAGAGGAAAAAGGCTGCTGGGAGGGAGAGGGGAGGCTGCAAATGGTACCCCCAAAGCAGCAAGGAGTATGGCAGTGGTAGAGGCCCCCAAAGTCTCCTGTAAGGATGACAGGGCCATTGGAACCTAGCTGTAGAGAGTCCTGGAGGGGTGGGTTCTGTAACCTTCTACTCCAAGATGGGATCCAAAGAGCATGTTTCTGGCTGTGTCTTCCTGGAGAGGCCTTGGATAAAGGCCCAGGCATCAGGGGGCGCTGGGCCTGCGCTAGGAGAAAGATGCATGCCGGATGTATCCCTAGCAGCAGCTCTTTGCACATTCTCCCACCCCCCTCCAAACATCTACACTTTCTTTCTCTGCTCTTAAACTCATCTTGGGGCTCCAGTGTCCCCCTCTGTGAACACTTCCTGCCTCCTGGAGACCCTGCTAGCCCTTCTGTGCAGGTTAGAAGACAATGCCCTTCCTCCAGGCAGACATAGCCCGGCACCGGGGCACAAGGCTGGGTGAGCAGAGTGTGAGCTGGCTCTGAGGTCCCTCCTGTCCTCATGTCTTATACAGTATGCCATTAGCAAGTGAAGGCCACAGCATACTGTATAAGTATACTTGGCAACAGCTTTGGGGCTGAATGAAATGGCCAGTGGCCTGAGGTCCAGTCTCCTAGGTAGTATAGCAGGATGATTCTCAGTAAGGATCCTTCCCATACCAGGTCTTGATTTTCCTGCCCTTAAAATGAGGAGGGTGGGTGAGATGCCCTCCAGGGTCTCTTTCAGCTTTACAGTCTATTTATCTGCTCGTTTTTAGGCGGCATAATGAAGATATAATCAGAAAAGCATGTGTGCTCTACCTTCCCCCCACATAAAACCCATATGATCCAAAGAGAAATGGAAATTACTTTTGATTTATTCATGGTCTGATGTTGCTGTTATCTGCTCCCTTCTGCTAGGGTCTTAGGCTGGACCAGGAGGCCTGTCTATACAGGATGCTAAGGATTACCTGTCACCCAGGGAGAACCAACTTCTATTTGCCCTCAAGCTGCATCTGCAGCTGTGGCACTATGATGGCCCTGGGTCTGGAAGTTTAACCCAACAAGACTTGGGAAACTTGAACAAGTCTGCAGTGGACTTAATGACTGTTTTCTAGCATCATGTCACTGTTTTGAAACGGTTACTGGGCTGCATTTTCTGTCTTCCTTTTTCTATCTTGGAGAGATGGGCAGGAATCAGGGAAGGCCTGGGGAGTGGAGACAAGGCTAGCAGGAAAATGAGGAAACCAAGGGTGTGAGTACCTGCCTGGTGGAGTTGTGTTGCTCTCAATTGGTTTGCTTGTTTGCAGGCCGCAGGGCAGCAGTGTCTTCTCACCTGCAGAGTGCAAAGCGCATTTCTGGGCTGGCACAGAAACATGCTTGCCCTGCTTTGCCTACAGGCATCTTTTGCACATAAATAACTTAAAAGCACCAAACTTTGCAGGGGAAATGTTTGCATGTGGCTTGCGTCTGAGAAGCACAGGCATACACACATAAATGTTGAAGGATTAAACACACACAAACACATGCCCGCATGCGCGCGCACACACAGACACACACACACACACCCCGCTCACACATACCCAGCACCTTCTAACTTCTTTGAGGATTGTTTATTCCCATGAATAGATTTTAACTTGGTGATTTTTAGAGTCAGGGAATGTTAGGGCTGGAAGGAATGTAGGAGATTATTCAGTCTGTCAGAGTTCCAACTTTTACTGACCACAAAGACATCTTCAAAGGAAGTTTTACAGGGATCCAAAGTGTATAAAATACAGAAAAGCAGAGATGTTCTGGATAAAGTGGTGAAGTGAGGGAGGGTTGCTTCCAGGATTCCCCTGAGCACTGTGCGAGAGCCACTGAGCATTCCCAACTCCCTGCAGGAAACTGAGGCCCGGGGAGAAGTCTTCTGGCTAAGGTCACATGGCAAGTGAAGGGTGGGGCCCAGCACCCATGCCAAAGCCAAACCCTGGGGAAACTCATTTCCCAGCCAAACTAAGTTGAAAATGCTGCTTTCTTGGTGAACCAAACCAGCATCCTCTCTACTACAACAGGCTTCCACTGTTACATGTTTAAGCCTTTTTCCCCCCCAATTTATAACAGACTCATCAAATGCCACAGCTGGAAGTGCCAGCTCCGTGGTTTTTAATCTCTCTTCTGCCCAATGCTGGGGTTTCACCAGGGGATAGGAGAGGAGGGGTGGCCTGGTGAGCCCTGCCTTCCACTTCACCATACTAGGTCTTCTCTTAACCATTTTACCAAGATTTCATCTGGAAAAATATAAAGAAGATGCAGGGAGCTACCTTAAACAAAGAAGAAGCTTGAGAAACTCCCATGAAGTATAAACTTCCTCAGATGATCAAATCAGCAACTTGATTTAGTTGATTTTGTGGAAAGACACTGAACTTTGTAAGGAAATTCCTGTATCTTAATTTATTGCAGGACCAGCATGTCATCTCAGCCTTTGCAAATCTGAGAGTGAAAAACGGGATGCATTCTGCAAAAGACCTTCACGAGAATTTGTGAGCAAATTTGGTCGCCAATATGTAACCAAAGGGACCTTCTGCCTTCTGTCCTTAGTCCCTGCCACCCATCTAGGTGTTTACATTTGATGTTTATGTTGCAGGCACCTACAAGCTTGGGTAACTTCCCCACATTAGGACTTCCCTCCTAACATCCTCCTGCTCCACATTTACCACCCCTGCACCCCTGGCCATTTCAGCATCTCAGGCTCTTCCTCATTTCCCCCTCGCACAGTGGGGTGCCGTGGAGGAGTGCTGAAGCTTGCAGATGCTGAGGAGGAGGCCAGCATTCTTCCCTTTCACTGATATTGGATCTGGCAAGCTGTGCACAGCCTTGTCTTGCCAGCCCGCTGCCCCTGGAGGGCCAGGCTCTGATTCTCCCTCAGATCTTTGCAGGGGTCTCCTTAACCTGTTGTTTCAAGGTTTGTTCCTGGCATTAAATCTAATAAGCTCAGGGCTGATGGTTTGATCCAGAGCTTGTTTTAGGAGTTCAGGGCATTTACAGCGCATTTACAGGATGCTGCTAACGAGGCTTTCAGAACAGCCAGCCAACCTCGAGATCTCAGGCCTTTAGAAACTGGGTTTTGTGGAGGCAGTGGGGCAGTGCATGACATGGGCCCTGGTTCCAGGCCCGGCTCCACCGTGTACTAGCTACACAACTTAACCTCTTTGAACTAGCTACACAACTTAACCTCTCTTAAAAATGAGAAATATACCAAATAAGATTGCTTTGCGAAGCGATTGAAATAATGTAAGGAAAGTGGTTGGCCTGTGGTGGGAATTCATTAAATAGCCATTTCTTTCTTTATCGTTTCTAGAGCACCTCATGAAACCCAAGTCCCATGGCTCCATGTGATGTGACACAGGTCAGAGGTCAGCATCCTCTACCTAAGAGTTCTGTCCAGTAACTCTCCAGGGAGAAAGACGAGGGGAGAATCACTTATCAAATGTCATTGAGTTTAAGATGGTTACTTTAACTTTTTAACATCTCTGAAATTAGGATGCATCTTACAGTTGAAGGCATGTCATAGTTCAACTGGCATTGTCATTGGAGGTTATTGTTCCCTTTTCTCAGTGCAACAATTATGCATGGCAGATTGATAGCCCCATTTTACAGATGGAGAAACTAAGGCTCTGAGAGGTAAAGGAACTTGGCCAGGACACAGATTTGTTAAGCGGTAGAATCAGAATTTGAACCAAGGCCTGACTGACTCCAAAGCCTGTGCTCTTTTGGGTAAGTGTAAAGAGAGAGGCTGGTTTCTCTTTGCTTCTTAGGACCATCCCTGAGCAGATCAATGTCCAGGGCCTAAAGGATGTTTTATTTTAGCAAGCAAAATTGCATACATTACTGGGTGTCCGCTATGTACAAGGTACATCCTAGGCATTGGAGGCTCAGTGGTAAACACGATATAGATGGAGTTAAAGTCCAAGAAACCCAAGCAATTACAATCCATTTAATATGGAATGCCATGGCAGCATGTGAGGGGGCCCTTAACTCAGGCCAGGGGAAGCTTCCAGGAGGAAGTGACCTCTGATTTGAAAGTCAGCCCAGCAAAGTGGGTTTGGGGTGGTGGGGAGCATGCCCCAAGCAGAGGGAAGAACATGTGAGAAGAGGCCAGAGTGTGTGTGGCTTGGTTGGAGAAACTGAAAGATCCAGCTTTGCACTACCAATATGGTAGCCAACAGCCACATGTGACTATTGAGGACTTGGAATGTGGCTAGTCTGAATTAATATGTACCATAGATATAATACGAGATGTGCCCTGGATTTCAGAGACTTGGGAGGAAAAATAAAAGAATATAAAATGTCCCATGAGTGCTTTTTCTATATTAGGTAGCAACATTATAATATTTTAGATAAATAAAATTTCTTTATAGATGAAATAAATGTAACATCATTAAAATTGTTGTCATTTTTTTCTTTTTGCTTTTTAAATGTGGCTACTAGAAAATTTAAAATCACACAGGTTTCAGATCTGAACTGTTCTGAAAACAGTTATGATCTAAACAATCCCTCTAGCCACATACACTCAGCTTCCAGGCAATGACTGTTGAATGGAAAGGAGCTTGCAGCAGCTAGAAACTTGTGAGAATGCTAGAGTGGAATCCAGGACTGGTTGAGTCCCTCTGGGAGGTGGGATGTGGGAGGTGGAAAAAGCACTTTGTGACTTTAGAGTCACAAAGGCCTGAGGCTGAAAATCCCTATTTTGCCATTTACTCTTAATTTGACTTTGTCATCTGGAAAATGGAAGCAGACATCACTACCTCCTAGGGTTGTTACAGGAACCAAATGAGATCATCTATGTTCTCATTTTATTTAACTATGAGCTCTGTGTGTGTGGCTGACATAGTCTCTGGTACACAGCAGGTGCTCAGTGCATGGGAAGTATGTTTGCTTCCCCTTCTCTCCTTTCCTGGAGTGGGAGAGTTTGGTCACTTAAGGAACAAAAAGCCCTCATTACTAGGTGGTCTTGCCAAGAGGTAGTCCCAGGCCAGAGGCCACCACTTCCTCTACTGCCACCCCAGGACCCTGTGGGAGAGAGCTGGGGGAGTAGGTGGGCTGAAGAGCCCGTGCCAGGACCACTCTGGCAAGTTCAGTGTTGTGGTTGAAGAGTGGAAGGTGAAGACCTGGGCTCCACCCAGCCCCGCCATTAAACAGCTGGTGCCTTAGGTAAGGCCCTCAGGAGGGCTGGCCCTGCCTTTCCCCTCATGAGGGAAGGTAAGGAGGTAAGCTCAGCAAACACAGACTGTTTACCCACTGTGGCCCTGGGGACACAAATGCAAATACGATTCAGCCCCATCATGGAGGGGCCATGGTCTCTTATGGATTATGGACCTATAAATAGAACACTCCAGATTGGTATGAAAAGTGCAAATAAATGGCAAGAGAACCTAGAGGAGCAAGTGGCTTTGCCGTCTCTAAAGCCCTTTAGAAAGACAAGAAAAAGTCTCTGTAATCATCTTTGTCTTTCCGATTAGCATTCGATGATCTCTTCAAAGACATAACCCTTTGGGGAAGAAGCTTTATCGGGCGGCTCAGGAACGCTGGCTGTTGAGTTCAGTTTGAATGTTCCCCTTGCAGCTTGCTTTTACCCTAGATCTTGAGATCTTCACTGGGGTCAGAAAGGCATACAAGTACCTGTTGGTCTTTTACCCCCAGACTGACTAATTCCATTCTTAGCCTTCAGAAGTCATCATGAAAAATGACTTCAGAAGTCATCAATTTCCCCAGCAGACAAACTCAATGACCTAGATCAGAGTTTCCAAACCTTTTGTGACTGTGGGAATTTTCTTCAGTCTTTTGTGATGTCCTAATACATAGAACAGAAGAGGCAAAGCTGCTTCTGGTTGGGAGGAGGGGAGCTGTTCTCCCACCTGATTTGCTCTTCTGTGAGCCCAGCCCTCTGCTAAGGACTGAATTCAGCCTGTTCCCTGCCATCGTGGGGCCGTATAGTTGAGTAACTGCCCTGCAAATTATACAAGGGAAACACAGAGAGGCAGCCTGAGGCTGGGAGGAGTCATGGTGGGCTTCCTGAAGGAGGTGATGCCTACATAGAGCTTTGAAAGTTGAGTAAGCATTTGTCATGGAAGGAAGTGAAGTGGAGGGTGCTCTAGATAGAGAGAATGTGAACAGCAAGCAGAGCTGGAATAGAAATGAAAAGTTCACTGGGATGGGGGTGAGAGCCATGGTTAGTGAGAAGCAGTGAGAGGAGATACATGGGAGAGATAGGAGGGCCCAGAGGTCTGAGAAACCCTTAGGTACCATGTGGGGAGTTTGAATTTGATCCAGTACAGATGATCCCAAATCATTTAGGAGTTTTCAGTAGATAATTATGGTAATTAGATTTTTAAAATTTTATATAGCAGATTTGTTTGAATATAATTCACATGCCATACAATTTGGTAATTAGGTTGTGGGACTAGAGGCAAAGTCACTTTGGCTACAAAGTGGCCAAGGGAATAAAATCACTGGGGATCATTTTGGATGGCACATGCCTTGTGCACACCCATAAGTGCTAAGTGCCAGTTACACCCTCATTGTTAACAACCCAAACTGGCTCCACACACTTCCAAAGCCTCCAGGGAGGAAAGAACAACAGAGGGAGCTAAGCCTCAAGGCTCCTGCAGGTGGCCAGGCAGGAGGAGATGCTGGGCGAAAGGACGGTGGTGCTAGGGGGATGGGAACCTGGGGACAAATCCAGCAATCACTGAGGAGTCTTGGTGGAGTGGGGCTGCATGCAGGCCTGTGCTTCTCTGCGAGGCCCTGGAAAGGAACCTGCTGGGAGTGGAGGGAGGAAGAGGGGAAGTCAGGGATAGCAGGACATCTACAGAGCCAGAGGGTGAAGAGAAAGCCCAGAAGTAGTTAATCCTGCTGGTTGAATTGTTTTTATAAAAGACACTCTAAAATCAAATAGATGAAATAAAACCACAGTTGCCTTTTCATTAAGCATGCCACAGAGGCCCCTTGTTCAGCAGCCGTTGTCAATCAGATCTGGGCCATTGTCTCTTTCCCCAGCCCCCTGTAATTGGCATCTGTCTGGGAGAAAACAAATAAATGCCAGGCTGGCATTTTAACTAGGGCAGCAAGGAGCCAGGGGCACTGCTTTTCAGAGTCTGCCTGGCCATCGGGGCAGGCGAGGGCCCTGAGGAGCCCTGAGGAGCCCTGAGGAGCCCTGCTCTCTCCCAGGTAGGGGTGCAGCCTCGAGTCCCCACCCACGCAGCTCCCTATTCCCCTCCTGGAAGATGCTGCTCTCATCTTTGCCTAAAATTGTGGCTCTAGAGAGTGCTTTATTTCTGCTTTCTGTCTGTAGAAGCCCCTGGGAGACAGTCTGTAGGAAGGCTTTATTTTTGTTTTTATTCTCTTCAGGAAGCCATGGGAAAAAGAAAAAGTAGACACATTCTCTGGCTAACTTTGGATACAACCACTTAATAGCAGTAACACAGCACTCTTGTTAAATAATACAAACAGAATAAAACGAAAATGGTGAATTAGTTATAGCTTTATTGCAGCATTAGGAGATAAGACTATCACAGCATAGTTTTTAACTAAGAATTTTGTAACAGTAATTTTAGCTACTACTTTGAACAGCATGTTCATGTACAGGTGATTCTCATTTTTTACAGTAGTTATGTTATATAAAGTAGGTGGGAATCCTGAATTAGTGAGTGTGGAACCTTTGCTCCTAAGGGAAATACAGGGTTAGGTTCCTGTAAGCCTCTGATCAAAACATTTTTGTCAGCTCATTAATACATCATCTGGTTTCGTGTGTGTTCTATTTAAAGACATCTTATCTAATATATGTTTTTGATTCCTTGACATTGAACTCTCAGCCAGCAATCCTATAACTCATGCCTGAATGAAGCTTATCTAGCACATACATTTTGCATATAACACATATTACAGCCTTCTTGCACTTAGGAACACCAGCTAGCACTTCAGCACTATGCTTGGTGGACATTTCAAGCAATGAAATCACCAACAAAAAGCACAGCACAAAAATGTGAAAAGTGTAGTACTAAATAGATTGCAAAAAGGAAACTTTTTACATTATGAGAGTTGGGACAAGAAGGCAGAGTGTTGTTTTGTTTAACCTCAGCTGGGAACTTTGCACCTGATGAGTCAAATTTTTCACCTCTTTATGCATGGTCCACAAATGACCATGATAGTGTTGGGTTTGGGGTTACAAGTACATTTCTGGGAATAGCAAAATTCACAAATACAATTTTGTGAATAGGTAGTCCATGAATAATAAGGACTGACTCTACCTTATTTCATTTACATCTCACTCATGCCCAAAACTCTCATGTTTTGATATAGGAAAGTAAGATTTAAAGAGAAGAAGTGACTTGTCCAGTGTCAGATAGCTGAAATGTGGTTCATTATATTATACTTGGGTCAGTTAACTACAGCCCACAGGCCTGTTGCCTGTTTTGTAAACAAAGTTTTACTGAAACACAGTCTATTCATATACATATTGTCTATGTAGCTGCTTTTGAGCTACAATGGCAGAGCTGAGTAGTTGCAACAGAGGTCATATAGCCCACAAAGCTTAAATTATTTACAGCCCAGCCCTTTAGGGAAAAGTTTGTTGACTCCTGTAGTACTCCAGATTTTCTCTTTGAGTTCACAGTTGAGAAAGTTCTCTCTTGTCTCAATACCAGAATTTTTTGTGCTTTTCCCTGGCAATTTGTCTTTCCCTCTTGAACACTGGGAATTTTATACCTGATTATATTTCCTTCTTTACACTGATGTTAAGAAGTTTAAAGCCTAGTAAAACTGCAGATTCCTAGCACTCGCTTGATAGGAACAGAAAGGATCTTCCATTTTGGTTACACTAGCAGGATGTTAGATTGTTTTGGCACAGTCAAAAACTCAAACAATTTATAGGTGATACAGGTGTCTGGGATTTTTCAGTAATGAAGTGGTACATCTGGGGCAGGACCTGGGCTCTGTAAGAATCATAGTTTTCCCTAATGAGACAAATACCTACTTTCTGTGAATAATCTTTTTGTTTTCAACAAACTACAGTTTATCAAGAATTTATTATGTGCCAGATACTGGCCTTAAGTGCTAGTCATACCTTATATAATTTATTCTCTAAGGAATATATTGTATAGGTTAAGAGAGTCTATACCATGGAGGTAAAGATGATTATCCTCTTTTACAGATGAGGAAATGAAGGACCAGAGATGTTTTAATTTGTCTAGGTCACAAAGCAAGGAAATAGGAGATTTCAAATTTAAAGCCAGGTGTGTCTGACTCTAAACCTTAGTCCCTACTATATACTCCATTATTCTATATAGTTTACCTAGCATCAACCTTTATCTTTCCAAATCTCAGAATTAGAACTATGGGCTGAACAGTGAGGCATTTCTGGCATTCTTCTCATATTAGGACATTCATCTTTGGATTTGAACAGGGTAAATGGCCTCCACAGAACAGTGGGGCAGGGCAGGTGCAGGGACTATGTCAAGAGTAGACATATGGAGATTGACAAGAAGGCTTTGCAATAGGCCAAGTATGTGATGATGATGGGCTGGACTCTGGTGCTGGTAGTGAGTTTGGAGAGGCATGTGTAGGTTGTAGAGCTGATTAGAATTAGAACTGACAAGATTCAGTTCTTGATTACATGTGGATGGTGAGAAAGGGAGAGGAAGGTGACAAACAGGTCTCACTTTGTGGCTGGAGTAACTAGGTAGATGGTGGGGCCAATCATGAGACCAGAGAAGAAGCGATTGTGGAGAGAAGATGAGGAGCTTTGTTTTGGGTGGGTGAAGAATGAAACTCCTATAAGATATCCAAAATGCTCACTTGTGAATGTGGTAACCTTTATCCCAACGTGTTTTGTATCTCATAATTTATATATATGCCTGTCTCTCCCATAAAACTCTGTGGTACTGAAGGGCAGAGATCCTTCTGCTTAATGATCCTTTGTTTAATGCACGCAATGGCTTCAATTTGTTTTTTATGGTTACTCTTCTAGACAATTCTGAAAGTCTTATCAGTCTCCTTGGTCACTACTAGTGTGCCTCTAAAAAAAGCAAAAGTCATGCTTTGGCCAATTCAGAGCTGCCTCTGTCTCTATCAAAACCAATAAATACCTGCTGCTGCAATGTTATTGCACCTCTTAAACTCTTTAGTGCACAGCGTAAGTGGAAGGTTGTAAAGACTCTGTTAAGGGAGCCTCTACTGATACTAGTAGCAAAGATAAGGGCCTACTGACACCAGTAGCAAAGATAAGGGCCTGTGCCTTTCAGAAGGATGGGCTCTGGGGCACAGGAGCTCCTCCTGCCTGTATCATTCCTCTTCTTCAACATCAGCATAGTGAATATTTATTGAACATCTGGGCATTAGGATGATGCAAGGTACTTTTTAGCAGAAGCAGGAAAGCTCCATAAAAGCAGGCATTTTTGACTATTTTGCTCATTGCAGTATTCCCTGTGCCTAGAGTGTGCTTGGTATGGTTGACACTTAGTAGGTATGCAGTAGATATTTGTTGAGAAGATTAAGGAATGTATAAAGATACTTCCCTTGATGCGTGAGATCTATCCATTCATCTAACATTTACTGAGCACATGTCAGATCTTGAGTCAGACCTTGGGAACACAGAATAGATCAGCCCTGCACTCAGTAAGTCTTATGACGTAGGCCAGCTGGTCAAAGGATCACAGTCATTCCTGGGAGAAGTGTTACAACAGCAGTAAGAGCTGAGTGCCGGAGAGGCAAGTGGGAGTGCTACTTACTCCACCTGGGAAATCAGATAGGGCTTCCCAGAAGGAGGTAGCATTTAATCTGGGTCTTGAAGGATGAATAAGAGTTCTGAGAGTAGGAAATGAGAAGAAAGGCATCAGAGAGAGGAAATCTTTGTGGGAGGGAGCTGAGACAGTTGCCATGGTCATTTACAAGAAAATACCCTGGGTAGAAGGTGAGAGACGGGAACAGATAGCATAACCTCCTAGGCTGAGAGAAGGACTAGGTTTTTAATCCAAAGCCCTGTTTCCTCCCCATCTCTCATGCTGTTTTATTATAATCCTACTGGAAGATGAGAAGCGAGAAAGATAGAGTTTATTGATAGGAGAGAAATGTTAAAAAAAAATCACACACAAGGCTGACATGGATATATATGTGAAAAGTAGATGAAAGCAAAATGGCTCAGAGCCGCACACTCCAATGGAAATATAATATTTTTAATTTTCTAGTAGTTGCATTTAAAAAAATGAACAGAAACAGGGGAAATTAATTTTAATCATACATGTAACACAATCTATTCAAAATATCATTTCGACATGTAATTTGTTTAAAAATTTAAGAAAAATGTAAATTCTTGTTTTCACTCTAAGTCTTTGAAATGTGATATGTATTTTACACTTTGGATGAGCCGCGTTTCAAGGGCTCCATAGCCACATGTGGCCAATGGCTGCAGTATTGAACAGTGCAGGCCTAGACTCCTAAAGTCTTTATCACGCAATGTGAAACTGAAGAACCAAGGAATGTCCGAGACCCACCCACTCACCCCTTCATTCATGTGCCTAGGGCTTCTGATATAAAGTCAAACAAGAAATGGCCTGTGTCACCAGGGAGCATGCAGTTTCATGCATTACAAGGCAGTGAGCTAGCCATCTAAAAGGAACTGAGATCTGTCAGTTTGTCCGGGGTCTCAAACTGAGGGCTGTAGGCTGTGTGTGCCATTTGATTTTTCCTGTACTGTATCTCAAAAAACATTCTACCCAGGCAGGTGTTATGCTTCGTCTACAGGCAGCTGAACACCTTTGGCCCCACACCTGGCTGCCTCCACTCATTAGGTTGCCTGCAGACCCTCTGCAGACATTTGCCTTTGATAACCCAGGAACAGGTGTCTCTGAGAAATCCTAAGTGTTGACAAGACCAGAGGTATAAACAGAATGGACTTAGAGGGCATCCAAGTCGTGGTTTGCAGCCCCTGCTTATGTTCTAGAATCACCTAGAACAGTTTTTGAACATACTATTTTGGGACCCCACCGTCGGAGATTCTGATTCCATTGGTTTGAAATGGGAATGGGATCCAAGTATTTTCTACAAGTCCTACCCTGTGATTTTAGTCCCATTTCCAACGTGTAACTGCTGGGAAACCACGGCCCAGAGATTTTGTTTGTTTGGGCTGGGGTCACGTAGTACACCAGCCTCCTAATCCCAACCCACTGATGTTTTCCCCAAACAACACTGAGGGGAAGAGGAGGCCCTCAGAACCTTCCTTGAATATTCAGGAGGTATTGCCACACACCCAGAGCTTAGAGCAGGGGGACGGGAATCCGTTACTGCTGTGTTGCCTCTTCAAGAACAAAGCCCTTGTCGGTTTACCACTCTGGGAAGATTGCCAGGCTCAAGTATTAATAATAATCCCTTTGTTTTGTAAATGCCTTATAATTGCATAAATAAAGCTTACTTTCTCTTCTTTAATGGTAATGAGCCTTATTTGGCTGATTGGTTGATTAATAATACTCTAATTCCACTAGTGACAAAACAGGAAGGCCAAAAGATAGATGTTGAGCCCGGGTAGCTTGGGATTGTAAAGCACCCGTGCCGGCCATGTTTTCACTGCTCCCGTGGTATCTCAGTGAGAAGGATAGCCTGGTTTCTTCACAGTCGGACACTGATAAGTAAGAGCAATGGTCAGCATCAGCAAAACGGCGCTTGCAGTTCCTACTTGAACATCTCTTTTTTCTCATTACACAATGTCCATTCTGGAAGACCTAAGGAAGATACTACAGTTGACTCTAGATCAAAGTGGGTTTGAACTGCATAGGTCCACTTAATACACAGATTATTTTTAAACCAAATGTTGATGGAAAATACCATATTCAAGGGATGCGAAGCCCCGTAGGCCATGCATAGGGAGGTCTAGGCCCACTTTTCTCATATGTGGTTAAGTTTGCACAGATTTCAATAAACTGGAGGGTGTGTTGGAATCAGTTTCCCATATATACCAAGGGAGAGCTGTATTCGTCCCTGGTTTTAGTAGCATTAACAGTGGTGCTGGTCCTGGGTTACTAGGGTTACTGTTAGACATTGGAAATTGTGATACTGATTAAAACTAATCATGTTTACTACTTTCCATTGGCTACCTGGACATTTAGGGGCAAACCTGCATACCACCTGCAACAAGTGTGAAGGAGTTCTCAGCAGACATTTTCTGTAGTAACAACAGCTCACATTTTACTGAGCATTTATTGTCTACATGGACTCTTTGCACCTTTCTTTCTGCAAACTCCATGTTTCTGGAAAAACTAGAGTGCACGTCTCACTTTTGTAAAACAAGCAATGTTCTCAATGCCCTTGGGAAATAAAGAAACTCATTTGAATTGTAGATTTTTGTGCTGTACATAATGACCTCGTTACTTCACCATGTTTGCGGTGCCATTTGCTGGTTTTTCAGACTCCCCCTTGACTTACAGACAAGGCCAGGTGGGCCCAGCTGCTGCCTCTGAGTTGGCTGTGAACTCAGCTTCCTTCTTCTCAGCCCAGCAAAGTCTCTGCTCTTGCTAGGAGTCAGACGGCCAGAGCAGAGCCCTGACGGGGCCCACAGTTGTGGACAGCTTTGCACTGTCATGCACTGGCCCAGAGACAAAGGGAAACGGGAGGGCTTTTATTGGTCACCTGCCTCCATGCATTGGGTTCCTGATAGATAGCAGATGGAGAGACACGGGAGTTAATGAGGTCTGCGTTCTGGCCAAATGCTTTCCATCTTCCTCTCGCCACTGAGCCCATTGGAAAAGAATGTTGTGCTGGGCAGGTGGTCAGGGAGAGCTACAAAAGCTGAGCTTTCAGCAAAGGTGTTAGGGAAGGGAGAGAGATAGCATGCACTGATTCAATTCGACTCAATTCAGGGAATATTTATTAAGCACTGCCTCTATTAGTCACCTATATGTATCATCTCATTTTTTTCCTCGAAGATATCCTCCCATGTAATTGTCATTATCCTCACTTTACAGGTAAGATACTTAAAAGACTCAGAGATATTAAGAAATGTGTCTAGGATCACACAGCCAGCCTAAGGCTTAGCCGGGATTTGACTCTAAGTCTTGTTCTTTAAACCTAATACACCAAGCTGCTTCTCCAAGCACCTCTGCCACTTGCTGGGTCACACATTCCTTTTTAAATTGTTTTCAGAGTTACATCTTGAGGTCTCATTTCTGAAGCATCTCTTCTTGCTGTAGTGAGGAAATGGGGTTGGGAAAGAGACGGATCTTCAAAGACTAGGGGAAATGGATGGAACGAGCAGTTTACAGTTATAAAATTTGTTTTCAGTTCTAGCAAGGGCTAGTAGTAATTTAGTCATCAAGACTGGCGTCCACTTCCTTTGGGGCTCCCTACCCTGAGCCAGATGTTTTTTGTTGAATCTGGTAATTTTCAAAGAAGAGTCCAGATTGGAGTGTCAGACCAATGGCTGGGCTCTGTGAATAGAGCCTGTGAAAGAACACAGGAAAAGCACCCATAAACTGTGCACTACACAGCACTTTGCAACCTCTCAGCCTTTCCATGCCCTCTCACAGCAGCCCAGTGAGGCAGGCGTCATTATTGACCCCATTTTGTGGGTGAGAAAACTGAGCCTCCAAGACTTTCCTGGGTCCAGTGCAGAGCTGGGACCCATCGTGTCTCAGAAGATGCAGGTGGCGCCTGGCACGTGATGGGTACTCACACACCATTGAAACTTCAGACTCCTAGCTCTGAGGCTTTTGTCTTCCATCTTATGGTCTCTGCCTCAAGAAAAGTAATCTATCCCGAAGGCTATTTCTTCAAAATATAAGAAAATCCTTACAGGGCTGTGATCTCATGTTCCTCCGCAGGCCCCTTTGGCATCCCCATGGACCATGCATATGACTTGCTTTCATCCATCCAGAGGTTATAAGAAACCAAATGTTGGCAGCATAACATCTTTCTTTGGAGGGACTCAGAGGCCTGCCCCAGTATTTGTCTCTGGGGGTCAGGAAAGAAATTTGAGAGGCTGCAGAGGAAGAAGCCACTGGCTTTGTTTTGTCAAGATCTGTGCTTTTTAAATGGTTTCATCTCCAAACACATAGCGCTCCTCCTCCTAAAGAAAAGCAAACCAAAAAAATTGTAGAAGCCATCACGTCCTACAAAACCCACAGCTCTCTCTCTCTGTATATTCCCAGCCCAGCCTCCAGACCCAAGGAAGGTGGGAAGAGCTGTCCCCAGGGGTTCCTGGTGTGGGGTTCCATATAGAGCCGAAGATACTGTGGGGGCTCATTCCCAAGCCAAGCCAATCTATTTTAGGACATTTCCATCATCCCCAAAAGAAACCAGGATGCTTCCCCCAGCATTTCATGGAATCACAGCAAGCATTTCTTGAAGGAATTCACAGGAACAGGCCTAGCATGGGACCGGGAACAGAGTTTGTGTCTAATGAATGTCCATTCCACAGCCCCTGGAGCAGGGTTTGGTACAGGTTTGTGGGGTCAGATCTATCAGCTTTCCCCACACACAAGCATGGAGGCTACCCTGCTAGTTCAGCTCAGTTTTTCTGCAGAGGTCGATCTCCAGGTATGAAATTATGTCTGGACCCAGGGTCAGGGGGTCGTACTTCCCAGTGAACTTTCCACACAAAAGGTCCAGTCTCCATGGCTCAGGTCAGAAATTACCCACTAGACAGCCTCCCTCTCCAACCTGCCAGGTCAAGGCAAATAGGAATACTGCCCCCTGTGCCTCATGGCAAATTGTCACTCAATTATGGCCACTTTAGAACCCAGGTTATCACAAATTGACTTGGCTGATCTCTCTAAATTGCCTCATTTTCATCTATTTCTTTTGCTCTGTTTCCAAGAAGAAATTCTGAGCTCAGGAAACATCGTTTTCATAGCCCAGTTGTCCCTTTGGTCAAGGAGTTGTAAGAGAGGGGAATGAAGTGGGTTGGGGGAAGATTTGGCATTATCTGGGGTTGGATCCCCAGAAGAACCTCAGGCCAGTCTGTGTCAGGAGTAGGGAATACTGGGCAGGTGGGAGGGCCCTTTTGGCAGTAATGAGGTACAGCCTTGGAGAGCCTTGAGTTGGCACCGGAGGCGTGCTGCTTGAGGAGGAAGAAGGGAGTTGAATTAAAGCAAATGGTAATTTATGGAGTCCACAGTCACGAGTCCACTGAGTCCCTCTACCGCATACTGGGCAACAGGGAAGAACAAGGCAGATCTCCTGCCCCTGAAGAGTTCTCTGGTCAGAAAACAGACAGACCTAGGTTCCCTGGTTCCATTACCTGAAGTAAATCATATGCCTTCTTTAGCCTCAGCTTACTCTTCTGTAAAGTGGAGCTAACAATCTCTATTTTTTAAGGTGATTGTAAAAGCTAAGTAAGATAATATATGCCAAGTATACATAGCACATGTCCAGACATATGGAATGTGTTCATTAAAGGGATGTTCTTACTATACTGCTGATAAGATGTAGGTGAGGCATCCTGGGGTAGAAATTAAGGAAGCACTCGCAATCAGGGTGGAGCCATCACAGGGTCAGCACTCAGTGCCTCCTGAAAATTTTTACCCTTGGTGCCTCGCTCACCTTACCCTAGTCACAACTCTGATGTTAAGTAATGATTGAAAGTGACTATCGGCTCACCGATGCCCTTAAATGAAGTTATATTTTGTCACAACAATATCTATTCTCACATGAGAAACAGATGTACAACTATGTTTGAGGCACAATGTTTGTTCATTCTACAAAAAAATTGTAACCTCCATATAAAAAGCCACTTCTCTCCACCACCCACAGCCCTCCAGGTGGCAGTGCTCACTGTATCCCACTAAGTTGATTATTAACAGTTTCCTGCATCACATAGCTCTTTAACTGGTAGGTCTGAGAAGTGGCCATAATAAGATGCTCAGAGCCCAGGGATCTTGTCAGCAAGCGATGTGATATTAACCCATCTTGCGTGACTACAGTAAATGACAACAAAAGAGAGTTGTTGAGATTTTTTCTCTTTTAATTGCTTGCTGGTACCTAGCGCCATAGTGAGTACATAGTAGATGTTTAATGGATACTTGGTGATTGAGTTCATGGGTATAGGGATGGATGGATGGGTGTGCATGGATGGATGGATGGATGGATGGATGGATGGATGGATGGATGGATAGATGGATGGATGGATGGATGGGGGAGTGGATGGGTGGAGGGATGGATGGATGGATAGGTGGATGGATGAGTGGATAGATGCATGGATGAGTGGATGGGTGAGTGAGTATATGGGTAGGTAGGTGGGTGGATGGATGGATGGATGGATGGATGGATGCATGGATAGATGGATGGATGGACAGATGGCTGGGTAGATGAAGATAGATAGGTAGATTTCATTAGAATGTATGTTCTAGGAAGGAAGGAATTTTTACATATTTTTTTCATTGATGTATGTCCAATGCCTAGGACTTAACATGTAACAGATAGTAAATATTTATTGTTGAATTAGATGGATAGGTGGAGGAAACAGTGTATGAATGGGTAGATGCACAGATAGATGAATTCATACTAGTTTACTTTTGAACAGTACTTTACACTTTACATTCTGTATCTTATTTGATCCTTGACCAAGCTGTGCAAAGTAGTCTGCGTAGGTACATAACTGATGAAACCCTCCTTTTGGCCAAGCAATATTCTCATTATGGCACACCTACTTCTGTCCTAGGAACACCCTCCAACTCCTTTGAGAAATACGAGCTAATTCAACACTGAGCACGTGACCTAGTGCACTGTAATTCTCTGCATTGTGAACCAAATATGTGTGATCTTCACTATTTTGGAATGAACCAGAAGAATGAAGAAACTATCCCTGGCCATACAGCTAGTAGGTGGGGGGGGCCAGGACTGGAACTCAGCTTCAGATTGCTCATCTCGGGCATGTTTTTCTTCAGATGAGCATAAAGATGATTTGCCTGCCTAGAGAGGTGGGCGGCTTGCATGAATAAATGACAGACACATCATTCTAGTGAGCCAGGGAGCCGGTGGGGGAGCACTTGCTTAAAAAGAGACAAACAGCTTTGCCTGAGCCTCCCTGGTTGAAATAACTGCATCCGCTTAAGCCCCTGGCTCTGTTAGCAGACAAGGATTATGTGATGTGCTCAGAAGCCCAGCCATCTATTGGTATTTAATGCATTCACTGTCAGTAAAGATTCCCTGGTGCAGGAGGCTGATAGGATTTAGAGATGCAGGCAGGAAACTTCTCACATTTGGAAACTGGTGTATTACAAGTCAAGGCCACTTTCACTTACTGCACACTTGACCTTGTGAAATAAAGCCCTGTCCTGGCCCTTACCAAGGAAGGATGAGAAGTTGTATAGAGTTATTGAAGGGGGCCAGCCTTAGAATTCACAAAGACTTGAGTTTGAATGGAGGCCCCACTGCCTACTAGCTTGGGGAGGCTGGAAAATGGAAGAAAGTAATGCTTTCTGACCATCCATTGTATAATAGTCACCTGTACCAGTGTGGAGATGCATTAATTCACTTAAACCTTTGGTTAGCCCTGCAGAATGTAGATGTAGTTGTCTCCATTTTACACATGAAATCAAGGCTCAGAAAGGTTATGCATCTTGTCCAAGGTCTCATCATCGTAACTAATAGAGAGGCCTATTTATCTGACTCCAAAGGCCTATTTGTCTGACTCTAAAACCCTTTCCATCTCAGCACATGACAAGACACCAAACCCCTCTCCTCTCCCCATTAATGTAAGGGGGATAACACCAAGTTTTCCACCCAACCTGTCTGTACCATGGATTGAGTGAACCCCTCACCTCGCAGGTGTTTGCAGGAAGAAGGCTTAAACTCTTGCACCTGAGCAGACTCTCATTCTGCAGGCTGTTTTCACCATGGTGCTGGTGGATTCTCACGTGACAAGTCTTTTGAACATTTGCCAGTACCTCAGCCCTTCTAGTTAAAACCACATTATCTATGATGATCCTTAATGATAGCATTTGTGGAGTCAGGATGCTCTTTGGTCTCAAGTTCAGTTTGAAATTTCCCCTTCTGAGCAGCAATGTGGTGGCCTTAATAATGGGCCAGTGTGAGATTCTGTGTGACCTGCTCTGATAGCCTGTGTATTCCTTTTTACTCCAGAAACCTCTACTAGAGGAGGCTCTCAACCTCCCTGGCAGATGGTTTGGCAGCCTGTGTGTCAAAGACACGTGTCAACTATTTCTAGTTTATTAACTTTGTTGCATTAGCTGTGGGCCCCTCCACCCTCCACCCTTCCAAGATGCAGATGAAAAGAAGCAAGTGGATCAGTATTTGCTGGCCATTGTTTCTATTAGGCTCAAGGAGCACCTCTGGCTGGTGTCCTCTCCCTCTAGCTGAGGACATTTGCACCACAGCCTTGGTGAGCTCCTGGCACTAGATTCAGTCTTTACCTGAAACTGGAGGTGATTAAGGAACAGCATCCTGAATGCTGAGTCTATAGGAGTTCATTGAACTATTATCTCTACTTCTAAATAGGTTTGGGAAATTTTTTTTTAATTCTTTAAGAAGTGGCATAACAACCCTTTGGGACACAACATTCAGATTGAGAGGCTACTAGGCTGGCCCAGACCTTGGGCCCCAGTCTGATACTTGAGGCCTAGTTCCTTAGTACACTGAACAATGCCCACCATGATTGGTCCATATGTGCCCCTCCAGCCCATCTCCTACCACCTGCATGCATCCTGTGCTCAGGCCACCTCTTCTGCCTGGAATGCTCCTGCCTTCCTTCATTCACTGCTCTGTCTCTCATATCCACAACATGCCCACTCCTGCTTATCCTTTAAATTGCAGCTCAGTGGTTGCTTTCTACAGGAAGACTTTGTCACTGATCCTGACTAGATGAGGAGCCATCTGTTATGTCTTGCTCATCTTGGTCACTCCACAGGCCCTTAGTAATTGCACAGTGACCAGATGGATGGATGAATGAGGACATGATTAGTAACGTAACTGAGTTTCCACCTCACTCTCAAGCCCTATTCCCAGAAAGCCCTATCACCCAATGAAAGCCTGAAATCTGAAAGTCTCCTGTGTGAGGCTCAGAGTCCAGGAGCCACAAATGAGACAGGACCTTTAAAAGTTAAAATCCAAGAGACAAAGTCATTGATAAACAGCAGGATTCCTAACAGGTCCAGACAAACCTGACATGGACAGTCTTAAAGATCCAGCCTCTGAACCCTTTGAACTCTGAGATGGAAACTCAAATGGTTCTCTTGTAGGTGACACCATTTTGCAGATTCTCACTGATTGCTTTGGTTTCCCACTGGTGAAATCGAGTTGTCAGATCTCCAAGCTTTGGCACTGGGCAGTCCTGGCTTGGGATTCTGGTTCTGCCAGTGCCTGGTGATGTGGCCTTAGGCAAAGCAGTTACCCTCTTTCAGCCTCTCCACTTCCCTGGAAAATGAGGACATGAAATGCTACAATACATGGCAAGTGTGGGGAACTGATAGGCACTCAAATGGAGTAACTGAGGAGGGTTGAGAGAGGAGCAGGGTTTCAGAAAGCCGGTGAGATAGCGCAGCACCCCAGGATTAGCAACACCAGGAAACTGTTACTACCCACTAGGCCTAAATAGGAAAGGGCAGGAGTAGTTACTGAGAGCTATGGCTACAGGAGAAGATGCTGGACAGCAGCCATGCCTTAGGTAGAAGAAAGAAGCCACTACTAACAACTATAGCCTAGCAGGGAAGAGTTGGGGGAATAAACAACCCAGCCTCTCTCTTTTCTGTCCTCTGAGGCTGGTGGCTCCAATAGCCTAACCCTAACCGGAAGTCAAAGGGAAAAGAATTCCATTGATATCACCCCAAAAGCTCAGCCTCCTGGGGCACAGAAAAGGGCAGCGAAGGGTAGAGAAAAGAGCTGGAGGAGCAAAGACTGTCCAGCCCAGCTCTGCTCTGACACACAGTGCTTTCTCAGGACAGGCCACTTTCTCTTACCTTATTTACATCTCTACTTCAATAGAGAAAGGGACAGAAGAGAAGATTGAACAAACCTGAGCTTTCCTTAGAGTCTTAACAAGATTGTGTTAGGGACAAAAGTTGAAATGGAAAGAAAGAATAAAGGATTTTTAATTTTGATTATCTGTGGATTTCTTTTATCCATGTTATCTCTTTCTGCCTGTAGCTGGGATAATTGAAAACTCATTGGCTTCCCTAACTTTAGCTATTCAATGTGTTGAATGCACATCAAAGGTGTTTTTGTAAGGAGCTGTATGCCGTCATTTTTAATTAATTTTAAATTCAGTTTTACATTTGATCTAATAAAGTCAAATGAATCTTTATTGTTCAGATATCACTAACTGGTGAAATAGGTCAGGCTTTCCAAGAGGAGTTCTTTGAGCTTCTTTGCATGTATAAATATCTTCTGCCAGCCGACTCTAGGCTCTAAAGGATACCTGGCTGCAGGCTTGCAGGGATCTATGTAAGACACGGAGGCGTTAGGAACATGAGAGGCCGGACTGAAAAGACTGTGTCAGCATCCCATGCATTTCACACACAGGTCCTTCTGTGCACTGGGCACCATGCTGGGTGCAGAGTGTAAAGGAGACAGAGGGGTCACCTGTACTCTGCAGCTTAGTCCCACAGGAAAATAAACTTGGACACTTGAGATGGAAAAATAGGCATCTTTATTTTTCCTCTTCAACCTCCCTAACTGTGGGGAGATTTGCACCACGCCCCCAATTCTGCGGTGAATTCCAGACCTTTCTGGTCACCCAGCGGGGCTGCTGCCCATGCCCCCACAAGCCCAGTGGGACCCTCTCACTTTGGGCTTCCCATCATCTGCAAGGCATATGACGCCCTTCCAGAACTGGGAAGACTTTTCCTTTGTCCCCTCCATGGCTCTCAAGGATGCATGGAAAAGCTTCTATTCTACCCGACCTCCACTGTCTCCTTCCACCTCCCAAGCCCCAGTTTCTTATTTTTCTGATTATTCCCAGGGAAGAACAACTCAAGCTTGTCAAATAAACCCACTGGGGTGATTGACACTATCTTTCCTTCCAGATCCTTTCCTGTACACCAGCTGCTTGTGTATGTGACTCTCCTCCACTCTCACCTCACCAGCGTGGCATTGAACACATTATATAATATTAACACAATATTATAGTCAGTTGCAGCACTTAATATAAGTGATTTTTGATGTGTGCAAGGGTAAGGAAAACAAAATGGCCTTTAATCTCATTGCCCCAGTAACTCCTGTTGACTTTAAAAAATTGGATGTGCATGATCAGAAAGTACAGAGTCCAGAAAGTCAGAAAAGAACGCGTGACTTGTCTTAGCTCCTTAGCTGCCTCTCTCCAAGGGTGGCCACAGCAAAAGAGTTTTCTGCTATTCTTCCGTAAAAGAAAGTGTAGGCTCATATTTTATTTATACCAAAGAGCCCATTTATCCTCTGTTCTTGGGTTTTCCCTTTGACAACGTACCTAGGAGGTGTTTCACTATCAGTCCTTACAAAACTAATTACTCTTGTTAACTGCTGCATATTTTTCCATTGTTGAATGTGCCATACATCGTTTACCTCAGTCTCTGCTCAAAGACACTTACGTTTTTCTAGTTTTTTGCTGTGACATATGCCTATCTTGGCATGTTTTGGGGGATGGGTGTAAGTGGAGAGTAAATTTCTAATAATAGAATAAATGAGCCAAAAAGTTTTAAATTTTGATAGGTATTGATTGCCAAATTGACCTACAAAATAGTTTCACCAGTGGACACTCCCATCGACAGCATATGAGGATGCCCCTTTCCTGTGGGTAAACACTGGAAAATTATCAAGCTTTTCCATTTTCACCAACCTGATAGGGAAAAGAATGTAATTTCACTGTTGTTTTGATCTGCATTTCTTTAACTATCAGTGTGACCAAGTGTCTTTTCATATGTTTACTAGCTGTTCGTATTTGTTCTTCTGTAAATAGAATATTCATATTCTTTGTCTATTTTTTTCTACTGGATTGGAGATAAGTTTGGTACTTTTATGAAACCAAAAGAAGTTCATCATCGATTTTATTTCAGTTTATTTTGAGATTCTGAATCAAATGGGGAGGGATGAAGGTCTAAACGTCTTCATCCTCTCTTACTTAAACAGGGAAACCTCTGTAGCCTCTTGGACGGTCTGCCCATTCCCACCCCACAGAAAACAGGGCGATTAATTATTTAGGATCCCATCGGTTCAGAGGAGAAGCTGTACCAATCAGACAGTTCCCCAGCAGCTGCTAAAGTACCAGGCACTAAGACGCGGATCAGCTGTGGGACTCTGTGTCATCCATTTAGATGAGGGCTTCCTCGACTGCCTATTGTGAGCCTCCGGAGGTCACATCCTTGACATCATCTGCTGGACCATGAAGATCATCAGCATGCCAAGGAGTCTGACAGGCTGCGATTATTTTCCACTCCAGTGCAGTGTTTGTTTGTTTCCTGGCATGAAGGGGATTTGTTTTCCCGGCAAGCTCTTTGTGCAGCAGACACCTCATAAAAGGAAAATAGCCTCTTTGGGAACATTGATGAGTTTGCTCAGGCCTTACGGTGGTCAGGCCCTGAGTGTGAGTTTGAGTGAGTGCAGTTTATGTTTTTGGCCCCAGTGGATGGGCTGTTATTCCTTTGTCTGTTCATCCATTAATCCAACAAGCATTTGCTGAGAAGCAATTTGGTACAGAAGTTAAAAGTTGGGGCTTCACAGACAGAATAAGCCTTAGTTGTTGAGTTTACTTTCGTGTGACACTGGGTAAGTTGCATTCCTTCTTGGAGCCTTTGTCTTTTCTTCACCGTAAAATGGAGGTAACAATGTCTATCTCAGAATTCTAAAATCTGTTGATATAATATATGTATTAAGCAACTGTACTGTCACAATCATGCTGCATTAACAAGCCACTTGAAAATTCAGTAGCTTAAAACAATCATTGACTCTTACTCGTCTGTCTGGGAGTGAGCTGGGGTCAGCTGATCTAAACTGGGCTCTGGGGGGTTTAACTCCAATCAGCAGGTGGATCCGGGTCTGCTCCATGAGTCTCTCATCCTCCTTGGACCCACAGGAGAGCTGGGGCACATTCTTTTCATGGCAGCAGAAGGGAGAGGTCAAGCTCCCTAGTGGGTAGGGAAATGCACTCCACCTGTAGTAGGAAGTACTGAAAAGTCCAGGGCAAAGGGCACGAGGAGAAGGGTGAAGAATTAGGAGCAATGATTCAATCTTCCACTATAGATAGTTCACAGCACCCAGTAGTTGCCCTAGTTTTCTGGCCGACAAACTAGAGAGTAGAACTGCTTCAGCCAGGCGCAGTGGCTCACGCCTGTAATCCCAGCACTTTGGGAGGCCGAGGCGGGCGGATCACGAGGTCAGGAGTTCGAGGCCAGCCTGATCAACATAGTGAAACCCCATCTCTACTTAACAAAAAAAGAAAAATTAGCCGGGTGTGGTGGTGAGCGCCTGTAATCCCAGCTACTCGGAAGGCTGAAGCAGGAGAATGGCGTGAACGCGGGAGGCAGAGCTTGCAGTGAGCCAAGATCGCGCCACTGCACTCCAGCCTGGGCGACAGAGCAAGACTCAGTCTCAAAAAAGAAAAAGAGAGAACTTCTTCGCAGCATCCTTTTCCCCAGGGATGACTGTTAAACCGTGTGCTGCTTTCAATTCACAGATTCTGTTTATTTCATAATTCCTCAGCCTTCCAAAGATTGGCCACCTTCAGAAAGCAAAAGAAAACCAACACTCCGAGAGCTTTTACAATTTTTTCTTTGCCCTTTTTATTCCATAGTTTTGTTTCCTCTCCCTCATTTTCTCCTTTTGAAATTTCCATTAGTTGTATGTTAGATCTTCTGATTTGCCCTCTTTTGTTTTGACAGATCAGTCATATTTTCCATCTAGTTCCCTGTGCTGCATTATGGGAAATTTCCTCAAGTCTATTTTTTATTTTACTAAATATCTCTTTAGCTGTACTTAATCTGCTGTTTCATTCAGCTTCTGAATTTTAATTTTAGTGATAATGTTTTTTTTTCATTTTTTCGAGTTTTATTTGCTTATTTTTCAAGCTTATATTTTCTCATAATTTTATTATTTTAACATGATTTTTATTCCTTTATCTTTTTAGTAATTTAAATACATGTATAATCTATCAGAGTATTTTAGTATGTCAAGGGTGTCAAACCTTCTTGTTGCTCTGCTGGTAGAGTGTTTTCTTGGGTGATTTCTAATTTTTTTGTAATCTCATTTTCAGGTGATGTAGTTTGTGATATTGTTTTATTTTTCCAGTGGGATTTCCCTGCATTCAAGGTGATAAAAGTGACCCTACAGAGTCTAAAGAGCTATTTCGTGCCTGATTTGAGCAAGCAACTTAGAGGTCCTACTTGTCCTAGGACAGTTTTTACATTAATTTCTTGGTTTAGGATTTTAGCAACCCACGGGTGATATAAATTTGAACTTCATGCTTGCATGTGGTGCAGGTTTGAGTTTTTATACATCATAGGCTATTTATTTTTCTGTCCAAAGCCCTGAGCAGAATGAAGCTTCTTGGTTTCCTATGCAGCTGGATGGGCAAACATCTCATACATGGAGGGAGGAAACCCTTCCAAGGTCCAGACCTTATTCAGGGTGTCAGAGCTTAGTTTCAACTCTGCCTCACATGGCCCAGAGCTACATCTTTTTTCCCCCACGTGGATGTTAAAACTCTAGCCTCTAGCTATTAAGACGTGTGCCTGTGTCTCATATACTTCTGGCCTACTATGTCTTCAGCTCTTTCACTTAAAGCTTTGGTTAAATGTTTCTTAATTGCTTTTTTTCCCAATTCATTTTGAACCACATTTCTATATAGTTTTGGTGGGAAGAGAGATCCATAAAACCAGTCTACTATGTTGCCAGAAACAGAAGTTCAACACTTATAGCTTCTTGAAGCACCACTAGTGGATCCTTTCATTTTAAACCTCTTTCAAGGATACAGCCCAAAGAAATGCATGTTTGTGAAGTAATTGTATAGCCAGACACCTATTTGATTTAAAAAGCAATTGAAAGTTTAAGCTTCGCCTAGCAAGTTGTTGTCTAAATTTGCCTTCCGTGGACATCTGTGATCATCAGAATTTCAATTATTAATTTTTAACTAGAAGCATGGGATGATTATAAATGCCATTAAGACATTGAATTGTGTCTAATGTTGGGTTAATAGAAGGCAATATTTGCTAGGATCGCTCCTTTTTTTAAGGCCTGGAAACCAGGCATCCTCCATTAGAATAGCAAAAGTTACAGCAGAACTTTTGAAATATTTTCTTAAAAAGGTGCATAGAACAGTGGGGTTGGCCTTCAGTGATTGAGAATGTGTGGCTTTCTTCCCCATTTGGGACAAATGCCTTCAGTCTAATCATTCCCAGGTGCAGGATTCAAAGTCACTAGATGTGTGTTCAAATTCTAGCTCTGCCACTTCCTACCTATGCCTGACCTGAGCCTGGCATCCTGCTTTGCCTTATATGTGGATTATCTCATTTAGCCTCACAATTGAATTTCTAGGCACTCTGTTAAAAGAAAATTAGTGCCGGCCAGGCGTGGTGGCTCACGCCTGTAATCCCAGCACTTTGGGAGACTGAGGCAGGCAGATCACTTGAGACCAGAAGTTTGAGACCAGCCTGGCCAACATGGTGAAAACCTGTCTCTACTAAAAATACAAAAAATCAGCCGGGCATGGTGGTGCTCACCTGTAATCCCAGCTACTCAAGAGGCTGAGGCAGGAGAGTTGCTTGAACAGGGGAGACAGAGGTTGAAGTGAGCTGAGATCACGCCATTGCACTCCAGCCTGGGCAACAGAGCAAGACTCCATCTAAAAAAAGAAAAGAAAATTAGTGCAGGGCACAAATAGGCAGTGTGCTGGGAATCACTGATGCACAATAAAAGTTTACGTAATAAATGAGTAATGCCGCCACTACTGCTCATAGAAATTGCCTGTTCAGCTCCTATTTGGTGCCAGTTACTGGAATAGTCACCTGACATACATCTTCTGACTTAATCTTCAAAACTTCCTGAGATTGCTCCTATTTTAAATATGGGGAAACCAGCAGAGAGTTGTTAGATAAATCCCAAGGCCACATAGCTAGGGAGTGACAGATCTGGAATTCAAATCCAAGTGTCTGGTTTTAAATGACCAGCTTATTAACATTGTGTATAGAGAAAGTAAAGGAGTTGGTGTAGTATTTCTCACATAAATACTGCGTGTGAATATTGCGATACCTTTGGGTTGCTGAGAGGCTTTTTGGCATAATTCCTGTTTCTCAGAAAAGTTTCAGATGGCTGAGTTTGGTGGGTAAATGAATTTGAAATAGAACCCAGCACTGTCCCTGACACATAGCAGAGGCCTAATAAATATTTATGATTCAATCTATTCATTAATGATTTACTTGCTGGTGAGGGGTTATGCTGTCATACCTTTTAAAAGGTAGACTAGAAGCATGATGGAAAATGCATGGGCTAGATTTGGAATTACAGGGACCTATGTTCAAATCTCGGCTTTTGTGCTTACTAGCTCTGTGCCCATGGGTAGGTAGGTTAAATATTTCTGTGCCTCAGTTTCCTCACCTGCAGAATGGGAATGATGAATATCTCTATAGTTTATGTGAGGATTTAATAAGTTAACACATACAGTGCACTTAGAATAGTCCCTGTAGGTAGTAAGTACTAGATAAAAGCTATTATTTTTTATTGTAAGCACTCAAACAAATAAGAATTATTAGTAATTGTTACTGCATGCTACTAGGGTTGTGTCAATGATGCTAAATAAAAATTGAAGACCAAATTATTGCTGAAGATCAGGTGAAAACACCTGGATCCCACAGGTAGTGTCATCGGAAAGCTGAAATTCAGAAAATATTCTTCTTCCTCTCTTCCTCTTCCTCTTTCCTGGCCTTCTAGAAACCTGGTAACCAGTGTCTGCTGTCACTAATGTGGCCAGAGGAAGTAACACATTACAAGGAATGGGTGGGGGAGGGAAGCTTTGTCTTCCCTCAAATGGAGCAAAAACAGCCCATTATTCAAAGTCTCTGCTAGGGGAAAAAAAAGTCTCTGCAGAAAAAGTTGACCATATCGAGCAGAAGATGCTGTAGTTTCCATGGCAATTAATGGTGTTAAGTGCACTTCATAACTCAAAGGTCTCTTGTGAAGATGCAGGAGGAGAAGGCAGAAAGGTGTGTATGGTTTTTTAAAAATAGTATTTGAAGACTTTTTCCCCCTGAAAATCCTTTTACTGCCTTTATGGGACAGAGTTTTATTTTTGAATCCTTGGGAAGATGTGCAAAATGACTTTAGGGATGAAATTACCGACACAGTTGAGATGCCCAAAATAGACGTTCCCCAAAGTGTGGGGGACACTTATGAAAGATTCTCCATACATTTACTCTGTGTGGCCAGCAAAATGTTGCTTTCTGGCACTAATGGGAACTCTGTAATACTGTGGTCCCTAGCCAACAAGGAAGGGGTTCACTCACTCTAATGCCCAGAACTGTGTGAACCTTCAGGAAGGAGAGGTTTGCAGGACCTCTTTTCTAACTCCTGAATCATGTAGGCCATTGAGTGAACACTCTGTATGTATCCCATGCCTTGCCTGTGCCAGGTACCTTGTGGGGAGCTTTGCGCAGGTATCTCACCTACTTCTGAAGGTAGTCGCAGTCTCTTCATTCTGAGGGGCCTGAGCCTCAGAGGAGCTGAGGACACATGGGGACATTAAGTTAAGGCAGGCCACCACAAAGCTCCCAATGAGCCACGTCATCTTGGGCTCTTCCACCTTCCACCAGATGGATGGCCAGCCCTGCGTGTTTATAAGGGACCAGAGGACAAGCCATCAGGGTAGACAGGGCTTCCATGCCCTCCTACAAAGATCTGGCCACAGGCAAGGGCTACTCTATGTGTATTGCCCTTTACCTCAGTTTCCCCCGGTTTCTCCTTCTCCTGTAAAAACAGCAGAGGAAAGAACATATAACTCTAAGGCAGTGCTCAAATGCTTTGGAAGTCCAGAAAATTCCTTCAACTGAGTTGTCTTTTGGTTTTAAAAAACCTTACTGCAGAAGGTAAGTCTAGTATAGAAGGAGAGCATGTAGTCACTAGCAGCACTGTCCTGGGACAGACATGGGTAAAATGCCAGTTCCATCACTTCCTGGCTGGGAGCCCTTGAGGATGTTCACATATTTCTGTTGCTGTAGAATAAATTATTAATGGTTGCATTGCAGTGCTGTTGTGAGGAATAGGGATAATGAAGGTAAACTCCCAACACGGGGTCTGGAACTGCTGGGTCCTCAATAGGCAGTGGCTGTGGATGAAGACCCTTTCTGCAGTCGAAAAGGGAAGGCCCCGCCTCCAGGTCATTGCACAAGGCCTGGAATCAGCACGTTCTTCTTCTTCTTTTTTTTTTTTTTTTTTTTTTTGAGACAGAGTCTCACTCTTTTGGGCAGGCTGGAATGCAGTGGCGTGATCTCAGCTCACTGCAACTTCCGCCTCCCAGATTCAAGCGATTCTCCTGCCTCAGCCTCCTGAGTGGCTGGGATCACAGGCACTTGCCACCATGCCCGGCTAATTTTTGTATTTTTAGTAGAGATGGGGTTTCACCATGTTGGCCAGGCTGGTCTCAATCTCCTGACCTCAGGTAATCTGCCCACCTTAACCTCCCAAAATGCTGGGATTACAGGCGTGAGACACCGCACCTGGCCAGCATATTCTTCTTATACACTGAATTCCATCTGTCCTGTTCTTAATTGTCTCAGCTTTAGACTCTGGGGATATTCAGGAGTTCCCTCTAGAAGAGAAGCCTTATCATTTTGGTTTTGTTTTGGGGGTGGGGGGGTGTTTTTTTTTTTTTGAGAAATACAATATTCATCCAGAAAAGGGCACAACACATACATGTACTGTCCAACAAATAATTGCAATGTGAACATCATGTTACCACTACTCAGGGCAAAAAATAGAACACCGGTAATATTCCCAAAGCTTTCTTGGGCTCCTCCCAAGAAACAACCCTCTCCCTCTTCCCTCACCTCCACCTCGTAGTAACACACTCATGTCGTGGAGAACCTCATCATTCCTTTCCTTTATTGTTTGGCATCTAAGTATATGTATCCAGACAACCCAGCTGTTTTGCCTGTTTTCATTTTTCATACAAATAGAATCATCCAATACATATCTCTCTGTATCTGACCCTCTTTGCTCAATGTCATCTTTTTAAGAGTCATCCAAATTGTGGATAGTTCCAGTGTGTTCCTTTGTGATACCCCATCATCCAGGTATCCAGAAGTTATCGATTCTACTGTTAAGAGGGGTTTGGGTTATTTCCCGTGTTTGACTGTTACAAATGATGGTGCTATGGACATTTTTGTACAAGTCTTTTGAGAATGCTGATGTGTTGGGTATATACCTCAGAAAGGAATTAGAGGTTCATAGGCCTGGTATCTCTAGCTTTACTAGATAATGCCAAATTATTTTCCAAAGTTTGCTGACTTGTCTTTTCATTAACTTATGCTGTAAGGAAACAACTCTGCCAGTCTGGTCTAGGGAGGCCCCAGTTTCCTCACCTATAAAATCTGAGAAATAAGTCATATCCCAAGGTTTTATAAAGATGGAGTGAAATGACGTTTATGTGCTTAGCATATATCTAGCACAGAATAGGTTCTTAATAACAGCTAACACTTATTGAGCACTCTATAAATGTAGGCCATGCTTCTGGCCCCCTCATTTCCCCTTTCAGTGCATATATCCTGGAATTTCAGCCTGAAATTATATGAGGACGTTACCACTTGCGCTGTTTGTCTTTCTCTCTCTCTTTTTCTCTCTCACTCACTCTCTCTTTTAGATTTAGGATCTCCTGTTTTGCTTTCCTTTTCTTTTCTTTTTTTTTTTTTTTTTTTTTTTTAGACAAAGTCTTTCTCTGTCACTCAGGCTGGAGTGCAGTGGCACAATCTCAGCTCACTGCAAACTCCGCTTCCCTGGTTCAAGCAATTCTCCTGTCTCAACCTCCCGAGTAGCTGGGATTACAGGTACCCGTCACCATGGCTGGCTAATTTTTGTATTTGTATTAGAGACAGGGTTTCACCATGTTGGCCAGGCTGGTCTCGAACTCCTGACCTCAGGTGATCTGCCCACCTCAGCCTCCCAAAGTGCTGGGATTACGAGCGTGAGCCACTGCACCCGGCCAATTGTTTTCTTTTTCTATCTTCCTTTCTTTTTCTATAAAGTGTTATATGCTAGGTACTTTTCACGTGACATCTCATTTAACCTTTTCAAAATGCCACAATGTTGGTTCCATTATTATCCCTGCTTTTCAGGTGAAGAAACTAAGGCACAGAGAAGGAAAGTGACAGTCTGAGGTCCCCCAGTTAAGTAGGTAGTGGAGCCAGGGATGATATGCTCACTTTTCCCTCTAGGGAGGGCACCCAGCCAGGACTCTACATGAAAAAATGTATTTTGATGCTGGCTAATGCCCTATTGACAACTGCACACTGATCCACGTCCTAGTTCAAGTTTTGTTACTGTAATCTGGGCTCTGACAACATATGAAGTTTCTTCCTTCAGTATGAGAAGAAAGATAGGGAGACTGAGAAACTTTGTCAAGTCAGTCAGTCAATCAAACATGCAATGGCTGCAGGGCTTCTGCTACCTCTCAGAGGCTTCCACGTGCAGGATGGCAACTTGGGAGATAAGGTGTGCCTGCATTCAGTCAGCTCAGAAGATTCAGTCCAGTAGGAGAGCACCATGGCCATAAACAGTTGGCATGTACAGAGCTGGGTTTCTGTGCTCAGTGACAAAGATAAAGGGCTGTGAAGTTTAGAGCCATTCTTCCTGGAGAAATCAAGGAAGGCTTTCTGAAGGAGGTAACCTCTAAATCCTTACTTCCTTAGCTACCTTCTGCTGTTAGAGGGTGAGCCCACCATTAAAGAAGCATTTTCCCCCACACACAGCCTCTTTGGGCTCTGTCTTCCTTCAGCCTGAAGGTCTCTGGTTGTTTAAGAAAACTCCGGGCAAAAATTTCACCCCTTGCCCTGAGTCTTTTCCCCACCTTCCCTTTCTCCCACCTCTACAGCTAGTCTGCTGTGGATACAGGCTTGTGAAAGAAATGACTGTTTGTTTTATAACAAGAGCTTAACATGATTCATTTCAGATTCCCCAAGGACTTTTGTAAGTTTGGACTGAGTCATAATATATTTTTTTATTAAACTCCAAGACCCAACAAGCAGGAAGCTCTGTTCGACAACATAATATAACTGATGTACTGCAAGCGGCTTTTTTATGGGTGAGTCCTCAAGCTGCTTGAGAAATTCTCTGGCCTCTCCTATCACCACCTGGTTCTGCACGGAGATTAAAAGGGCTTTGGAGACTCGTCACACCACACAGACACACACACACACACACACATAGACACATACAGCCCTGTCCCTCCTAATGCCACATCCAAAAGATGAGGGTCTCTGGACAAGAACAATCCCACTTCCAGACCCTCTCAAGAACAAGGCCCTAACTCCTTCTTCAGAACACAGAAAGGCCTAAGCAGCAGCACTGGAGCAGGCCGAGAACTGCTCCCTGCTCACCCCCGGTGGAGCCACAGTCTAGTAGGGCAATGATTCTTGGAACATTTTCCCCGAGCCAGGAGCATTAGCCTCACCTGGGACTTTTATAAAATGCAAGTTCTCAGGCCCATCCAACACCTTCTGAGTCACAAACTCTGGGGGTGGGACCCAGCAACTTGTGTTCTAAGGGGCTCTCCAGGGCGATTCTGTTGCTTGCTAAGGTTTAAGAACCACTGATCGTAGGACTTGCTCAAAGGGCGGTCCTGGGACCGGGAGCATCAGCATCACGGGAGCTTGTTGGAAATGCACTCTCAGGCTCCACCCAAGGCCTGCTGGATCACAGTCTGCATTTTAACAAGACTCCCAGTTGAATCTCGTCCACATTAACTTTGAGGAACACTGCTGTAGGCACCGCGGGACATGGGCCACCTCTGGTCCTGAGTTGAGTCCTTGCTCTGCCTCTCAGTTGCCGCCTGCTCTTGGCTGGCACATGACTTATCTGAGCCTCAGCGTCTTGGTTAGCGCCCTGCATTAGTGCATTGGAAATATTTGCTCTCCTGGTTTAGGAAAATGCCTCCCACAGTCCCGGCTCCACGGGAGGCTCTCGGCACTGTTCTTCCTGCCTGTCCCTGGTGAGCGGGTGACCTTCTGCCCCCTCTGACACTGGCCCACCCTGGAGACAGTGGCTGTGTTCTTGCAGCCCTCCCTCCTCTTGTGTTTCTGTTTGATTCTCATGATTCAATATCCCCTGCAGCGTTTTGTTGTCATTTTCTGTTTTACTCTTGGAAAGCTCACAGGGTTTCCCCTTTGAAGTGTTTCATTTTTTGTTTGTTTGTTTAAATTCAGCATTGCCCTCTGATTGGGGCACATCCAGTGACTTTATAGCACAAATTCAGAAAGAGAGTTGCTCCAGTGCCATTCAAAATGGACCGCAAAATCCACTGTGCCGAGATGTGTCCGAGTACAACGACAAGACAGCCCATGCACACCGTGGTGCCTCACAAAAGGAGAAAACACAATACCTGGAGTCTGATAAATGACTGAAAAGTGCTAAAAATGACCCCCGAAACACAGACACCTCCTCCCCTGTTCCCTGCCTCCTACCGTGTCATGAATTTGTGATGGGGACAAGGAGCACACAAGGCCCCCCTCAGTGCCCCGATGAAAGTCACTGAAGCCAGGAACAAAAGTGGAGCCCCAGACAAGGGGAGGGGAGCAGAAAGGGGGATGGAAATCCACTGACCCTTCCTGGAGCTCCCAAGGGGCACTAGAGGAATGAAAACCCTTCCTAGCCCCCAGGCCCCGAACAAGTGGCAATCTCCCTCCCCAGGGTACAGAGTTTAAAAATGCATCAGATCAAGGCCTGCATGGAGGGATACCTCACACACTGTGGAAGGGGCAGATTTGGGAACTAAAGTTTGGCAATAAGACTCAAGAGCCTCAAAAAAGTCTACATGCCTTGACCCAGTAATTCTGCTTCTGGGAATCTGTCCTAAGAAAATAATATGAAATGCAGACAAAAATGAATCCACACGGGTGTTCACTATAGCTTTATTTATGTGAGTGAAAAATTGGAAACCACTAAATGCTCCACTTTAGGGAATTGGTTAGGTAAATTATGGTTCATTCATAGAGTGGAATATTTTGTAGCCGTTAAAAATGATGTTTATAGAGCTTTTAATGACATGGGGAAATGCTTATGGTATGCTTATGGTGATTTTATACCCTGTCTTTTGCAAGATGTAAAATCACACACGGTGTGATCTCAGCCATGTAAAACAGTTACAGAAAAATAACAGGAAGGAAAAACACACACACAAACTGTTAACGGTAGTTGTCTCTGAGTGGTAGGATTGCGGATGATTTTTCTTCTTTTCTTTCCACCTTTCTGGTTTTTTATTTTTATTTTTTTCTATATTTGGAAACTATTGGTCATCGGTGTTGGGTATTTATTTAAGCCTCACAGGCAATGAAGGAAAAAAACATCACCATTAGTCTGAGGCCTGGCGAGGGATATGACAGCTGTTTTTCCCTCCTGAACATGCATTGCTTTTGAAATCAGAGAAAAAATTAAATAAACGTTATTTACCAAATTAAAATCAAATCAAAATAAATAAAGCATCTGAGCCCCTGTCGAGGAAGGCCTCTGCTCCTAAAAGAAGCGATCGCCTGCTTCCAGCTTATCATTTTTCAGGGATCTTAAAAAACCAGCCACTGTGAAATTGACTTCTAACTGATCTTAATTGAGATGGGGCCCAAATGCAAGGATCAGAAATGAAATTCGGGCTGGTTGCCTTATGGCTGGGCTGCCAAAGAGACTCTGCACAATCCCAGGTCACAGAGGAGCTAACTGGAGTTACTTCTCTGTTCCGGATTCCACCTGCCACCTTCCATATAAGACTCCAGGGTCCTGCCGCCCCCTTGCTAGTTTTTTACCAGCTCAGGGATGAGTGGGGGTTGATTTGAGACTATCTGGGCTTGAGGGGATTCTTAAGGCTGGTGGCTGAGCATTCACTCCTTAACCCTACCAACCTCCGCCCCCCACCATACACATGCACACACACACACACGCTCACATGTGAACACATCATCATTGATTCTGTCCCTCTGCACAAATGCATGCTGCGTGTAGTGACAGGCTACAATGAGTGGGCACCATGCTAAGTCTCTAAAGTGCTTTACCTTGTTTAATTCCCATGACGACTCTGTGATTTAAGTACTATCAAGCCTCACTTTAGAGTGTGGCAGACTCAAACATTCTTCCTTCTGCTGGCATGTGCAGCTCCTATGATTTTGGGAGTGAGCCTGATGGTCTCATCGGGGTCCCCTCCAACTTCAGAGTGACGAATTCTCTTAATGTTAAAAGCCAGCCATGCAGGCCCCAACACACAGGCTACAGGATGCTGAGGCCCTCCCACTCTCTCCAAGTCACACTGCCAGCCCGTCCCTGCTTGCCACCTTGCTGCCTGGCCCTCCTTCCCTGTCTTCCTCCTTTTAGGTTTCTCCCTCCCACACACAAAACCCCTCTTCCAGCAGTCTACTGTCAGATTCATTCATTGCTTTCTTAGATAGAACAACATAACTCTTCTTTGTCTAAACCCAGGAGGCCTTCCCTTTCATATCCAAACAAACTCATCATGGTATTTTTCCTTGAAAAAAAAAAGAGTGCTTTATCAAAGATACATTCTGCCTTCTTTTCAAGCCACTCAGCATCACTGGGGCCAGCATTTTAAAACTACTTTGTGTGTGTGCTTCTTATTGCTCTGTATGCTGCAAAATAAATACAGCGCTGGAAGACTTCTAATATTAAAATGAAGAGAATATATGAAAAAAGAAATAAAGCAACTGATGTGATTTAAAATTGCACCAATACAAGGTGCTGTGGTACTCTAATACATCTGAAAATCTCTGCAAGATAGGTGATTTTCCGGGAAAATGAAAATTAGTCAAACTGACTCCCAAAAAAGTAGAAAAACTTGAAAGAAAAAAAATTATATGCAAAGGGCCCGTTGAGAAAGGTTTTAATGGAATCATTTATTTTTAAAAGACCCCAGGCTAAGATGATTCAATGCTGAAACTTTCCAGGTAGCAAAAAACATAAGATTCCCATGCTTGCATAGCAGACAAGCGTTGGGGTCAGATGGCCGGACTGAAATCCTGCTTTACCATTTACCAGTAAATGGTTACTAGTAACCTGGTTACTAAATGGTAAACCAGTTTACCATTTATTAGTTGTGTGACCTTGGATGAGTTACTTAATTTCTCTGAATTTCAAATCCCATAGAAATTCAGCCAAGGAAGTAGTCACAATAAGACAGCATAGTCCAGGTGGGCTTTCTGGAGGAGGTGGCCTATGATGGATTTGATTTATTGGCAGTGGCTACCAGTAGCCTTTCCACATTATTGCTCAGACCTGTTAAAATCAAGGGATGGACTTATAAACTTATAAGTTTATAAGTTATAACATTGCCCAGCCAATGTTAGGGTAGAGTCCATGTCATGGAAGTGCTGAGAATCCACAAGTCCCATTGTTGCTTCTTGACTTAGGCACAGCAGCATTAAATTCTATGGGCAGCAGTCATTCAGTCCTCATAATGACCCTGTGAGGTAGGTGCTGTTATCACCCTCCTGAGGGACAAGGAAACTAAGCTAAAGCCAGTCACAGAGAGTGCCTCACCCAGGGTCACACAGCTATTAAATAGCAAAGCCAGGATCGAAACTCAGGCAGCCTGGCTCTAGAGCACTTTACCACCATAGTTTTCTGTGACGAGTACCTTGCGTTTGGAAAGGCTTTGATAATCAGCAGTATAATGTCACATATGTCTGCTCATTTGATTGCTGCAACAATCGGTTGTTCTTACCTTTTGAAGGAGGAAACAGGCCTGGAGAGTTCTGAAGTGACTTACCCAAAGTCACGTGGTCCCTTAGCTCTGCGCGTGGTCTTTCCTATCTTTTATACCTGAGTGCCCAAGCCTCAGTTTTCTCATTCCTGGGATGGGGTAATGATGTTTAGCCCACAGGTCTAGGATGAGAACAAAACATGTAGAACACTCCGCAGAGTGCCCCAGGAATAGTAGGTGCTGAATGAATGTCAATGATTAGTGATTATTAGTAGCAAACGACTGTTAGTTTCTTTTGTTCTTCTTGAGCACAGGGACACATGTCTTGTATTTCTCTGTGATGCACCATCCCTATCAATGCACCATCATCCCAGAGTTAATGAATGATGGTGCACTGGACAGAGCATGGGCCCTTGAGTTCATGCATCCAGGTCTCTGCCATCTCCTAAGTTGGTCCCACACTCTGCAATTAACCTTCCTGAACCTCAGTTCATCTCATCTATAAAATGAGGGTAACACCTGCCTCACAAGATACTTGGGAAGATTAAATGAGCCAAGGTATTTTGGAAGTGTCTGACTCAGAATATACAGCAGCAAATATGACTCCCTTTTCCTTCTGGTTGTATTTTTCGTGGATGAGAGACATATTTTTGATAAAAAGCATATTGCTTCCTGTCGTGTTTCTTCAGTAGGACTTTTCAAGACTGGTTTGATGAGAAAGTGTTAACTGAGCATATCTGATGAGCACAAGGCTCTGTGGAGGTGCAGAGGAAACATAAAATGTGGCCCCACCTAGAGGGCCCTGTGATGTTTCACCTGTGACTTGATGGCATCATGTCCTTCTGCAACCAGAGCTGTCTCTGCAGACAGAGCTCAACTGAGAGCACCTAATTCTTTTTGCGTGTTTGTTTGTTTGTTTGTTTGAGACAGAGTCTTGCTCTGTTACTGAGGCTGGAGTGGAATGGCACAATTTTGGCTCACTGCAACCCCTGCCTTCCAGGTTTAAGCGATTCTCATGCCTCAGCCTCCTGAATACCTGGGATTACAGGCATGTGCCACCACACCTAACTAATTTTTGTATTTTTAGGAGAAACGGGGTTTCACCACGATCGCCAAGCTGGTCTTGAACTCCTGACCTATGGTGATCCACCCACCTCAGCGTCACAAAGTGTTAGATTACAGGTGTGAGCCACTGTGCCTGGCCTGCACCTAATTCTTGAGTCCTGTATTAGTCTGGGTTCTTCAGAAAAACAGAACCAACAGGAGAGAGAGAGAGAGAGAGAAAGAGATTTATTATGAAGGTTTGGCAATTATGAGGGCTTGGAAGACCCATGATCTGCCACCTTCCAGGAGGCCCAGGAAAGCCAGTGGTGTAGTTCTGGCCCAAACCCTAAGGCCTGAGAACCAGGGGAGCCAGTGTAATATGTCCCAGTTTGAGTCAAAAGGCTCGAGAACCAGGAGTTCTCATGTCCAAAGGCAGGAGGAGATGGATCTCCCAGCACAAGCACAGAGCAAATTCACCCTCCCTCTGCCTTTTTGTTCTATTCAGGTCCTCAAGGGATCGGAGTGCTGCCCACACACATTGTTGAGGGGGGTCTCCAATCTCTCCCAGAAACACCCTCACAGACACAACCAGAAATAATGTTTAACCAGATATCTGGGCATTCCTCAGCCCTGTCAACTTGACACATGAAATTAACCCTCACAGGTCCCATCCCCCTGAGTCCCCAAGTCCAGGACAGCTGGACAAGTCAAGGAAGGGCTTCCTTACAGGTAAATAGAGAAATACAATTCAGACAGCACTCCCAAACCGTGAGTGCATATTAATCTGCGGGGACAAATATCATAACATAATTAGTACAGCAGTGCTCCCAGCTTAATTGAAAATGCTGCATATGAGGGGCAGTTAATGAGAAATGCAAGATGTGATGATTCAGAACTGCTGAGATTTAGCAGCTCGGTGGCTGTAGCGAGGAAGTGTTGGGCTTTTTTCCCTTTGCTATTCTCTTTGTACATCTGGACAGGAAGGGGGCTGAAAGGAGTTACTAACAGTGTGTATGGTTAGAGAACTTTGATTATCTGGAAGTCCCTCAGCTATTTGGAATGCAGCAGAGAGCTAGCCAAGCAGGAAACGAAAAAGAGCCTCTGAGCCGACAAAACACATTTCTATTTGGCCGTGCACTGCAGTCTTCAGATTTTTGTGATACGAAATCCTCTCAACCCACACTCACAACTGATTTGTTTGTGCTTACTTTATTTTTTTATTTTTTTGAGACGGAGTCTCGCTCTGTTGCCCAGGCTGGAGTGCAGTGGTACGAACTTGGCTCACTGCAACCTCCACCTCCCAGGTTCAAGTGATTCTCCTGCCTCAGCCTCCCAAGTAGCTGGGATTATAGGTGCCTGCCACCACACCCAGCTAATGTTTGTATTTTT